>NC_000014.9:55672319-55975349 GCF_000001405.40 Homo sapiens | reverse complement strand
TTTTGAGTGCCAGAGTAATTGTTTTAGAATGTGGATGTGCTCAAGTTATCCCCCTGTTTGAACCTTACATTGGCTTCCAGCTCCTACAAGATAAAAACCAAAACTCAGTGGCATAGCACTACAAAGAAAGCTACAAAGATGGCCTCAAACATCCTTCTATTCCTGCATTGTTGCCTGAAACTTCCTTACTGCCATCTGTCTACCTAATCTCTCTCTACTTATCTCTTTCTCCCTCTCTCTCTCAGAATTTCCTGTGATTATCTCAGCATTCTACATTTTCCCAAGTCTCTGGGTCTTCCTCCATAATGGGACTCAAGTTATGTCTCTAATCTAAACATGTAAACTTCCTCCAAGCCCTTTCTGGCCCATGCAGGTAAGGTCTGCTCTTGCTTTGCCTGTCATTGGCACCTTGCACAGAGCTTAACATGTTACAGGTATGTGACATATGTTTGCTGCAATGAGTTAAGTTGATGTCCCCAATATTTAGTCACACTGTTCCTCATGTCTCCACTGAATGTTCTGTGTATCTTAAGACTTACAAATTTTAACGTGGCCTTAATTAACTGGATAGGAATTATATCTACCAAAACTAAGATTTTGCAGGCCAAGGACCTTAGCCTGGTGCTTGGCACATAGTAGGCACCCAGGAAATATGTGCTGGGTGAGGGCAGAGACTCTGGAAAGTGGTCCTGGTGAGCATCCAGAGTGGATTTCCTTCTGAACTCCTGTTTTCTCCCTTTCTCAGGGTGGCATTTCTATAACTTTATCAGTGTCTCACAGCAGTCTGTTGAATTCTGTTTCCTGGATTCCTGCAATGACCCAGCAGTCTCAAAGCCAGCAAGGACCAGTGTGGCATTTCACCCACAGCCTCACTCACAGTCTCCTTCAGGGCACACCAGAGCCTAACACACACAGGATAAAGAAGCCTGTTCGAATCTAATCAAAGGACTGCTTCATAAGTCTTCATTTCCCCACATTCTCTGCATTCTCCTGCCTCCTCCCTTAGACACCCACCAGGAAATAACAGCAGCCCCACAAGCCTGCAAGATAAACCCACTGGGATGACAGCCATTCCCCACAATTGAGCACACTGCCTCGCAAGATGCCCATACATTTTGCATTAAACACAGTGCATTAAATTAAAAATGAAACTTAAGTTGTTTGGTTAATGGCTTTCCCAGGCCTGAGGTTGAGACCAGACCACTGATCCATCTCTTCAAGAATGTCAGCTGGTTTTGCTGCTTGCCAGACAGTGTTTAGCTATTATGTGGCACATGAAGCACTTTCATTCATTCTTAAACCTAATGTCCAATTAAGTGAGAAAGGGGATTCATTAAATAATTTAAACTAGATCCAAATTAAAGGGCAGTTCTCTCAGTTGTACTTGCAAAAGAGTCCAATTCAACTGAAAGAATCATTTTAAACCAACGTTTGTTTGGGATGTTCTCAGATATAGGTAATTTTAAATCAGCTCCATTTATATCATCTTTTCATAGGTAACTTAAGAAAATCTAGCCTGTGGCACCCACATACAACATTTTCTCCCTGCTAATGAATTAAACTTAATTCTTTGAAAAATTACACGAGTTTTGGTCAAAATTATATGTTCAGCTTTTACTTATGAGGACCTGTTACACTGGATGAGTCATATTCATTGCCAAGATGTGAGAAAAAAAAAACCGTTGAGTGCCATAGGGAAAACTGGTCAGTTGTAGACATCATTTATATCAGTTTATTCTTAGAAGAGCTGAGAAAAGAACTCAGAACGTTTGACCTCTACTTCCGTACATTTCTACCTCACCTGCTTAATAATTTCCCAGGAAGACCTGTAGCCCAGAGCTGAGCCATAGGAAATGCAGTTTAGAGGGTTCCAGTCAATTAACCCACCAGGTATTTGCAGAATGCATTATTGTGCTAGGGAAGGCAAGAAGAGAAAATTAATCTCCTGTTCCTGAAAGTTGGTTTCTCTAAGTTTGTATGCAGTTCTTAATGCCAATTGGAAATGTAACCTGTTAAAGGTGGCAGAAAACCTGCAAGCATTCCTCTCAAGTCCAGGCCTTGACCCAGGCCACTGGGGCTTCTACAATAACTCCTATCTTGCACATTCCACTAAGGGAGGAGACCACCCCTCCTATTGTCTTATGCCCAATTTCTGCCTCCAAAGAAAGAAGAAGTAAAATCTAAAAGGCAGAAATGAAATCCACAGGCAGACAGCCCGGCACCGCACCCTGGGCCTGGTAGTTAAAGATCGACCCCTGACCTAATCGGTTATGTTATCTATAGATTACAGACATTGCATGGAAAAGCACTGTGAAAATCCCTGTCCTGTTCTGTTCCGTTCTGATTACCGGTGCATGCAGCCCCCAGTCACATACCCGCTGCTTGCTCAATCGATCACAACCCTCTCACGCGGACCCCCTTAGAGTTGTAAGCCCTTAAGAGGGACAGGAATTGCTCACTCGGGGAGCTCGGTTGTTGGAGACGTGAGTCTTGCCGAAGCTCCCGGCTGAATAAAGCCCTTCCTTCAACTCAGTGTCTGAGGGGTTTTGTCTGCAGCTTGTCCTGCTACACCACTACGCCCTTTTCCAAACAGTGATTCCAAAGAAAAGTACATAAAAATCATCCTTTCAGCAGGCCTTCCTTGGATAACCTAAGTCCCAAGTTCACTTTCATGACCACCTGCAAAACTCTCTGGGCTGAGGGAGCTGTTCTTACAGGCTAATTTGTGCCTTAACTGGATGGGAATTATATCTACCACCTTTTTCAGGTGCAATTTCACAGACAGACTTGGTGGGCTTTGGATTTGTCTTTTCCTCTCTTCAGTCAATGGAATAATAATGAAAATAGTTATCATTATTATTTACAACAAAATATTTATTTCCAGGTGCCGTCTTGATATTGAGCAGATAATTAGCACAGCCCTCCCCTCCCCCCAGGGAAAATCAGGCTGGGGCCAGCCCAAGCCAGAGCCCCCTCTTCATGCTGTTCCATGCTGCTCCCAATGCTGGTTTCCAGCTGCTCCCCTTCACAGGGGCTGCCAGCAGTGTCTTCTGGCAACTGTTCCTCCTGGGGCATCTCTCATTACAGCTGTACCTTCCACCTTGCCTGTCCCTTGCCCCAGTCTATCACTTGGGAAATTTTCAGCTGCTCCAGTCTGTGGCTTCTCTTGCCTCCAAGAACAAGTCTATAACTTCCCAGGAGCCGGAAAGCTTCATTTACATTCTCAGCACCACCTCCAGAGAGTGACTTCCCAAAGGGTCCACTCAGTGTCTTCTAGAAGCAGCTACAAATGTCTGCGTCCCCTTTAACAAACATTAAGAGAAAGAAAACCACAGTGACATGTATTAAGAGGAAGATGGCTACACAGCATTTTTACCTGCATATTTATTTTCATTTTCACAAAAGTCATACAAGGTAAGTGGTGTTATTTTATAAGTGAAGGTCATGGCAAAAAGCCCCAAATTCTTCTTCTGTTCCTCTGCCCTCTCTTTCACTTTTGGAAGGCATAAGGAAACCTAATTACTCTGCTCTTGTCACTTCTTGCCCCAAATCATCCATGATTCCCCAGAGTCTGTGGAATAAAGTCCTAATTCCTTACCCTAGGGCACAAGGCCATATACAATATGATTAGGCCTGCAATATGATTTCCCATTTTGTTTCCTAGTCCTCTCTTATATGCATGCTGTGATCTAGGCAAAGTGAATTCCTGAGTGCCTCCCACTTACCCATGTATGACAGACACCATGATGCTATGAGAAAAGCATTAGATTTGGATACAGACAGATTTGTTCAGATCCCCAACTCTGCCCTTAACTAACTGTTTTACCTCAGAAAAGTAACTAAAGCCCTCTGAGCCCCAGTTTTTAAAATCAATGCATTCATTTAAAAAATACTTATTGGTGAACAAAGAGACTTAGTTCTTGTAGCTCTGCAGCTCACCCTCTGGGTTGGAGTGGAGGGATAGGGGAGTTGCTCAATCTGGGTGCTGGTCCAGTGAGTGGTGGGCAGTCAGAGGGAGGTACAGAGGAGAGAACTGAAAGACTTTGAGTAACTGGAGGCTGGAGGTGCAATGGAGAATGGTCCCAAATGAGGCTGGAGAAGGAAGCAGAGGTTGGATTATGAAGGCTTTTTAAGCTTTGTTCAAGAATTTGGACTTTATTTGAAGGGAAATGAAGAGCAATCACAGGGTCTTAATCAGAAGAATGTGACCCAGTTTGCATCCTACAAGGATCTCTCTGGCTGCTGTGTGGGGAATGGATTGGATGAGAATGGGTGGGAGGGTAAGACCAGGAGCAGCAATGCCAGCTAGCAGAAGGTGGTTGCAATAGTGCATGAAAGATCATGTGGCCTGGACCAGGGACAAGGCAGCCAGGCACCAGGAAAGTGGGTGGACTCCAGGGATGTTTAGAGGTTGGGATCAACAGGGCTGGATGATGCTGATGGGCGGAGTGGGGAGAGGCAAGAATCATGAGCAGGACTCAAGTTTGGGCAACAGAATGGACAGTGATGCTATTAACTGAGACAGACACACAGGACACAAGGGAGCTGGAGCCAGAGGAGGCAGAAAGAAGTGATGAGTTCAGCTTGGACATTTTGAGTTCAAGGTGGTTATGGGACAAACAACAATACCACTCCATGGGGCTCTTATAAGAATTAAGTGACATAACATATGCAAAATTCTGGCACCCGGTGGATATCCACCAAAGTGTAGTTTTCTTTTCTGTTTCTCAAACCATTTCCCTTGCCTGGAATGCCCTCTTTCTCATTTCCATAAGTGTGAATATAACCCATATTGCAGAGCCCATCTCAAAAATCACCTTCTAGCACTTCCCCAACCTTCCTAGTCAGAAGCTTTCCATACTCTGACCTCCCAGAGCATATGCTTGACCTTGCATTGTAGTTATTTGTAGCTCTGTCATGTTGCTCCTATAGCTATGGACATTTCATTAATGATAGAACCCATGCCTGATTGACCTCTGACCCTCACAATGGCATTTGGTAATAAACAATAATATTTATATAATAATAAAAGAATTGTTATGTATGTAATAATATATATTGCAATATACCATTTACAATGTATAGTATATTATAATAAAATATAATCATATTAGTGTAATAATTCAGGGAGCCAATACAGTTATTACTGAATGAATCTGTATATTTTGCCAGACCATTTTTCTCCTGAAAGTAGTAAAGAGTGGTGGGGAAAAGAGCGTCGGTTTCTGAATAAAACTGACTTCAGTAAATAGTTCTTTCATTTCCTAATAGTGTGACTTCAAATAAGTTAACCTAATATCTCTGACCCTCAATTTCTTTATCTGGAAAATGGTAATAGAATTACCTGACTCTGGAGGTAACCATGGAAATAGATGAACTACAGTAAGTAAAGTGTCCAGGACAGTATCTGGCCCTTCGACACTAAATTCTGGCTTCTTCACACTCC
Source organism: Homo sapiens (assembly GCF_000001405.40). Taxonomy (NCBI): domain Eukaryota; kingdom Metazoa; phylum Chordata; class Mammalia; order Primates; family Hominidae; genus Homo; species Homo sapiens. The sequence goes on along the minus strand of NC_000014.9, from coordinate 55,969,903 downwards.
CACTGTTAGCATTCACTGAAGATCAAGAAGGAATGGTGAACCAAACACTGGCAATAAGAAGACAATATTTATATATTTCAAATGTCTTCAGATATATTTATTTAGTATGCTCACTTATAGTACAAATTTCCGGTATGTCTGCTGCTGTTATTAACGCCGCAATACTTCATTCCATGGTCTGTTTTCATTTCCCATTATGTTATATGCCTTGCTTCCTCTTACTTTGTCATTTCTGCAAATTTGTATAATATTCAGAAATGATAAACAAGGGTCATTGCTTTGATCAGAGTCTAACAGAAATCACTGATAGAAAGCCGGCCTGCCTATTGTTTAAAGAATCTTCCGAGGATGGGAGACGACGAAGTAGAAAACAGAACCAAATATTGACCGAAGGCAGCCACAGAAGTCAGAATGCCACCCTATCTAATCAGGACTTAAAAGAAACAGCAAAATGGGTAAAATTGAACTTGAGAGATGCAAAGGCTCAGAGATGAGGAGTAATTTGAAAATGTGTGCATTGAGGGATAAAAGGGACCAGTGTCTTCTCATTAATATCCAAATTGGCTTTATATTTTTCAGGATCAATCACATAATTAAATATATATCTGGCAAATGATAGCATAAAATCATTTGTTTATAGTACACCATATTAAGAAGTGTTTTTTAAAAGTTCAAAATAAAAACAGGAATTATGGCCATGAAAGAAGAGCAGACACATCATTTATGAGTTTTCCCTGTGTTTGCACTAAAAAGGCAAGATGATTCATTTTCCATGCAAAACATGCTTGAGATTGAGAAGAAAGTTACTGCCAGCAATTTCTGAATCTTCTCTGGGTAATCAATCAAGGTATAGAATTTAGAACCAGGCGGCTCCCTCCCCAGTGGACCAACCTTCATCTGTATCTGCCCTTGTCAAAACAGATGCAATACCAAACCGGAAGGCAAGATCCTGGGCACCATTCCAGGTGAGTGGAGTGGAATTCTATGCACTGAGTTTTGACCCTCAGCTTCACCCTCATGTGTAAAACGGAGATAATATAGTCTCTTGTCTATGTGTGCATGTTAACCAAGTGAAGGCATGGCTCAGAGTTTCTCTCACACTAATAATAGCTTTCAGAGATGGAGAGAGTATAATTCTAATTCTGCTGAAACAACCAGACAATCCTGTCTGAGAAGAAAAGCCCTAAAATCTGTCCTTAGCCCAAGGTCACACCAATTTTGGGCTCTCTCCTTGCCCTATCAGCTCCCCTTTGAGATCCCAACATGCCTTACAGTTGAGGCCATATGGGTCATGTCTTTTTGCAGCATTTTTCCTGAAGAAGGTCCAGAATTTCAATGCTGTTACTTTCTTCTAAGGCAACATTACAATCATATTTTAATGAACTCATTCTCATCAGCTTTCTGTCTTAGTTGATGTTTTCCTTTGGGATCTGTATGGTCTTAGAGAATAAGACCTATGTCCATTTTACCTACTGTGCAATTATCAATGGCATTTTAATAAAGATAATTTAAAATCTCACATCTGCTTCTAGAGTTCTTGGAGATTAGTTTTCAGGAATCTGGAAGGGAGGGCTTCTGAGCTTCCACTGGCAACCACTCAACTTTTATGACCTCGGTGGGTGGCAAAGGGGGTGTAGGGGGCTGTTGCGGTCAGAGACAACCCTTCTTGTCACTATATCTGTCTTTCTTTTAGGGTTCTGGGGAAAAAAAAAGCCAGGGATCAGCTAACCTTCAGCCCTACCCAGGCCACAACTCCCAGTAGCAGAAGACTGCCAGAGCTCAGACATACAAGCACTCGGTGGACAGAAGATGCCTGAGCTGAGTAGTGGGGCAACCCCACCACGGATATTGTCATTTGGGGAGGGCAAGCTGGACTCATAGCTTGGGGACAGCCAATCCTATTGCCAACTTAGTTTAAAATCCAACAACAGACTGTCAGCTTACAAATGTCTTTAAACCTGGCTGGGAAATAAGAGCTCAAGTTTTCTCAACAAGAAGGAATCATGGGTTTAGAAAGGGCCATGGGAATACACAGCCAGTTGTCTGCCTTCTGCATCTCCTAGAGAGTTACACTTCTACCCTGTGTTTAGAGATTCAGAGAGCAGAATATTTTGCAGGCACCCAGCACCATCCAAGTTCTTTATTCAAGAATGGTTTATTGAGCACCTACTATGAGCTCAGGAAGTAACAAATAAATGTTACTTTTACCATCTGGCTAAAATTTTTTACAAGACACTTCAGCCCCTTGCTCCCTGTTCTGGATTAGAATACAAGAATTTCTGAACTAGAAATATCCTGGAAATTGAATTCAAACCCTTCTTTTTAGGGGTGAGGAAATAAAGCCCAGGAGGCCAGGTGAATTTTTCAGTGTTCCGAAAGCAGATATGACAGAGGTAAGATGTGAGCGCAGGCTTCCTAGCTCGCTGTGCAGTGTCATTTGCCTGCTGCTTGACATTTCTTGCAGTGTACCCTGGCATGAGCTTCACCGAGTCCCCACAGAAATACACTGAAGCACCCAAACATTATTTTCCCAGCAATCCATAAGCCTTTAGGTCTGCATTGTGTTATTTGTGGGGCCCCTAGGCACTTCTGTCTTTGTGGGCCTCTTCCTCCATTAAAAAAAAAAAAAATTTAAAATTCAATTTAACAACTGAGCTGGGATGAAGCTGGATATACTCATATTATATATAAAAACATTTTCTTTAACCTAAAAGTTAATTTTTTTCTTCTGATTTTAAAAGAAATTAAAACATCTTCGTGGACCCCTAAAAGTCTTGTGGGCCCTGGGCAGTATGCCTCCTACGTTAATGGATAAGTCAGTCTTGCACTCACTAAATGCAAGTCACAGAATCCCTTCCTGGAAAGGAGACTGAGAAATGTAAAGATCTTTCCCATCAGCCAGCACATAAGAAAGCTGGAGAGAAAGGATGCACTTTTTTTCAGGAGTAGTGGATCTGCTTCCTTCAGAAATGGTAAAGACTGGCATTTACTAAAATAAAAACTGTGCTAGTCACAGATCATTTCCTCCATCAGTGTCTCCCCACTAAGGAAACCCAGATGCAAACATTTTGGTTGAGTCACGCCTGTAAATTCTCCTGCCCTCTTTTGCCCAATCATTTCTAACAACAGCCAACCATTCCAGGGGCTGAAATAATAAGCCCATCTTCAGCGAGGTAATATCTTATTTCACTCCATCATCAGTTATATGATTGGTGTCATCTTTCTTAATAAAAAGCCATTGCTAGAAGCTATCTCCACTAAATACTCTTGACATCACTTCCTTTAATAGAGCTTAAAAGTTATAGAATATTTAAGCGGCAAAGCGTGACAGTGCATTTATTACTCTGGGCCAGTCATTCAGCTCTCACTCCTGGTGTGAGACAAGATGCTGAAGGCCAGTCTGTTGCCTGCCTCCCCTGGAGCTTGAGGGCAGATGCTGAAGGCTACCTCATCGGGAAAACTAATTTACTACCAACATTGGTCTTAAAAATAATTACTAGATGGAAAAGCATCAACACAGATGATTACCATAAAAATAAACTGACCCCCTGACAGTGCCACGTGTCTCGCTGTCTGTCCTCTGATTATTCTATAATATTGTAGTCTCTCTGTGCCAGTGAATGCTAACTTGAGTGAGGCCCCCTTAAGCAAGGCAAAAGACTGTGTGAGCCACTAACATCACCTATTCCCAATTTTCAGTGGAGAAGGAACTCGATGATCACAAGAACTGAAGAGAAACTAAATAGAAACCCAAAAACTACCGTGCAGCATTGCACACACACAAAACAAGCTTTGAACAGAAGTAAGAGCTACAAATAGAAGTTGATTAATGGTAGAACAGCAATGAAAAGCCACAATCATCCAAAGCAAAACTCATATTCTGTGCTGATAAGGATGCATTCTTTCTCACAAGTTTCAAGAATTCCAGTAATCTATAAAAAGGTTCTATGCCCAATAGGAACTTTTCCAAATAAGTAAGTCATTTTAACAGCATAGCTATTATGCCTTAGTTGGCTGTCCTAATGTGTTAATTTATGAATATCAAATTTCAGTAAGCTTTAATACTTCAGTTTGTAAGTTACTAGACATTAGTTGTAAGTAAAAACAAAAATCTGTAAAATTATGCAATCATTTGCATATATGATCCAAAGAAAAGACTTGTTCTTTTGAACTGGTTTTCACCTCACCCTTGAAAGCTATCAGCGGGCTACACTTAGAGAAACATTGTTCTGTTGAGACGTGCCTCACACATAGTAGGTGCTCAACAAAGCAAAAAAGTTTGATCCTCCATCCTGGCTAACACGGTGAAACCCCATCTTTACTAAAAATACAAAAAATTAGCTGGGCGTGGCAGCATGTGCCTGTGGTCCCAGCTATTCGGGAGGCTGAGACAGGAGAATGGCGTGAACCCGGGAGGCAGAGCTTGCAGTGAGCCGAGATTGTGCCACTGCACTCCAGCCTGGGTGACACAGTGAGACTCCGTCTCAAAAACAACAACAACAACAAAAATTTGATCCTAATAGTTCCCACCATTCTCTCCTAGCCTCTCTCTCTTTAGTAGGATGATAAATCATCACCTTTCTAAGAAAACACGTTTGCTTGGTATAATGCAGAGTCTGAGAGCCAAGATATGAAGTCCATATTCCTTGCTCTTTAAAAGCATCTCCCAAAAACATCCACAACTCTTTTGCAGGTGAGATAAAATTAATCTTTTTAATGTCTTTAAAGTGAGTGGTTGAAGGCTTTGAGAAATCAGATCAAAAATGGAAAATGTGGAGTGGAATGTGAGTATAATGAGGCGGTAGCTCATGTCCTGACAGACGATTCCAGAGGAAAAAAAACAAACAAAGCCTGCCATATGTTCAGCTTTCTGTTAAACCACTGTAGACAGAGATCTTTACAGAATATTCTATAGCATATGTCTAGTCAGTATGTTTGTTCCACCCTACTTGTTGCCAAGTTCTAAATGCTTAAAATAATTAACCTTTGCCTCCTCTTTGGAAAGCTTTGCAATACATTCCCAAAAAAAAGGCTTTATTCTGTCAACCTTAGAGGTCGTATCCCACCAAAATTCACCAATGAAATAGATTTATTCTCCCCTGAAATTCAGTCCCAGCATTTATGGTAGGAAATCTGTTTTCCAGAATGCAGTTCAGCTGGTTGTACAAACATGTGCCAAACACTAGCTTTTCAACCATTACAAAGTGTATATAAGAAATGATATTAATGAAACATGCACGATACTCAGTGTTAAGTTGCTATTTGTATGAACATGGGTTTTTAAAATCCGTTGTTTCACTGAATATTGAGTAAGTACCTACTACATGGTAAGTGCTTCAGATGCAAATATAAGTGAGACCAGTTCTCTGATCAAAAGAACTTACACCCAAATAGTGGAAACATGCCTGCAAAGAACTATTTCTCTTACAAAAGGAAGATATGGGGGATCGTACTGGGTCGATCAGCTAAGCTGGATCTGTGTTTCTCAGAATCCCCTTCCCTTCACAGTTCTAGGTTGCCACAGGTCACAAGAGCTGTTTTACAGGCAACTTGAAAGCAGAAGTGAAATCGCCACATTTCTTTTACACTGGAGGGTTGGAGTAGGGGCAGGGGTGCTCTGGGAATCCCACATACGCAGCTGCTTACCAGTTGTCTTGCCTGGAGGCGGACGGTGGTGCAACAACAAGGCCCACACAGACTCCAGCTCCTGCTGGATCGTTTTTCAGCTTCTCTGACTCCTGGGCCAGGTGCATATCAAGCATGAAAAAGTGCACCAGCTTCTCTTGCAGAACATCCGCATCATTAAAGTTGAAAGCTTGGATTTCCAACCAAGGTTCCAGACCAACACGGGTTCCAGTTCATCCTCATAGGCACCATTCAGGTCCCAATTTGTTCTTCTTTTCCATTTTCCCTTTTCAACTTCCTGCCTTCAAGATAAACACAACAACCTCCCAAAGGCTGTTTACCAACTAACTAGCGCCCACAGTTGTGAAATGTCAAATTCCTATAATAAGTCATACACATCCTAGTGGTTCTGTCAGGGGACATCAAGAAATATGTCTTAACCAATTGGTATTTGAGTTGAGGGTTTTCAAAGGTGAAGAGGAGTTCTCCTGTACAGAAAGTAAGAGCAAGACCTTGCATGCATGGGGAATAGCAGATGCAAAGGCTTGGAGACACGCAAGACTATCACATGTTCAGGGTACAGTGAACCCCAATGTTTGTAGGAGAGGGTCCTAAGAGTTGAAACTGAAAAGGTGGGGCAGAGGTAGCTCCATGTGGGCCATGCTAAAAAGTTGAGTGAAATCCAGTCAGCAATCAGGAACCACAGAAACACTTTAAGCAGATGCTGCATGGAGATGTGTGTCTGTTTTGTGTGTAAAATAATAAGATCTGTCTTTTAAAGATAATGCTGGCAGCTGTGTGAAGATTAGAAGACACAGCACAGGCCCAGAGCCAGAGAGTTTGGTTAGGTGCCTGTTGCAATACTAATCAGCAAAAGATAAAGGAGGGTAGAAGTTGGGGAAAGTCTCCTGTCCTGTAGAGTCCAAACTTTCATTTTGTATATACAATTATAGGAGACATAAATTCAATCACCATGCAGATGTGCAGGATCATCCCTCTAAACTGTTCTTCTTCACTTAGAGTTAAATCACACTGACTCCCCGTAGCAGTTAGGAACCCTCAAGGTGAAAACAAACATCAAGAGACCTAATCCTAACCAATCTAAACTATAAAGGACTTTAATGCGAGGTTCAGAGGCTGGACTCAAAGATTGGTTTGACCCAGAGCTTCAACCATGTCACCAAAATTTGGTGATTTTTGTCTCTCTGCTCTACCTTCCAAGAAAATTAAAACACAAACACATACCAAAAGCAATAAACAGATATCTTAATTTGTTTGAGCTGCTATAACAAAACACCTTAGACTGGGTAATTTGTAAATAATAGAAATTTATTTCTCAGAGTTCTGGAGGTTGAGAAGTTCAAGATCAAGATGCCGGCAGATTTAATGCCCAGTGAGAGCTTGTTCTCTGCTTCTTGCTTCCAAAATGGCACCTGTTGCTGCTGTGTTTTCATCTGGTAGAAAGAGAGGAAGGGCAAAAGGACAAAAAGGGAGAACTAGCTCCTCAAGCTCTTTTATGAGGGCACTAATCCCATCAATGAGGGCAGAGCGCTTATGGCTCAGTCACCTTCCAAAGGCTCCATCTCTTAATACCATCACCTTGGGGTTTAAGTTCCAACAAATGAATTTTGGAGGGGCACATACATTCAAACCATAGCAATAAAGAACACATGTTAAGCATTTACTTTGCACCAGGAACTGTTTAAAGTGCTTTACATGTATGTACCAGGTTTCATCCTAAAGTAAAGTGCTACTAGCAGCAATTAAAACACCATAATTCCTTGAACACAGATCACAGGAAATGAAATAATCTCCCTCTGCTGTCACCCAACAGTATTCACCCCAAACCAATTGCTATGGAAGTAGCAATGAGATTATACTCACACTACTCTAATCAAATCTCCTTCTGAATCTGGGGTTAGTGTCAATGACCAACAAAATAATTTGTAATTCCATTACAAGTGAGAAGAGGAGCCTGGAAAATCAACTAACAGTACTCACTATTTGTATTATTATTGGTTAAGTGTCCCAGTCCTGGATCTGCACTCTTCCTTCTTGTGCTCTGCTTGTTATAGCTCTGCTTGTTCTTGTGCTCTGCCTGTTATAGCTGTTATTGTCATGAAAAGTGGCTATTTAGTCCCACCTATCAATACTAAGGGAATGAAAGGAAGACAAAATCTTCTTTTCTCACCTTTAAAATTTTCTTATTCTTTCATCATATTATAAGCACAGTCTCATGTCCCAGTAGGATTGTAGCTCATTGAAGACATGGATCTTGTCATATTATTTTTGCATCACCTAAAGCCAACATATAGAAATCATTAAGAAATGCTTTCTAACCTAAATTGGAATCATGGGGCCTAAACCCATAATTACATGGTGCCATAATAGTGACATGTATCCAGTTGATTCTGTCCATTTTTACCTCATGTATCTGGAAGCTCTGTTATTCAGCATGTACACATTTATGTTTATTATGTATTCCTGATGAACAAACTTTTATCATTTAGAAATGTTCTTTTATATCTATTTTTTCTGATATTAATATAGCTACTCCAGTCTCTTATATTTTCAATTTGTGTGGTATATCCACTTTCTAGCCATTTACCTTCAACCTACATTGTTTTTATTTTTAAAGTGCAACTCTTATAGACAGCATATAGTTGGGTAGTGCTTTGTAAAATCCATGTTGACAACCTCTGCCTCTGAAGTGAAGTGTTTAACTCACTAATATTGAACACATTTATTCATATGTTTAGATTTAGATTTACGATTTTATTATCTATTTCCTGTTTGCCTGATTGTTTTTTGTTCTTCTGTTCTCTCTTTCCTGACTTCTTTGGATTTTAACATGTTTTAGATTTTTTCTTTTAATTACTTTATTGGCACTTTAGCTATACCTCCTTGCATTACTTTTATACTCTTTGCATTACAGTATTAATTACTGTTAATATTTGCTGCAGTGATTACAAGATATATCCTTAACTTTGTGGACTACTTAAAGTTATTATTGTACCATTTTACATAAAATAGGCTCCAATCCCTTTTCTTTTATCCTATATTTTATTTCTTTATTCTCATGTTGTCATATGAATTTCTTCCTCATATATTATAGCCCTACATGAAACATTATTTTTTCTTAAATAATTCTCTTTATTTTAAAGAAACAAAGAGGGAAAAATCGTCTTTTATATTTACCTATTGTTCCATTATCTTAAGTAATCTTTATTCCTTCCTTAAGATTCAAGTTTCTCTCCAGTATCATTTTCATTTATCTTGGAGAGATTTATTTAACATTTTTTGTAGTGCAGAACTCCTGATAAGTTCTCTTACTTTTCCTTATCCAAAAATATATTTAGTTTATATTCATTTTGAATATTTTTGCTGAATGTAAACTTCAGAATTGATAGGTTTTATTTTTCTAAGTATGCAAAACACGTTGTTTTGCTGTCTTTTGACCTCTGGACTTTCTAAGGAGACACCTTCCTGTCATTTAAATCATTCTTCCCCTTTAGGTAATGTATCAGTTTTCCCTGGCTGCTTTCAATATTTTCTGTTTATATTTGGATTTATTTCAACCGTTTGACTAAGAGGTGTTTAAGCATGATTTTCTTCATCTATGTCCTGTTTGGGGATCATTGAGTTTCTTGAATTTGTAAATTTACATCTTTCACCAATTTTGAGAAATTTTTGGCAACTGAAGAAATGTTTGAATTTCTTCAAACATTCCTACTGTCCCATTTTTCTCTCTCTTTTTCTCCTGGAACTCCAATTACATATCTGTTGGATTTTTTTGCCATTATCCCCACATCCTTGAAGCTCTGTTTATGTTTTCAATCTTTTCTCTCTCTTTTTCTGTCATCAAGTTTATTGACACGTTTCTATCATCTCTATTCTGCTATCCAGGCTATCTAATAATTTTCGCTTGTTTTAGATATTGTAATCTTCCATTCTAGAATTTTCATTTGACTTTTAAAAAATATTTTCTATTTCTTTGCTATGATTTTTAAATCCCATTTATTACAAGTACGTATTCCATTATCTCATTGGGGATAGCTATGATATTTCCTTGTTTGAGAATTCCAATCTAGGTTATCTTGGGATAGGTTTCCATTGATTGTCTTTTTTGTGAGGCTGGGTCACACTTTGTATGTCAAATGATTTTAGCTTGGATTCTGCACATTGTAAATGTAATGTTGTGGAGGCTTTGGATTCTTTTGTTAAATTTATTATTACTATTTTTATGCTATTTTGAATGGAATTTTTCCTTTAATTTTATAACCTTTTCCAGAAAAAAAAAAAAAAAAAAACCAGTTCAGGCATCAGGAAGGGACCAGAATAAAACATAAATCAAAGTAGGGTCTATAAGGAATCTACAGCATCATCTCTGATAGGAGTTGGCAGAGATACTGGCCAATGACTCTGCTTGGTAAAATGAGGTGGTTTTAAGTTATTGCTTCCTTCTCTCCTTCTATACCTGAGTAGGAGAGAGCCACCACAAAGCTCTTACCCTGCGATCCCCTTTCTGGGCCAGTCTCTAGTGCTGCTAGTGCTGGTGGGATTTCCTGATGACTCCGTGAAGTGGATGAATGGGACATACAGAGGGGGCAGTCAGCAGAGAAGAGGACTGGCTTATCGAGGGAGTAGGTCTTCAGTACTAGAAATAGCTTTTGGAGATAGTGGCTCACACCTGTAATCCCAGTGCTTTGGGAGTCTGAGGTGGGTGATTGCTTGAGCCCAGGAGTTCAAGACCAGCCTGAGCAACATGGCAAAACCTGTCTCTATAAAAAAAATTTTAAAATTAGCCAGACGTCGTGGTACACACCTGTAGTCCCAGCTACTCAAGAGGCTGAGATGGAAGAATTACCTGGGCCTAGGGAGGTCAAGGCTGCAGTGAGCTGTGATAGTGCCATTGCACTCCAACCTGGGTGACAGGAGTGAGATCTTGTCAAAAAAAAAAAAAAAAAGAAAGAAAGAAGGAAAGAAAGGAAGGGAAAGAAAAAAAGAAGAATAGTAGCTTTAGTCACCACAGTCTACCAATATAGTTAGTGATGGCTTTAAATCCTTTTTTTAAATCTATGCTTCAACAAGAGGCAAGACTAAAGAGTTTAATTCAGTACATGTTCCAAAGCGTATTCAAAGTTACTTTAAATGTGTTGCCTAAAATATTTTAGGAACAAAGCAGGGCATAAATAAATAATAAATAAATACCTATTTCTGTAAGTGGGTCAAGAAAAGTAGAGACGTAACCACTATTCCATAGATATCTGTTGGGACTCAAAAAAATAGGTGCGCCTTAAATAAAAACTCTCCCAAGGGATCTGTGGCACAAAATACTTCTACCACTAATCTACTGGGTCATAGGACCCAAGAGCTAAGGGGGGTCTTGAGGTCATTTAGTTCAATCTCCTACCCAAACCCAATGTACTAGACCCCATAGTCTAGTACATAGTCTAGTACATTGCTTACGGATAAGTAACAATGATGATAATAATAAAAAACACTTATGTGTATTTTACTATGTACTTTTTAACATTAATTTCTTTAAACCTCCGAATAACCTTGGCAGGTAGGTAGTAGAATATGCCCATTTTACAGAAGAGTACAGCTGAAGACACAGGCTTAAATGTCTATCCAACTTTTGCTTAAATGTTACTGCCTTGTAGTTTCATTATGAAAAGGATATGCCTGATACAAAGCTCCCCTTATAAAAATTAGTCCCAAAAGTTTTTCCTCCCTAACAACTCTAATTCCTTTTAATTCAATCTGAGCTGTTTCTTCTTCCTCCCAGATAATAGGAATTCCCAACCCAAACTCAGCATGCACTTCAGTCTATTGCCCTCCCTGCATGAAGGCAATGTTTTCTGGACAGCATCCCTTGGCATCACTCTAAAGGTTATTGCCTAAATTACAAATTTACCTTTGCCCTTTGCTTCAAGGAAGGCCCCAATTACCACATTGCTTCTTTCAAGGGTCTGGGAGCTCTGGGCAGGCAATAATTCAGGTCTCTTTAACAAGCAGGCAGTGGCTCTGTTGTCCAGGGGACAGCATTCGATAAACATGCTGCGCTTCGAACTTCCCCCCATCTCCACTTACCTCTAAAACTAATTACCTTGCTAACTCCGGAGGCTGTACAGTCATGCTAATGAGCTGCTGGACAATGGCAGTTTTTGTTCTCCAGAGAAAAGCTACAATGCAGTGGGAGCCTCGGCAAGTTCAGGTCAGCTCTTCTCTGAGACTAAGCTTCGGAATTCTCAAAATACCACTTAGCAGGGAGACGGACTTGGATGCAAATTCCTCCTGGTGCTGAACATGTCCTTTAATTAGCATTCAGGGAAATAAAGAAAAATGAAGATTTAAAGGTCACCGCATTAACATTTTACCCCCACTCCTGAATAGCCTTGTGCGTATACTAATCTTCCACTCATTCCTTCTATTAATCACTGTCTCTAAGGAGAATTTGGCCAAAGCAGATTAGCCAACATGTTTCCTGATGGCAAAATTCTCCTCTATAAATAATAATAAAAGAAATCCCTGCCTATTTGTTTAACATTAACGTTTTCATATAAGTGAGTGCAATCGGGGTGGTTAAAATTTTAGCTCCCACTGAAAAGAAGTCAGACAGAATTTCTTGTTTCTCTGCAAACCGAGATCAGTGTCAAGACCTTTTTTTTTAACCTTCAAATCTGACCAGTTATCCTTCTCCCTAGAAGGATTTCATTTTACAAAATGCCCATTAGTGACAGACTCTTTTCCTGGATGAACTAAGAAGCCATTACAATATTTCCTTTGCAAACAACACAATATGTTCTTTAGATTTGAAAACTGTCGAGTCCAGAAGAAAGGCTTTAGGAAACAGTTTGGAATTCAGCATCTTCTGGTCACTGTACCTGTAGCCCACTCCACCCCAGTCCCCCACCATTTGCAATAACCTCAAAGCCTTTCCCTTGAAGTAGCACCTTTCCATACTGCCCTGCTCTCCTAGTACCTGAATGAATGAGAAGAGGACAAATTACACAGCCGAGCCCCAAATTCCCACAATGCTTGTTCAGTGAAAAAAGAGCCGCTGGGGGTTTCCTTCCAGAGGTCTTCAAATGGACTTGCACTGCTTCTTCAGCTCTGCCCTTTCATGGGAAACATTTTACACTGTATCATGAAAAGACAGTCTCAGAGAAAACCCATCCCTGGTGCTACCCTGGTACACAGACATCTCAGAATCTGAGGGGCTGGGGGTCTGGACACCAACCATTCTGACCAGTGAGCATAGCCTTGAGATTTGGTAGCCAACAAACCACACTTGTTTCTACAGCACTTTCCATAGCGTTTCTTCTGCACACACACACTGCCTCCAGTACAAAATGTTTATAAAGCTGATGGGAAGGGGAGCGGATGTCCTGACAATTCATCTCTGCAATAATTTTTTTTTCCAGCAAGCAGCCAAAAATCATTCCAAACCAGCAACTATAAAGGTCAGGAGGGAAATCTGTTGCTGTCTTTGAATAATTTCTTATACACATTAGGAGAATGTGGTAGAACAGGGAAAGGAATGGAAGCCTCTTTCTTAGTGTCAACCTGAAAGGCATGAGACCTTTCCTTCCCTGCCTCTCCGCCCACCTGCTGGCATCACTCACACCATGCCAAGGTATATTATTATCCAGACCACAAGAGCATTATTGATTCACTGACTTTCACAGACCGGAGTGCTACCCAATGGACTCTGTTATTACAAATATAATAAGCAAGAAACTGGCCCTTTCTTGTTAGACAATTCCAAGTTTTATTGATCCCATCACTTCTGTCTAATGGTACACAACCAGGAACAATAAATCTCAAAAAATGATTGAAAGCAGAAATCAAATGCATGTTTTCTAGTATTCATAGGCTGATCCAGTCCTCTTCTCAGAGGAAGGAGTGAACAAAACATTACATTTTGGCTGTGCATCAGGAGAAGTCCCCCAAGAGGCACACAGTCGCATTCACTGTTAAAAATAAAGAAGTTTAGGGTCCACCAGAGAGAGGGAAAAACTTGCTGTGCACATAGGGTTTCAAGAACTTCTAATAAAGGGGCTGTACAATTTGGTCAATGGCTGTTAAGAGCAGACAGAGCCATACACCATCCTTAACTGTAACTCAGCCCAGTTCCCTGATGCCCATAGGTCAGTAGGCAATGAGACCTTCATTAAATGTCCCTTGGAGGGACATTTCAGGTCTCCAGAATATAGTCAGCCCAGCAACAGAAGAAAGTGAAAGTGACTATAGCTCAATTTTCTTGATCAAAAACACAAGCGTACACCAAGAATTATATACAAGGCAGGCTGGCACTTAATTGAACTACACCTACAAACAAATAGGATAACAGAATTAACAAATTGTTTGAGCAAAATAATTGTAATGAACAATGTAATACTTCTGACCCTTCATGGTACTCTAGGCTTTATTTGGCAGAAGAATTCATCACCAGATGGAAGCAGCAAGTCCTCTGAGTCCTCCTGTGACCCTACCTTCTTTAGATCCACCTATGGGTAGAGCTGGGGTCACAGTAACAGCAGTGTCTCATGTGTGAGGTCCTCAGCACTTCTCGGAGTCCCAGGGCATGTCTACTGTATGCTGATGAACAAGCTCCCTCCTGCGGGGCACAGTACATGCTTCGCCCAGAGCTGGGACCCTGCCGTATCACCACCAGCACCCTGGCTTTCCACGATGCTATAGCTGCTTGGTTTATGGCAAATGGAAGTTGAATTCTCCCCTCCCATTTCAGTAATTCTTGCTAAAGCCATACTTTCTGATATTTATAGTTTTCAGCAGGACAGCTCTTGCAGGTCCTACCACTAATTCTCTCTCTGCTTAGGTTCCACAGAATATCCAAATCCAGCAATGGACCATACACTGTCCTTAGTGTCACTGCACTCCTCTGATGATTAAAGCTGTGACTCAGCCAGTTCAACATATCCAGCTCCTTCTCTGTTTGTTTGTTTTTGTTTTTTTGAGACAGAGTCTCACTCTGTCGTCCAGACTGGAGTGCAATGGCATGATCTCGGCTCACTGCAACCTCCGCCTCCCAAGGCTCAAGTGATCCTCCTGCTTCAGCCTCCTAAGTAGCTGGGATTACAGGCACGCACCATCACACTCAGCTAATTTTCTTATTTTTTGTAGAGACAAGGTTTCACCAGGTTGCCCAGGCTGGTCTCAAACTACTGGGCTCAAGCAGTCTGCCCACCTTGCTGTCCCAAAGTGCTGGGATTACAGGCATGAGCCACTGGGCCCAGCCTCCTTCTTCCTTTAGGATACTTTCTCTCCAACGGGTTTCCTTAGCTTGTTCACAGAAACTTGTGCCATGTCATCCTGTGGTCCAGACAAATCATAGCACCAGCAGTGGGCAGGTATCAGACAGAAGCAGGGCTTCTGCTTATCTTTGTGTAGGAAAATTCTCCCACATCCTTACAGAGACGGCCCCGTGGTGGTATGAGACCCTGGGGCAGGGAGTCAACACACAGTGTGGGATCTTCTCTCATATGTATTTGCTTCATCTGATCTGACACACCTATAAACTATCAGAGGGGCTCTCTGATGGAGGCAATACTTCACTGTTTCTACAGAGATGGTGCAGACTTTTGAGTCTGAAATTTAAAACCTTCTTGAACTTTCCTAATGAAATGAATTAAGTCAAGGTTTGGTTGATGGAATAGCAAGGAACAATTTCCACCTTTTCTGTGTGGTATTTGAGGTCCTTCTATTGCCTATCAGGCTCACCTGCTCACAAGAGCCACTCTGGAAACATTTGCTAAGCAAAACTGAGTTCTACTCCACTTCTCTCCTCCACCTCCAGGGAAGAGCAAAAGGCATGAGAGAGAAAAGTGGAAAGGATTCCTGTTCAACTCAAGTCCTGAACCAAGTCCACCATTCTTATATCTACTAAGCAAGAGGCCAACATTTCCACCAGAGCATGTCCTCACATCTTGCTTAATGTTGGAAAGCTGAGTGCACAGAACAGCTCTAGGCAACACCAACTGAAAATGTTTCTCATAGTTTCATATTTTAAGTTGATGCTTAAAATAGTAAACACATATTTTATATTTACCAATAACTTTAGGTTTCAGAAGTACTCTTTAGCATTTATCTCACCCACAAAAGACTTGTAGATAACAGTTTTTTCTTCCTATTTTAGAGAGAATTTATTCCTATTTAGTGTATGGAACCATCTACTCACACACTTACTCACTCTTTCACTTCCCCATCCATCCATTCATCTATCTTCTATTCTTTCCATCTCAAACCTGAATTACATCCATCTTTTCACCTGTTTTTTTTTAAGTGCCACAATTACGATATGAGCAGGAGAGGGTAGAAGCTTACAGACTTTCTCCCTATCCCATCCCTTCTCCATCAGTCAGGATTCAATCAGAGAAACAGAAACACTAGGAGATAATATTGGAAAGGACTAGGAGATTTATTGGAAAGGACTGCTTATGTGACAGTGGGGCTGGCTAGGCAGGTCCAAAATCTATACAGCAGGCCATCAGGAAGGGCAGGCTGGAATTCTCAGGCACTGACTGAAGCTTCAGTCCACAGGTAGAAACGTCTTCCTCTTCCAGGAAACCTCAGCTCTGCTTCCCAGGCCTTTCAACTGATTGAACCAGGCCCATTAGATTATCGAGGACACTCTCCCTTACTTCATGTCAAATGATTATGGACTTTAATCACAGCTACAAAATACCTTCATGACAACACCTATATTAGTGGTTAACTGGGGCTATAGCCAAGCGAAGCTGACACATAAAACTGACCTTCATACCATCCACAAGACAACACTTCAAGATCACTTTCTTTCTTTCTTTCCTCAAGCTACCATACTCTTCAGACATTCAGAATTATAATTGCACTTTGAAACACAGCATTATGGGCAAGGTCCAAATTTTAAGAGCTGTTAATGTGAAGTGTCTCTGACTGTTTTTAACATTTTTTAACTCCCTCATTCCTACTGAGAGTATTCTCAACATCCATCATGTCCCAACCCTGGACCCTATCACATGCACCTAGTCCACCGGCACACTTTCAGCCCAAGTCACACTCCACCTGGTTTGGTCAATGATGCTCTAGTAACATGAGCGTCCCCTCTGTGACACTCTGACATTTCTCCAGACTTAACCTGTCTTTTCAATCCCTACTGCTGGGAAACACCAATTCACTCATTTCCACCATTGTTTCTGTCTGTCTGTCTCTCTGTCTGCCTGCCTATTGTAATATCCTAGGAATTCAGGAACTGATGCCATAATAAATGTACATTCTCCACCCTAAATGAGCCTCTCACTGATACTTGGATTTTTACCCACCTCCATCTGATTCCCCTATCGCTCCTCCAGTATAGGAAATCTTCCCACTCTCTTCAAGCCTCCAGCTGCCCCTTCTCTGCAGGTGACCTAGATCCCTAATCAACTGATGCTGCAGAACATGAATTTTCCCTCCTCTTCCCTCCATTTCTAAATGTCTCTGTATCTTCCCTCACCCTTTCCTCCCTCCTTCCAATTACAGAGATGGTTCTTTCATTTCCCTCTCTGGTCCTAACTCCTTTACTTACATTAACCATCCTAAGCTTCTCAGTTCTTCTTGGATTTTGTTTCTTATCAGCCCCTCTCTGTATCCAAGTTCTCTGCTCTTTATTGCTTTTCTCTCCATTATTAAAAACACGTGCAGCATTATTCTCTTATGAAACAAAACAGAAAAAAACCTTCTCTATGTCCCCGCTTCTTCCTGAAGTTATTTCCTCTTATCAGTTGCTCTCCTTACATCCTCAAAAAACCTTCTCTGTCCACATTTATTCTGCCCATGGCTCTTGCCTCCTCACCAAAGAAATCATTCCTTTGAACATTAAGTGGCTTACCAGGCACCCAACCCAATGGTCTTTTTGCAACACTTGACTGTTAAATCTCCCTCAGTTTCCAAGACCTGGTAATTTCTTGGACTCCTCTGCCTTTCTTGACTATTCCTTGTTTGTCTCCTCTTACCAGTGATTATCCTTTGTTCCACATTTATAGATTACAGGTACTTACATCTTTCAAATGGAGTATTAATATCCATGAGGCTTCCCTATGATGCTGCAGGAGGATGTGAAGACACAAGATAACCAGAATGTGTATAAAGTGGAGAAGATGCGTTTAAAAATAATGACAGGGACCCTTTACAGAGAATTCAAAACTAGCTATGACGTTTAACACAAGCCTTCTAAGAAATAGCATATGTTTAGCAGGACACTTTAAGCCACACCCTCCAGGCTACCCACGAATGCTATTCACCGTCTTCTGACACCAGACTTTGGCGGAAAAGGCTCCGAAACTTTGACCACATTATCTTATTTGACCATCATGACAAATCTATTTTCAGGACACTATAATTATTACTCAGTTTTGCAGGTGAGGAATATGAGGGTAGAGTAGTTTCCTTAATTAATCTGGGGCTTCAGTTATCAAGTGCTACATTTAAAAACATACCAAAGTTAGTGGTTTGCAACAACAACCAATTTATTATTTCAAATGATTGTGTGGGTGGACTGGGGATCAGCTGGACAGTTCTTTTGCTGACCTCACTTGGGATTTCTCATGATGCTGCATCAGATGGTGGCTGGGGCTGGAATGTCTTAGATGGCTCACTCCCATGTCTGGCACCTGGCTGGGGACAGCTAAAAGGCCGGGCTCAGCTGGGATGGCTGGGTCTCTCTCTCCATGGGGTCTCAGGGCCTCTTCCTTTCTATGGGCTCTCCGGCAGGGTAATTGGATTTCTCGCATGGTGGCTCAGAGTTACTCAAAGAGCAAAAGCCTTCTTAGAACTTAAGTCCAGAATGAACACAATGTCACTCCCACTGCATTCTTTTGCTTAAAGCCAACCACTGGCCTATGCCAGGTGCAAGCAGAGGGGAAGCATGGTCCATTAGAAACTGCCAATATGACCCACTACTGGACTTGTCTGAGTGATGAAGCTGGGGCTTGGGCCCAGTTTTTCTTTAATTTTACCTTTTTAAAATTATTTCTTGCTGTTAAGTTACTTGGTGATGAACAACCTCATTTATGTAGCTTTTTAATGTTTGAGGTTACTTCCTAAATGTCCAAAATTGGTGTTACTAGATTTAATAATATGAATGCTTTTGTAGCTCTTGATGCATACTGCTAACTATTGTCCAAGACATTTAAACTGTTTTATAAAGAGATTTGTATATATCATATGAATACACAATTTTCCTATCCCTTCAATTAGAACTGAATATTATCATCAAAGTTTTTCCAATTTAATTAGCAAGAAGTGATATTAACACTTCAGTTTGTATTTCTTTGAGTAGTGAGGCTGGCCATTTGCATACATTTATTTACCTATTATAATTCTTCTTTTAGGAATTGTGTGTCCATGTCTTTTACCCATTTGCCCTTTGATATTTTGCCTTATTTCTTGTCAATTTTATGGTGCTTTATGTAATAATACAATTTTCAATTGCCTATACATCTTTTAATAGTTTTTTTTTTAGACGGAGTCTCACTGTCACCTGGCTGCAGTGCAGTGGCACGATCTCGGCTCACTGCAACCTCCACCTCCTGGGTTCAAGCAATTCTCTTGCCTCAGTCTCCCGAGTAGCTGGGATTACAGGCGCACACCACCACGCCCAGCTAATTTGTGTATTTTTGGTAGAGACGGTGTTTCACCATGTTGGCCAGAATGGTCTTGATCTCCTGACCTTGTGATCCACCCGCCCTGGCCACAAAGTGCTGGGATTACAAGCGTGAGCCACCTCGCCGAGCCTTAATAGTTATTTTTAAGTCACAGCCCTGAATGTAACAATCTTCTCCTAAAAATGAAACAGAACAGCCAATCAATGAAAAGAAGGGTCAGCAGTTCCCTACTGTGTAACATAGCTGTTCCCACCACCTTCTCACTCAGGCATCTGTGACAGATGGCAGTCACGTGCCTGACACACCACCATGACACATCCCGGGTTATGCACATTTTGCACATTTGTTGTAACTTTACCCCTTTCTTTCGCTTTTAAGAAAGTATATCAAAATTTTCTATTTCTCTGCTGTGATTGCTTATTTTTTCATCCATTAAAAGTATATCTTAGTTTGATATACTCCCACTTGTTTATTTTTGCTTTTGCTGCCGGTACTTTTGGTGCAATATCCAAAAGAATTCTTGCCAACATCAATAAAGGAGATTTTCCCTGTGTTTTGTTTTAGGAGTTTTACGGTTTCAGATCTTATGTTTAAGTCTTTAACTCATTTTGAGTTGATTTTTGTATGTGGCGTAAGATAAGGATTCAATTTCATTCTTTATCATATGAAACTTCATACCCTTTGACCTTTGTACCCTTTGACCCTTTATCATGTGAATATCCAATTTTTCCAGGATGTTTTGTAGAAAAAAAATATTCTTTTCCCATTGTATCTTTTTGGTGACCTTATTGAAGATCTGTTGGCCATATATGAGTGGCTTTGTTTCCGGGCTCTCTACTCTGTTTCATTGGTCTGTACTTTTTTTTTTAATGCCAGTAGCATACTGTTTTGATTACTATTGTTTGTAATATAATTTGAAATTAGGAAGTGTGATACTTCCAACTTTGTTTTTCTTTCTCAGGATTGTTTCAGCTACTTGGAGTTTTTTGTAATTCTATATGAATTTTAGGATTTTTTTCCATTTCTGCTAAGTGAACTAAACCAGAACAGAAAGAAAAATGCTGGATAATCTCACTTATGTGTGGAATCTAAACTAAACAACAACAACAACAAAAATCCCTTGAATTCATAGAAACAGATAATAGAAGGGTGGTTACCAGGGGCAGGGTGGTGGGGAAGGTTGTAAGAGAGGGAATGGGAAGACAGAGGTCAAAGGGTACAAAGTTTCAGTTATGTGGGATAAATAAGTCTAGAAATCTAATGTACAGCATGAGAACTATGGTTAATAATATTGTACTATTTAGTGAAAAATTACTAAGAGAATAGATTTTAGGCACTTTTACCAAAAAAACAAAATTGTGAGATAAAGCATATTTTCTTTTACCTGATTAAGCATGGTTATACCAGCTGCTTTTCTAACAATCCCAATGTCTACATTGCTCTTTTCTAACAATTCTAATGTCTACATTATTTTGAAGTTAACATCTGTTGATTGTCCTATCCCTCAGGAATGGATCACATCTTCCTGGTTCTTAAGTACTTTTGGACTATGTCTTTAACATATCAATACTATGTTGTGGAGACTCTCAATTCTTTTATACTTTTTCAAAGGGTGTTTTTTTTTCTTTAGAAAGCAATTAACTTGGTTAGACTCAAAATGCACACTGCCTGCCCAGGGTGTGGGAAGATTTAGGGGAAAGAATCTAGGGCAACTGGAATCACCGGAGAATAATGGGAAACCCCAGTGTACTAGTCCCTTTTCATACTGCTATAAAAAACTGCCCAAGACTGGGTAATTCATAAAGGCTTAGTTGACTCACAGTTCAGCATGGCTGGGGAGGCCTGAGGAAACTTACAATCATGGTGGAAGGTGAAGGGGAAGTAACGCACTTTCTTCACAAGGTAGCAGGAAGGAAGAGTGCCAAGTGAAGGGGAAAGAGTCCCTTATAAAACCATCAGATCTCATGAGAACTCTCTCACTATCATGAGAACAGCATGGGGGAAACTTCCCTCATGATCTAATTAACTCCACCTGATCTCTTCCTTGACACGTGAGGATTATGGAGATTACAATTCAAGACGAGATTTAGGTGGGGACACAAAGCCTAACCATACCACCCAGAAAGGAGAAAACCAGAGAAGGGAATGCCAGATTCTGAGTATAAACTATGCCCAAGACATTAGCTGACTGCTGAGCCACACAGGCTCACCTTCCCTTAAATCCTCTCACCAGAGAGGCACAGACTTTCTATTGAAGTTTTAACTTCATGCCAACATTATGATTGCCCTGAGGGTAAAACTCAGCAGTCTGAATTTGACTCCCTTTTTTTTCTGCTCTTCTACACTCTCCAGAGCCCTCAAAGAATAGTTGTTTTTTGAGGGGGATTTTTGGTCTGGACTTTATAGTTGTTACCTGTCAGAGAGTCAGGCTATTAGATAAAAAACTTACTTCACTATACTGGAAACAGAACTCTTTCAGAATATGTGCTTGTTACATGCAATAGAAAGTTCATAAAAATACACATGGTATTTGTCCAAAGTGAGGAAAGGAATATTTTAGTTTAGGGAATCACTACTTACTCACAACTTTTTGTTAATGATGGCTGTGGAAGTATAAAACATTGCAAGTATAATAGCATTTTTTTCTATATTAATGGCTTACACACATTTCTAATAACATACACAGTTTTTGTAACTCTTTTTTTTCTGTTTGTTCTGGTTTAACCCACTGAAATGCTATGTCTATCTGTTAAATATGTATAACATATTAATATCTAAATACATATATGTGTATATTTTAAATATATTTTTGCTATGAAAATATTGACATATAACCAGCCTCTTGTAGTTCATCATCATCAGGTCTATTTGATAAGTATTCTCATGTGGATTTCCAGTAATATTTTTTTTTTCTCCAC
This sequence comes from Homo sapiens, assembly GCF_000001405.40. Lineage (NCBI taxonomy): Eukaryota > Metazoa > Chordata > Mammalia > Primates > Hominidae > Homo > Homo sapiens. The sequence continues at coordinate 55,947,708 of NC_000014.9, read as the reverse complement.
ACAAGCAGACTCTGATTAAATTGGTTTATGTTGACTCCCATAAATATTTGCACCTACATTATAACTACCATGTAACATTGTTGGTATAGTACCTAGATTTTGTTGTAATTGCTCTTTGTTGTTTGTTTTGTTTTGTTTAGAATTCCTGTACTGGGCTGGGCACGGTGGTTCAAGTGCAGTGGCACAATCTCAGCTCACTGCAACCTCTGCCTCCCAGGTTCAAGCTCACACCTGTGATCCCAGCACTTTGGGAGGCCGAGCTGGGCAGATCACCTGAGGTCAGGAGTTCGAGACCAGCCTGGCCAACATGGTAAAACTCCATATCTACTAAAAATACAAAAATTAGCCAGGTGTGGTGGTACACACCTGTAATCCCAGCTACTTGTGGGGGCTGAGGCAGGAGAATCACTTGAACCTGGGAGGTGGAGGTTGCAGTGAGCCAAGATCGCACCACTGCACTCCAGCCTGGGCAACAAAGCAAGACTCTGTCTCAAAAAAAAAAAAAAAGTATTCCTATAGTAAGTGGTGTTAGTAAGTTCCACGAGAATCTGTAGATTCCAGTGGGAAGTCTGGAACCAGTGCTCACTAATAGACTTCTCCATACATTCCCAAAAGAAGGAGGAACTTTGTCGTGTGGGGAAGATCAATAGAATTTTGGTGCCTGGTAAAGGTGGAAGATTCCAGTTTCTTCTTGATCAAACCCCATACGAACATTGGTGATATCAGTGGTATCCTATGTTATGATATGAATATGAGAACTTTGGCCATATCCCTAGTTTCCTCACTCTGACATACTGGCCACCACTTGGTGGATCTGATACAAATGAGTCTTGCAGCACCTCCCGGGGGGGCAGTGATGCCTAACTTCAGACCTAAAGTCCATTTTTGCCAGTGAGTTTTTCATAAAGAGAAAAAAGAGTAAATATACCTTTTTCAGGCAAGCAATACCTACCCCATTAGGACTCCAACATAATGACTGCTTTAGTCAACCATCTGCAACTAAAGGAATCATAGATACTAATACGTAATTCTTATATTTATGACCAAATATTTACGTGGATGCCCCTCCAAGGAGTAAATGTATATGCAGATGTTCAGTGCCATAGTTTCAACTCAGCTGCTATGCTACAAATCCAATCAGCTTGCTGTGCTGTGTCCACACTGTGGTTGCTCTCACAGCTGACCCTGAACTTGGTCATCCTCACAGCCTCTTTCTTCTTCTTTTACCATGATGTCAAGCATACATGTCAACTCACAGCTGAAAATTGCTCCCCTTCCAGAAGCCTCTCCAGCAACTTCCTCTTATTGCTACAGAACATAGATCAGCAGGTCAGTGCTGCATTATTCTGCACTTGTTTTTATATCACTTCTCGGTTAAACAAGATTATTGAGCACGTGACTGCCTTCACTCCCACAATCACTTAGGTGGACCTGAAATTTATGTGATATCCCAGACAGATAGCCTGAAAAAAAATTTTTTTGAAAAATCTTTTTTATTATATAGCTAATTCAATTGTGTTGTGGAAAATTTATAAAATATATAAAACAATAAAAATTACCCATAATTCTACCTGCAAGCAACAGTAGCTGTTAGCATGTTGGTATATTCCCTTCTAGAGAACATTGCATATAACTGTAGACAGATGTAGAGATAAATATGGATACAGACCCAGATGTCGATGTAGATATAGATGTATTGGAAAAATGTTCAGCTTGTTTTCTAGTCAACTTTGAAAAAACTGACTAGATTATGAATGGTTATGAAGATAACAATTCCATGGGGAAATACAACTTAGATACTGTGATGGTTAATTTTAGGTATAATTTCACCGGATTAAAGGATATCCAGACAGCTGGTAAAGCACTATTTCTAGATGTGTTTGTGAGGGCATTTCTGAAGGAGATTGGCATTAGAATTGATGGACTAAGCAAGAAAGAGCCACCCACAATGTGGATGGGCTCCACCCAATCTGCTGGGGGCCTGGATAGAACAAAAAGGCAGAGAGAATAATTCTCTCCTCTCTTGGAGCTGAGACATCTTTCTTCTCCTGCTCTTGGATGTTAGAATCCCAGGTTATCTGGCCTCTGGACTCTGGGACTTGCACCAGCACCCACCCCCCAGGTTCTCAGGCCCTCAGCCTTGGACTGAGAGTGACACCATTGACTTCCCTGGTTCTAAGGCCTTCAGACATGGACTGAGCCACACTCCTGACTTTTCCTCCTTTCCTTACAGCTTATAGATGGTCTACTGTGGGACTTTTTAGCCTCTATAATCACAAGAACCAATTCCCCTAATAAACCCCCTCTATGTATGTATGTATGTATGTATGTATGTATGTATGTATGTATGCATCTATCTATCTATCTTTCAGTTCTGCTTCCCTAGAGAACCCTAATTAATGCAGGTATTTTACATTAACAGATACTCTACCAGTTCTTAGGTTAAATTCCAAAAGACTGCTTTTCTTACCTGGAAAAGAGGAAAGGAATTTTGCCAATTCACTGGCTCTAAGGCCTTTCCTGGATACAAGGACAGTTAAATGTAAACACGAGTTGCTGGGGGAATGTCACGTAATCTCCTCTAGCTGTCTTAATAGAACCAGTAACAAAACCATATAAATTCTAGTACATAAGGACAATGTAAATGTGGCCTTCTGAAGGCAAGGGTACAATGGCAAAACAATCCTCTAGGTTGCCACATGAAATTCTGCTTCCATCGAGGGGGTCTTGTGGCAAGATGGGCCAAGTCATGAGCCATGAAACCCTGTTCTAATTAAGTACTTCTGTGGCCACAGGAAAGTCAGTTTACCCCTCTGAGCAGCAACATCCTGAGTTTTAAAATAAGGACGTTATAGGGGAAATCATCCATGAGAGGATGTGGCACATCAGCTATGGTCATGATTCCTTACTTCTAGACAAGAAGAGGCTTGCTTCCTATTGGTTTCTAAATCTTTTTTTTCTTCTTCATGAGACATTATAAATAGAAACTTCTCTTAAAAAAAAAAAAACCTTTTTGGAGTCTGTATCACTTGAGACTTACCAGTTTCTTAAGGATTGGCAAAGACTTTCTGACAAAATAAAGACACACACCCCCATCCCACATCTTTATACTCATGAAAAGATTTTATATGATCATATGACATTTCCTGGATTTGGTTTGGACTAGAAAATACAACACAGGATGAGACCAAAAATTTCAGAGGTTTTAAAACTCAGACAGTAGAAAAATCAATGCAAACTATTGGAAAAACTGGGGAGAAATGAACCTGAGCAGTGCCTGCCCTGCACTGTCTCTATGTGGTATAATGCTATCCCTGGGGGGAAGGTCTTCATAGAACAGAGTAGCCATCCCAATATTCAGAGAACTTATCACTTCCACATATAAAGGCAAACACACTCTTTTGTAACCCTGGTATTCTTTGGATAGGATTTTGTTAAACAGTATTGTAACATATTTATTAATATAGGGTTTCTATTTTTATACCCATTTGGGTATGGCAGAGAAACTAGAGGAGAGAATGAGTTGGTGAGGTGGAGAGTCAAGTGTACTCCACCAAGTTCTCTAAAACTTGAGGGCCTGAGCCTCAGTTTCTCCACTGTAAAATGTAAATAGTAATTCTCAGTGAGGTGTCATGGTGCTCAAATTACATAATAGATCTGAAAGGGCTACACAAACTGGAAAGCACTATATCATTATAGGGTAATGTTACTACAAAAGATGAAAATCTCATTTTTGTACACTGAGCATGTGTGACATCTAAGATTTCTTTCCATAGCACCTAACTGTACCTATTTCATTATACTTACTATACCACCAATCCAGATCCCTTCTCTGAGCTCCAGAATGTGAATCCAATTGCTTACCTGACATGCCCACTGGGATATCTTACAATTACCTCAAACTCTACAGGTCCAAAAGCAAATGCATGATCCTTCCTCCTCAAGCCTGGTCTTCTTTCAGCATTCTTTAACTCAGGGAATGGGGTCACCTTTCATCAAACAATGCAAGCCAGAAAATGTGGAATTATTGACATCTCTCTTTCCATCACCATAAGCTGAACTCAACGGCCTAAGGGAAAAAAATAACAGTTTTTGGCTTTGCACATTTAACAAATTAAATAGTCTTTTCCACAAAGCAGTCTCCAATGTTAAAAGCAAACAAACAAAAACCACTTCATATTGAATTTAAGGACTCGGGATTCCTAATGCAACTAATGGTGACACACCATAGCACCCCAGATTTCTTGACATGTGTATACTATTAGGCTCTCCCTGAATCTGTGCTTCTTATATTCAAGTCAAGATTTAGGTGGGGAAAAGAATCTAGAGACTGGCTATAAATATAATTTAATCAATGCCAGCCAAATCTTTGGCTGGATTAAAGTCAGGATCTGAAATGTGTACTTTGGAAATTCATTCATTTCTCTACGTCTGTGGTTCCCTCCCTCTCTTAGTAAAAATGACAACCTTGTCATATATGAACAAAGTGGGATGGGAGTCTTCAAGCATCAATCAGGTTAGAGGGGTGAGGTAGGGGTAGAGGCAGCAGACCCACAAAACTGAGGGAGACAAACATTAGGACCAGAAGGCGGAAGAATTAGTGCTACCATCAACTGCCAATAGGGGATTTAACTATGCCATCCAATGACATGCTGGGAGCAAAGGGTAAGACTGGACAAAGGAGTGGAGTGCTGAGCAGGGAAGGAGGGCCCCTAGACACCCCAAACCAGGCCAACTGGGCCCCCTAGGAGAGTATCTGAGAGCAGGGCTGGAAGGCTGGAGGGCAGGTTGATGGCTATTACTATGGTAATAGCCCTAGAGCTGAATCAATCAGGGAGCAAAGCTGGAGACAGGCTTCTTTTCTGTTTTCCACCAATCATTTGAAAAAAAAAAAAAAAAAGTGTAAAGCATTGGAACATTTGCAGACAAATTAAATCTTAAATATAAACCCAATACGTAACAGATCAAGGCAAGAAATGCTGCTCTAGTTACAAAGATGTGGGGAGATTGGGCTCCACTTTGTCTACTGGAGATGGGAGGGGTCCCTTTCCACTCCTCTTAATCACTGTGGATGGAGTTGGGGGGTGCAGAAGTGGGGGAGTGGAGACATTGAGCCTTTTCTTCAATCCTTACCCCATCCCTGACTGATGAGAGAAAGATCTGTTAGAAACTCTTGCCTCTGGTTATTTGCCTTCAATCCTGGCCAAGAAAAAAAGCAAATAGGAATGCTAAATCTTATAGAAGATCCTGGCAATGTTGGCCACACCTGGAGCCAAACCAAAAATAAAAAAAAAAAATTCCCCGATAGCTAGCAGGCTTTAAAGTAGATAAGGAGGAAAAATATATTGCCCACATTTTCCCTGGCATAAATTTATGGTGTAGAATTGTGCAATGACAGCTGTCATGTGAACAAGGGTGGCCTTGGGCTTTGACTGCACATAATGGTTACCACTGAGGCAGAAAGTTCTGGGCTGTGGATCCAAAGCTGTGCTACAGTGAGCTGGTGTTACAGGAAGTTTCTGTAACAACAGTAAAGAGAACACACTCAGTGCTCATGTCCAACAAGCACACTAAGTGCGGGGCTGAGTATCCGCCACATACTGTAAATAATGGCAATAAAAACACAGCGGAAGGTGCAGGGAAAAGCCACTCATTCTTTATTGGTGGGAATACAAATTGGTCCAACTTTCCTTGAGAAATCTGGCAATATAGTCATCATTTTAAGCGTGCATACTCGTCAGCACTGCAATTCCATTTCTCGGAACATATCTTGCAGAAATACTCAACAAGTATACACATATATAGATACATGAGATTTTTTGCAGCATGGTTTTTAATAGCAAAAAGAAAAAGTGGAAGTATTAAAACGACCATTAGTAGAGAGCTTGTCAAATACATTATGAGCAATACTCAGGATGGAATCCAACACAGCTTTTAAAATGGGACATATCCATATATATGGATGTGGAATTAATTATCACTATAGTAAGCAAAAGAGAGTTTCAGGCAGTATGTATTGTATAATTCCACTTGTGTATAAAAAGCTCAAGACTATATGCATTTATATAATCCATATTGATGGCTGGAGTCATGGTTAGGCAATGCCATAGAAAAAGATAGATAAACACCCAATAATTTTAACACTGTTTTCCCCCTTGGGAACAAGAGTGCAGGAATAACTCAAGGAATCTTCATTTTAACTTTATACTGTTCAGTGTTATTTGAAGTTTTTCAACAAGAAAACAATAATACAGGTATGGAAAACACAAGGAAATGACAGTGTTCAAGATTTGCGGCCAGGTTGGACTGACTCCACCGTCCATATTCTCTGCTCTGTGCCACAAGCAAAAACATACCACCACCTATAATATGAATTGCCTACCACTCTATCTAGGGTTCTTTTCAGCAGGTTCCACTCCTGCTGCCACAGTCTGCGGCCAAAACTTTGTTCACCGCTTTATCCCTCTCAGAACGGTGACTTGCCATTTAAGAGTCCCTGAGATAGAGAACAGGACAAGCTATTTGAGGCCCTGGCCACTCATGACCAGGAATTCGTCTTCGTTTTATTAATCAAAAACAAAGTCCCCTATTAGCAAGCTCAGCATAAGCACATGTGAAGCAAACATCAGAGCAGAGTAGGTGTTCAGAAGAAACCTCTTGATCAGACAAGCTCCAAGGCCTGGTTGACTATGCTACCCTTCCTAGCATTTAAATCCCTTGTCTCATGGCTGTAGTTAGGTTAAGGAGGGGGTCTGGCTTCTTTTCAGGAGGATGTGGACACCCTCCAAGGGTGACACTGGGTCTGGTTCAGGTTAGAAGCCTAGAAACCATCTCAGCTTCTCCTGAGCACCTGGGACATGGATTTCTGAGACTCTTGCCCTCCAACTGTTTCCTGCCAAACTTCCCTTTCAAAGGGAGCACAGCCATGGCAGAAAAGGCCCCTGGGTTTCCTGATCTGCTTTTTCACCCTCTCAAAGCAGACTCTTTTACTAGTGCTGGTCAGGTGTCCACACATGAGCCCCACTGCTCCAGGCCAGAACATCCTCTTGCGCCTGTCGCTGGTCAATACAAGGAGACTTTCCTACCTTAGAGTGCTGCTTTACTCTTTCTGTTTGAAAAATATCTGTTCTTGACCTCCCTCTTTTCACACTTCACACTTCTGATCACCAATGTTTTCCTCAGATACCATCAGTGACAACTTTTATTTATCTGATTCTTAACTGTACCCGCTATTGTGGGACTTGTACCCTCCTATTTCTCCATCCCTAATTATCTCCATCACTTTTCTTCCGGGAGAGCCTGATCTTGCTCACAATCCACAAGGCAGTGGTAGCATGCCACCTGCATCCACCTGCATTCAGCAATGCAGGAGGCAGAATCACCTCAGGGCACTCAGCATGTGGGGACAGGCTGGGCTGGGGCCCTCAGAACACTGGCCTCCTGTTCAGTAAAAACCTGCCCAACACCTCCCCTCACCATCCTACTCTCGTAAAACCCATAACCATTTATTTAAAATCTTTGTCTTCTAACCTTCAGTAAGATTCTGTGGGAAGTCCCGAGAGAACACGTCTAAAATTTGGAGTGTATATTTTCTCTTAGAATTTAGGGCCCCTTTTGGAATTTGGAGTTTATGTCTACCTCTTCAAACAAATGTTTGCAATACTAGCTGTTGTAGTCAGCTTGGGCTACTATAACAAAATACCACAGACTGAGTGGCTTAAACAACAGACATTTGTTTCTTGTGATTCTGGAGGCTGGGAAGTTCAAGATCAAGACCAACAGTTTTGGCTTCTGGTGAAGGCCTTCTTCTGGCTTGCAGGGACCACCTTCTTGCTGTGTCCTCACGTGGAGGAGAGAGTGAGCTCCACTCTCTTCCTCTTCTTACAAGAACACCAATCCCATCGTGGGGCCTCACCATCACAACCTCATTTAAACCTAATCACCTCTCAAAGGCCTCACCTCCAAACACTATCACATTGGGGGTTAAGACTTCAATGTAAGAATGTTGGTGGCAAACAAACATTCAGTACTTAATTCCAGCCTCAGCAATTGTCCATTGAAAAAACCTTCATCTCTCTTATGTGAAGAGAATCAAATAGATGGCCCCATGTTTGGGTCCTTGCAGTCCACAAGATAGACAACTCTTTGCAGATGGTTACTCTAACTCAGAAAATCTAGGAAAGTGAAATTTGAAAGTATGTCTCCAAAACAGCCCTGATTGACATGGTAATTGTGCTTACCTGCCCTCCTCCCCCGACACAGACAGACAGACACACTTCATCTGTCCCAGGTTCTGGGAGGTGAGTATGGTACAGTGGATAAGGGCCACACTTTGGAGGCAGTGGTGGACCAAGCCTGAGAAAAGGGTTTTTGCAAGATTTCTGGAGATAACCCTCTTCTGTGGTCTGGTCCATTGATATTTCTCATTTCCCTGCATAACTGTCCATTATACCCAATCCCATCCCAAATTCCTTCTCTTACCTAAATGCTCAAACTTCTAAAATGGTTCTATTTGAGGGTATCCACTGGTTGCAGGAGAAAATTAAATAAAGTAAATAAAAGTAATTAAAGGCTAGTACTGCAACCTACTGCCTTCTCCCCACTCTGGTGCCCTCTTACCTAGTTCTTTCTTGGTTTCCAAAGCACTTGTCTTCTGATATACGGTAAAATGCCTTGATTCATTATGTTTATTTCTTATCATTTATCCTTCCTATAGACTGTAAACTTCAAAAGGGCAAGAATCTTGGTCTGTTTTCTTTACTGATGTACCCCATGTGCCTGTAAGAGGTCTGACATGTAGCAGGGGCTCAAAAATTATTTGTCAAATGAATGGAAGTTGCAACTGGGACAGAATTCAAGATTCTCTTCCCTAATCCCTGAATCCTCAGATTTTCAAAGCTTTTCTTGCTGATGGGTCAGGCCCACTTGTGCCAGCTTGTTGGCACTCATCTTGGACACAGGCCACATTTTCTCCAGCCAACCGTCGTGACACTGATTCATTGTTTGTATACAGCTCCTCTTAGGCACGAAGACAGTCTTCTGCCCACGGGCTTACGGCCGAGCTTAGGAAACCCAGCTCAGATGTGAAACCCTAGGCTTGGCAGCTCGCAGCTGGCAGCTGGCAGCCAGACATGGTAAGCAGTCCCTAGCTCTTTCAGCCATTCCCAAGCACTCCTGGGTATGCCATGAAACTACTCTGAACTTTTCTGCACACATGCTTTTTCACTGAACATGACTTGGAAGGGAATGAGCGAGCCGTGGTATATTACTCACCATCAGCTGCTTTGCATGACAGTAAATATTCAGCCATGCCCATGTGTTCAGCACAGGCCTGCCTGGGGAAGTAGGCACAAAGGCTGGGCCAGTCGCCAGCAGGTCTAGAAGTGGGCCCCAGATATGTGCTCTCTGCCAGACAGAAGGGAAGAGGGCTGGAGATTATCACTGGGAATGAAAAACTGAAAATCAGATGGGTGAGGGGACGTATCCAATGTTGCATGTCAAGATGGTGGCAAACCAGGATACAGCTCCTTTCCCTTCACTGTCTTGTCTCTTGGCTGTTCAGCGTCTTCTCTTACCCTTTTCCCGAGTGGCAGGGCCTGCCTGCATAAGTATGGCTCAGTCACAAAAGGCCTCTGAGAGCTTTCTTGCCTAATCTTCACACAGCTCCACTGGTTCTTCACTTAAGACAACTGACTTCCATAACAGTTTCTCCTCTCCCCCAGGCCACCATTCTCACTCACTCAGCTTTTGCACATCTCTATGCTCCTGAGCATCTAACAAAGTTCTTTGCATTAAGTACTCAATAGGCAGTCATTAAATAATAAAAACCAATCAATAAGCAAGTGAATATGCTTCATCCTCTTAGTGCTGTAGACTTGGGACAAAGTGTCTTTCCATGATTATCACAGTTTAAACACCAACCTAGCCAGATAGTCATACAGCTGACCAGTCCTCACTTCTTAGGACAAATCTCCATTGTGGATATTTTAGGCAATTTGGTGCCGTTATGCAAAAGTAGGGAGCAGAGAGCACAGAGCAGGCCTGCTGTTGAGCACTGGGCTCCCTGAAATTGACATTCCAAATCAGACCTCCCAGGTCAGCCAATGTGGGAACATTACTAAAGGAGCAGGTGCAAGATGGAAGAGAGGATATGTTTCCGTCCTGATGTGATTCAACATCAAAGCTGGGCAGTGCTAGGAGATTGCCCACTAGCTGTGCTAATGGGTCAGCAAGGACACAGATAAGTGAAAGCATTTGACTTATGACAGTAGGTTTTTGGGTTAATTTCTGGAGACAATGTGACAGAATGGAAATATCTCAGGCTTTGCAGTCAAATCAACAAGTATTCCTATCTCTGCTCCACCATGTTCTAGCTGTGCGACTTACAACAAGTTACTTGACCTTGTTTACTCATTTGTAAAAAGAAGGAACGTAAATCGCTTGCAGGAATAATGTGAACAGGAAAGGAAAAAAAAAATGTGTGTGTGTGTGTACGTGTGTTTTTAATCTTCTCACAGTACGCAAAACACTGCAAGTACTACATTGCTAGTATAAAACTAAATTCTTTTATGTATTCACTTGATAATAGTGTTTAGACAGTTGTTATATGCTAAGCAGAGGAAATTCTGTTTATCTTAAAATGTTCTAAAATGAGAAACATTCACTTTGAAAAAGTTTCTGGAAGTAGCAGAGGCGTTTTATACAAGTTGCAGGTAAGGTATTATGATATTGTGAAATACACATTTAGTGTTCCTCCGGTTTCCTGGCACATGGCTCCTAAAACCCTTGGAATCTCTGGAGTGATAAGAATGTATTTTGCATGATAATGAAATCACTGCTGGCTGGGGGCCCCTAGCTAACTGGGGACTGGTCACTGGAAAGACCAAGGCAGGATTAGAAGGCTGGAACTTTTGGCCGCACCCTCCAACCTCTGGGGAGGGAAGAAGGGTTGATGGTTGAGTTGATTACCAATGGCCAATGATGTAATCAGTCATACCTACATAAAAAAGTTCCATAAGAAAATTAAAGAACTTGGCTGGGCGCAGTGGCTCACGCCTGCAATCCCAGCACTTTGGGAGGCCGAGGCGGGCAGATCACGAGGTCAGGAGATCGAGACCATCCTGGCTAACACGGTGAAACCCTATCCCTACTAAAAATAAAAAAAAAAAAATTAGCCAGGCATGGTGGCACGTGCCTGTAATCCCAGCTACTCAGGAGGCTGAGGCAGGAGAATGGCGTGAACCTGAGAGGGAGAGCTTGCAATGAGCTGAGATCGCACCACTGCACTCCAGGCTGGGTGAGAGAGTGAGACTCCATCTCAAAAAAAAAAAAAAAAAAGAAAGAAAGAAAATTAAAGGACTGGGTCCAGAAAGCCTCCAGATAGCAGAACAAATGGAGATGGCTAGAGGATGGCTCATCTTGAGAGCACAGAAGTGCCATGCCCCTTCCCACATGCCTCACCTAGGCGTCTCTTCCATCTGGCTGTTCATCTGTCTCCTTTGTAATATCCTTTACAATAAATGCGTAAATGTAAGTAAAGTGTTTCCCTGAGTTCTTTGAGCCACTCTGGCAAGTTAATCCAACCTGAGAAAGGGATGAAGGGAACCCTGGGTAGTATGTCAGAAGGATAAATCACAACCTGGGACTTTATATTGGCATCTGAAATGGGAGCAGTCATGTGGGATTCAGCCCTTAACCTGTGGGATCTGACTTGATCTCCAGGTAGATAGTTTCAAAATTGAATTGATTTATAAGATAGTCAGCTGGTATCTGCTGGAGAATTGCTTAGTGCATAGGAAAAGAAGAAGAAGAGGAAGAAGAAAAACCCCACACATCTGGTGGCAGAGGTGTTGTGTCAGGTGACTAATGTGTGTGAATAGGAAAAACACTTTTTTCCCCCATCTTTATTAGCTATAATCATTGATAAGAAGTCACCAGAAGAAGTCAGCATGCAAAAATCTCTCAGCTTGATCACTATTAATGAGCAAGAATTCACTCTAACTGACTAAAGTAACTGGGGAACCACTGCCTTCTGAGTCAAGAGGACATGATCTTGAAAAATTTATCTTCTTAACAAAGGGATACTTGTATAATTTCTCTTTCATTTTGCACATGTTGCAAGAAAGGAAAGTTGTAAAAATGTTAGAGAGAGTGCCCATATCTTTAGGTCAGGTGCACCAACCTTTTTAAAATTAATGTGCATCATGCTTAGAAATCCATTTTCATGACTTTTTTTTTTACTGATAATGGTGAGTCAAGAGGTTCTTCACTTGGTATGAGTATTGAATGTAGTTCAAATATTAATTAAGCCCATGGTGAGTCTTTATTTCAAATTACCTTATTTTTTGTCTATCATTCTTTATGATGCCCCAATGTAGCTGAATTAAAATCAAATGGTTCAGAAGTACATAATTAATTACATTCTTCTTAAATTACCGTTCCTAATTAATCCAAATCTGTTAACATGATATCTGGTGGTAATCAGTTATAAATGGTGGCAGTCAAGTGAAGTCCCCACTGGTTCTTTTGTATTAGCTAAAGAAGTTTAAGAAATTCTGGCTAATGAATCATGGCCTGTGAGCCACGTATTGGACTCCCAGATTACTGAGGATCTGGACAGCTCAAAGGGAAACTAAGACAATCCTGTAAACACCTCTGATAGGTTAGGCCTGGGTTGACAAGTAATGGGCACTGGTGTCGCCTGCTTGATTCTTTACCCCAGCATGCATGACCAGTTGATCATCAACTCTCTACTGCTGAGCCTAAACTCAACTTCATAACATTTTTTTTTTTTTGAGACAGAGTCTCGTTCTGTCACCCACTGCACCCCAGAGTGCAGTGGCACAATTTTGGCTCACTGCAGTCTCTGCCTCCTGGGTTCACACGATTCTCCTGCCTCAGCCTACAGGTGAACACCACCATGCCTGCCTAATTTTTTGTGTATTTTTAGTAGAGATGGGGTTTCACTATGTTGGCCAGACTGGTCTCAAACTCCTGACCTAGTGATCCGCCCACCTTAGCCTCCCAAAGTGCTGGGATTACAGGCATGAGCTACCTCGCCTGGCCCATAACATTTTTCAAAATGGCCATCATCAATTGTATCAACTAATTAATATCCAATTAGTTATCTATTGACACCATAGACTTGGTGGCTTAAAACAACACACATGTACTGTCTCACAGTGTGTTAGTCCCTTTACATACTGCTATAAAGAACTGCCTGAGACTGGATAATTTATAAAGGTTTAATTGACACAGTTCCACATGGCTTGGGAGGCCTCAGGAAGCTTATAATCATGGCGGAAGGCAAAGGGGAAGCAAGGTACCTTCTTCACAGAGTGGCAGGAAGGAGAATGAACACAGGAGGAACTACTGGACACCTATAAAACCATCAGATCTCATGAGAACTCACTCACTATCATGAGAACAGCATGGGGAAACCACCCTCATAATTCAATTACCTCCACCTGGTCTCACCCTTGACATGTGGGGATTATGGGGATTACAAGTAGAGATTTTGGATGGGGACACAGCCAAACCATATCACACAATTTCTGTGGGTCAGCAGTCTGTGCTCTAAGATCTCTCACAAAGCTGCAATCCAGACATCTTATAGGGCTGAGGTCTCATTTGAGGCCCAACTGGGGAAGGACTCACTTCCCAGCTGAGGTGGTTGTTGGCAGAATCCATTTCCTCACAGGCTGCCACACTGAGGGTCTCGGTTTCTAGCTGGTTGTGGGCTGGAAGCTCCCTTCAGCTCCTCAAGTGGCCCTCCCCATACGCAGCTTACAAAAGGCAGCTTATTTTTTCAAAGCCAGCAAGGAAAACAGTATTCTAGCAAGACAGACATTACAATGTTGTGTAATCAGGAGCATCCCATTACCTTTGCTGTACTCTGTTGGTTAGAAGCAAGTCACATATCCTGCCCACACTCAAAGGAAGGAGATTACACAAGGGTGTGAATCCCAGGAAGCGGGGATGATGAACGTTACCTTAGACTCGGTTAGCCACACCAGTAATTCAGAGTTACCAGGGAAAATGACACATTTTTGCCTTTCTTGGCTTAGATAGGCAGAGTGCCTGTGATAGAAAGCTTTCAACAGCTGAATGAGACAGCTTAAAAGCATTTGAAGGCCATGTTAAGTCAGTCATGGAAGAATATGATGCTAAGGATTTTTGTTTTGTTACAAAGAATCATTCTAATCAAATTCTAAGGATGTACACTAAAAAATATTAGGAAAGACTCCCATATTCAGAAATATGGCCGACAAGTTGTCTAGTATGGAACATCTAAAAGTATAGGATGAAAATACAAGAAAACACCTTGTAAGGGCATGGTTAAGTCTGTAAAAAAAAAAAAAAAAAGTAAGAGAAATCCTCAGAAATCTAAATCAATGAGAATACACAAATCTAAGAGGCAAGAGAGCACTGAAGCACTTGTCTGGGGCAACTGTTAATCTCCAATGTCCTGAAACTTAGGTTTAAAGGACTGAAGATGTGGTGGGGTGGGGCACGGTAGGAGAAAAGCCTGGGTCTCCAGCATTATGTGAGGTTGGAATGAAGCCCACTGCCCTCCACCCAAAAAAAAAAGCCAGAACATCCAAAAGGACAGACCCTCAGAGGTAAACTAGGGGAAAAATCTTCATCTTTCATTGGAAAATGATATAAATTGTTTTTGCCTTGACTATTAGTAGAGAAGAAAATAAAGACAAAAAATCTCCTCTAAGAATCCCTAACAACCGTAAGTATCTGTCATGAAGATTTTGGGATAAGGATTTGCACTAGCACTTCCATAAAAATCTCACATTGAAAATTTAGATTAAAATTTTCTTGGAGTATAGCTTCCTAAGGCCTTTGGTAGAAACAGATCAAATCCTCTTAGAAGAGATGCATTTTAAATCCAGGCTTCAATTAATTCCCACAGAATTAATGAACTTACAACAACCACAATCACAGCAACAAAATCACAAAACACATAAGGAAACGAGCCATTGTGAGCTATCGTCTGAAGAAACAAACTGAAAAACAAATCTAATCACTAAAAAAGTAGACATGCAAAGGTGAAAGATACAGAAATTATAAGATATGAAATATGAAACAAATATATTTAAGATGTTTAACAATGAAAAAGAAGAATTAAAGATACTAAGGAACAAAAGATTATTATATTTGAATGGGCAAAATTTTTGAAACTACAACTGCTAGAAACACAAAGACCATAACTGATATTAGAAATTTGGTGAGTAATTTAAATAGTAGATTGGACATAGCTAAAGTGAGAATTCAAGAATTGAAAAATAGATCTGAAAAAAATTACACAGAAATTAGCCCAGTGAAACAAAAAAATGAAAAACCTGGAAGAGAGATTAAGAGAAATGAAGGACACAGAAGGTTTAACCAGAGTTCCAGGAGATAACAGAGAGAATGGGGAAGAGGCGATATTCAGAGATTAAAGGGGCATTGTGTCTGGGGTTGGTCGTCTTGCACCAAGAAGATTAAGGACACTGACACACTCGAGGAGTGAGTTTAGGAGCAAAGGTGTAATAGGCAAAAGGAAGAGAAAGGAGAGCAGCTCTCTCCCTCTCGCGAGAGACGGGCATCCAAAAGGGAAAAGGCAGCCTGCAGCAGACCACAGCAGATTTTACAGGCAGGCTCGAGGAGGCAGTGTCTGATTTATTTATGGCCCACAGATTGGTTTTGACCAGGTCTGATGTTTACATAGTGCGGGGAAGGCTGGTTGACCCATCTTAATCTTATTATGCAAATGGACTTTCCACTTGGCCAATGCCATCTTGTCTGCACCTTACTGTACACACGGCTGGCAAAGAGAAGGGAAGATGGAGCTGCCCTTTTGATCATGCCCAGTCCCAGGTAGCCTATTCCTATTGGCACAGCTGCCGTCATTCACCTGTGCAAGCTTCCAGCTTGCTTGTCTATGTCTGCAGCTTGATTTTACAGGTTGCTCTTTGTAAGAAAAGAAAATTATCTGGGGGCTTCTTTTCATTAAAAGGAGAACTTTTTTTACTTTCTTATAATAATTTTTTTCTTCATTTCTTCTTTAAAAAAAAAGGGGGATACATATGCAGAATGTGCAGGTTTGTTACATAGGTATACGTGTGCCATGGTGGTTTGCCGCACCTATTGACCTGTCCTCTAAATTCCCTCCCCTCACTCCCCACCCCCAACAGGCCCTGGTGTGTGTTGTTCCCCTCTCTATGTCCATCTGTTCTCAATGTTCAACTCCCACTCATGAGTGAGGACATGCAGTGTTTGGTTTTCTGTTCCTGTGTTAGTTTGCTAAGGATAATTAATGGCTTCCAGTTTCATTAAAAGGAAAACTTTATCAAGGACTTCTTTACCCTCACTATCAGCCTAAATACCTTCTTTTTAACTCCTATATCAAGATGACAGATGAGAATTTTCCAGAACTGATAAAAGATACAAGTCTTCATATTCAAGAAGCCCAAGAAGTGAATCCCAAGCAGGGTAAATTAAAAGAGGACAAACAAAAAAAACCCTAGAATTATTGTTAAATTTTAGAACACCAAAGTCAAACAGAAGATCTTATACTGTGAAATATTTTAATCTGCTAAAGAGAAAAGGAAAATTACTTATAAAAGAACATTAGACTGACTTAACACCTGACTTCTCGGCAGAACCAATAATAACAGAAGAGGATAGAATAACATATTGAAAGGGTTGAGAACAAATAACTGTCAGATTTCTATTATTTAAAACAATAATAATGTCTAACTTTGGGAACTTATGGAAAACATACTGGAAAATAGTACATGTCTCAGAGTGTGATAGGAGTTAAATTTCCCACATTTTTCTGGGGGAAGAGAAAAATATTGATTAACTTTAGATTTCACTGAATTAATATGAATATTAAAATTTGTGACTGGATGCAGTAGCTCACAACTGTAATCCCAGCACTTTGGGAGGCGGAGGCAGGTGGATTGCTTGAGCCCAGGAGTTCAAGACCAGCCAAGGCAACATGGCGAGAACCCATCTCTACAAAAAATATGAGAGTTAGCCAGGCATGGTGGTGTGTGCCTGTAGTCCCAGCTACTGGGAGGCTGAGGTGGGAGGATGGCTTGAGCCTGGGAGGCAGAGAGTGCAGTGAGCTGAGATTGCGTCATTGCATTCCAGCCTGGGTAACAGAGCGAGACTCTGTTTCAAATAATAATAATAAGTCTAGGGTGAACATTGAAAAACATAGAAATAGAGACTATAACTAAGATGAAAAAGTTTTAATATGGATGATAGCCTTAAATAATCTAAAATACAGTAGTTCCCCCCCTTATTCATGATTTCTCTTTCCATAGTTTCAGTTGTCCATGGTCAACCATGGTTCACCATTGTTCATAGATATTAAATAAAAAATTCCAGAAATAAACAACTCATAAGTTTTAAATTGTGTACTCTTCTGAGTAGCATGATGAAATCTTGAGCTGTCCTGCTCCATCTCATCAAGGATGTGAATCATCCCTTGGTCCAGTGTATCCATGCTGTATACACTACCTGTCCCTTATTCACTTAGTAGCCATCTTGGTTATCAAATCAAAAAAACATAGTATATATGGGGTTTGGTACTATCCGTGGTTTCAGGCATCCACTGGAGATGTTGGAACATATTCCCCATGGATAAGGGGGGACTACTGTAAGGCAATAAGGGAAGAAAAGAAAAAAATGCATAAAATAAGATGGTAGAAATGAATTCAAATACATCAGTAAATCAATCAACCTAAATGGACCAACTTCCCTAAGTTTAAATTAAAAAGACGGTCAGACGGGGGGGCAGGGGGTGGGGGGCATAAAATTGAGCTACGTAAAAACACACAAAATTAAAACACAATAAAGTTTAAAACTTAAAAATTATATACTTAAGCAAGTAGTAACAACATGTAGTATAGCTATTTTATAGCAGGCAAAAATAGACTTTAAGGCAAAAATCATTATTAGAGACAGAGAGTCAATATATATAAATAAATGTTTAATTTATCAGGAAAAGATAACAGTTCTAAACTTGTGTATTCCTAATCAGATAACCTCAAAATATGTAAATCAAAAATTCATAGAACTATAAAGAGAAATATGCAATTTACTATCATAGTGAAAAATGTTATCAGCTCTTTCTCAATGATGTATAGACCAAGACCTTGAAGATTTAAACTAAATCATTAAAACCTTGATCTAATGGACAAAACAGAACATGGTAAGCAATAATTACATTTTGTCCACACATTTTTTTTTTCTAGCAGGTATGAAACCCTGTGGTAGAAACAGGCAGTTGACTCTCAATCCCTCTTCTGAGTTTTCACCTGGGTACGAACTACATTTCCCAGCCTCCTTTGAAGCTAAGTGTGGCCACCCAACTACATTTTCGCCAATTGGATACATGTGAAGTGATCTCTGCATGGAAGGGAAGGGGCACGCTCTTCCCCTTCCCTTTTCTCCTTCCTCCTGGCTGGAATACAGTCGGGATGGTACATGTGTGCAAAGAGATAAAAACAAGAATGTTCATAGCAGGACAATTTGTGATACAGCAAAACTGGTAACACCCCAAATGTCCATCAACAGGGGAAGGAATAAATAGATTTGGAAAATCTATACAATGGAAAACTATTCCATTGTAAAAATGAATGAACAACAGCTATACTTGTCAACATAGTGTAGAATAAAGCAAACAGGCCACAAAGCAATAGATAAATATGATTCTAGCTATATAAAAGAAAACCTAAATACTATATTTTAAAGGATGCATACAAGTGTGATAAGAAAAAACTATAAAGAAAAGCAAGGAATGATAAATTCAGTATTCGACAGAGTGGATACATCTTCACGGGAGACAGGAGAGATTCAATTGGGGAGGGATGCATAGAGGGCTTCAGATGCACTGGCAATGTTGTATTCTCAGTGATTACACTGGTTGTCAGTCTTTATTATCGGCTCTTAAATTGCATATATATTATATATTCTCTATTGTATATATAACATATTTCATAATAAAAAGGGTACTTCAAAAAATGGTTAGAAAGAAAACCACCAGATTTTTCGTAGACATTTATATCTTTAAAAGCCTATAACCATTATGGCTTATCTATTGTTTAATGTTTAACAGATTGAGTAAGTGCTTGTTACATAAAATTAAACTGGAAAAAATATTGTTAGGAAGTGGTTCTTTGATAAGCCTTGTCGTTTGGAGCAGGCAAAGGAGAGCAGGGGAGAATTAGTGGCAGCATACTCTAATTGCAGGATAAATACCATGAGTAATTAATTGCTTGAGTGCAACTTTTGCAACCAGTTGTTCTATAGTTATAACAAAGATCACCTTCTTCCATTAATCTTTACCTAGAAAGAGTAAAAAGTCACAAAAGCTAATGATTTATGCTCAACCTTGTCTCTGCCCATCCTCACCTGCTCAGGAGATGTTAATTAAACTGCCTATATTAGCTCCCCTGAGCTGCTTCCATGTTACACTTTTTTATCCCCTTCCTGAATCTGGTTCCTTTAAAAGGCTTTCAGTTTTTTCACGTAGGGGATCACCCCTCACAAGGCATTCTGAGGCATAGCCTTTATTTTAAAGGTCAAATTTCATTTCTTTAAAAGCTCTACACTTTTATTTTTCTATTCCCAACAATACAGTATTCATAAGGAACCAGAGGTTTCTTCATCTAAGGATCCAGAAGTAATGATCTACAAAACTTCATGTGTAAATCACCAATTCCTACCATAGCAAAACCTGTGCTCAAAATCATTTCTGCTGGCCTTGCTCCGTGTTCCATCTTCTGAGACGCTGGCATACTCTGGGTGGCAATGCAAACCTCTCCAGGTAGCCAAGCTGGGGCTTCACTGCCACCTGCTCCCATCTCCCTCCCGTCTGAGCCCCTCCTTTCCTCTCAAAGGTGACCCATATTCCAGGGGCAGCGGGCTGGCAGCCCCTCTTGATGAGCTTCAGTGACTTCCACACAGGACTCTTCACTCCAATGCTGTCACTGAGAATAAGTCTGTGACTCATGTCAGGGAGCACTTATACCTAGAGGACCAATTATTACAGCTGTGCATGGACTCCTATTATTAAGGTAAGACATCTTGGACTTTGCAGACTCCTTGAAATACCAAAAATTTTAAGATTTTGCCAAAAAAAAAAAAAAAGGTGGAGAGGATCAGGGGGAATTCACCACAAAGGTTGAAAAAACCACAGTATGTTTATAAAATACGTAAATTAGTATTAAATAAATGGTAGGGGCAATGAAGAGGGATACATACTCCCAAAGGGCCCTATTTACTCACAAAAGGCACCACTGGGCCTCTTGAAATGGCCCCTGGTTAGCCCAGGCAGGGTTAATTGGGACCCATGGTAGGAGATTTTCAGTCTTTCCAGGAAAGCAGCTGCTGGCTCCAGAGTGTCCTTTGCCCTCTGGTCTGTTTTGCATTTCCAGGTCAGAGGCCAGACTTCCCAATGAAAGGCTGCCTTTGGTCCAGGGGACATGCCCAGTCCCTTCACGCCCCGGGCTGTGAACTGATCTTATTCTCATTTGCATCCTCTTGGGGCAGAATTCAGACAGGCTGTGAATGATGTGAGTACTGGACAGCCTTTCTCTCCCACCTTGGGCTTTTTCTTCAAATAGACAAGTACTTTGGAATCAGGGCTTTTCTCATTTCTTATGAAGAAGGGCAAAGGAAAATTGGGCCTCACTGTCCAGAAAGGTAGGGAGCAGTAGCCCTACAGTGTGGAATGCTCCTAGAACAAAGCAGGCGCTCTTTAACCTTGTGGGGATGGTAGGAGGTAGAGAGACAAGATGATCCCACTGTCTGTGCATACACATTTTAAACTCCCTAAAGCTGGAATGCTGCCAGAGAAGACCTATAGCTTCCATCGCATGCTCAAAGAGTTCATCACCTAGAGTTTACAACCCCTTCTGCTAAGCATATGGGCTTCAGAGTTAGACAGGTATGACTTTGAATTCCTGCTGTTAGTCAGTAGCTTTCTGACCTTGGAAACATTAACTTCACCTTGAAGGGCCTCAGCTTTCCCATCTGTAACACAGAATTAATAATATATGCGTCGAAGATTTGCTGTGAGGATTAATCCAGACGGGGTATATAGAAGCACAGCACCTGGCATGAAGGAAGCGCTCAGAATAGGTTGGATATTATTACTATTATTATTACTATCCTGACTCAGACAGTACGTTTCTGCCATCAGAAAAGAGTACTTGTAAACCACAGAAGCACCACGTTCTTTGCTTCATAGTTTATATACCATCAGAGCCTGTGGTAGGTAGATCATGCAGGGAGACAAATTTACCCACAGGTGCTCTGGCTTTCTGTTTACTCTTCCTTTTCATACCCACCTTTCACCGGTGGGTGCTGCTGACCAGTGCCAGCTCCTGAATTTCCATATAGGAGGGGCTTACACGCTCCAGGAAATGGGCTCAGGTTTGAAGCTGTATTTACACAGTGCTCTCGGAAAAATGACAGTTGACCATATTGAAGAACGGGGCGCTGTGGGCAGGAGCAGAGACAGAGGTCATGTGGTGTATGCTCAAGGTCACCTCTGCGCCAGGGACTCACTCCCTGCTCACAGCCTTTGTTTTCTAGGAACTGCAACTCCCAGTCCCTCATGGAAATATGCCTCTGCCCTCTGCTTTAATTCTGCTCTGTGTGGCTAATCTGAAATGCAGTCCACCCTGGGGCATTAATGGCTGCTCAGATGTTATTCTCCTTAGGGGGAAACAGCGGAAAAAAATGATCCTATCCAAAGGAGCCCCTCCAGGGGTGGAAATAACAGGCACCGTTGTGAGCCAGTGAGGGAGAGTTTACAGACAGGCAGAGTGGAGCCAGCCTGGTACTTTGTTGTTCATTGGACAGTATATTTTTTCCAAGAAAGAGTCAAAGAAAGCTTGATCCCACAACCAGAAAGAATAAAGGGGTGGAGGTGGGGAAATAAACATGAAATGATATGAAGGAACTTCTAAAAGTGTAAAGAAATTTTAAAATGTAAGGAAAGGGTACGGGAGGGAGTTGTGGTGAGCCTGCTGTGAGAATTGCAGCTTGCAACCCCATTTAAAAATGAAAACAATACAGTGGTCCATGATCAGTGAACATTCTTCCAGGGACCCTTAGCACCTGAGGGGAAAATTTCCCCACCCTGCTTTCAAAGTAAAATTTTGTATGTGATGGCAATGTTGCTTAGGGTCTTTTGCTCTTTTTAGGTTTGTTCATAAAATTCCAGTGGACTGTTAGGCTCTTGGATTTGAATGTTCTAATGATTTTGTTTTTGAGATACTCAGGATGAAAATCAATCAAGGCAACTTTCAGCAACTGAGGAGTCCATATACGTCCACAGAGGCCAACATACAAGCTTCCCCTTAATCAAAAAACAACAACAACAACAACAACAACAGAGGTTTGTATAAAACAGATGTAACTGTCATTACCACCAAAAATGAGGAAACTTCGTGAATTGACAACATGGCAGAAACTGGCAATTGTCTCCTAAGACCCATGCTCCCTTCTTCTGTAGGAATAAAACACCTGGTTGTTAACCAGCACAGAGCCACGTGGTTAAGTTCTAGCCAACATGAAATGATCAGGAGTGATGTGTGCAACAGCCAGGCATTGCCGATAGAGGGAAGGGACAGGCACTCTATTTGCCTTTTCTGGTTTCCATGGGCTGAAATGCAAACATGGGTGTGAGACAGATTGGATGATGTGGAAGCAGGATGCCCTAGGAACGACAGAGCAGCAAGATTGAAGAAACCTGGGTCGCTGATACAGAGGAACTACCAAGCTAGCCCCAGACTGCTTTCACCTGAACTGTCAGATGAGCGACAAGTTCCTGTCTCCTCTAAGCCACCATAGTTTTGGGTCTGTGTTATAGCTGCTATAATCCACTAGAAGGCTACCGAGATAATTAGAACCTGCAGAACCTTCATTATCAGTTTTTCTGCTTTGAAAAAACACACTTATGAGAATGAAACCCTGGCAGTTTGTATTCCTAAAGGATTTGCTAGAATCTAACATCTTGGGAACTGAATGTAAATGTCTGCTGTTCTCCGTTACAATAGCACCTCCAATTAGCTTCTATAATCCAGAAGAACTCTTAGCAAAACCAACTGTTGTTTTCCCATTCATAAAAATATTTATGAATAAACACATTATTTTAAAGTCCAAATATAAAAGCACCAAGAAAAGAAAGGTTGAGGAAAGAAAGGAGAAAAGGAGAAGAAAATGAAAATATCAGCTGGATTGCATGGTAACAATAGCACAAAAATATCCATTTACTCCCTTTCCTTTTTAACCAATTTGTTGCAAGCTGAAATCACTATATTGGGATTTATTTGTTGAATGCCAGTAAACTTCAATGTGCTTCCAAAAATTAAAGGTAGCTGATGATCACAGACTGTTTTTTCCCATTCTATGTTCAATGGTGACAGGTCTGAAAGTTTCTGATCTCACAGGATGTAGATAGGTTCTAAAAAGGGAAATTGATGAGAGTTGCTTGGGCCAATGTTAAATGCCAATAAACTAGCTCCAGGCAACTAGTGACCAATCATGATACTTTTATTTTGGTTCCCAAATAATAGTCTTCAGAATAGGCTGTTGGATGGTCTTTTGGAACTCTGAAATTTTTGACTCCATTGCTAAGTCATAGAAAACAGAACTTTAGAGCTTTCGGAGGCCTTAAAAGTCATCAAAAAATGTTTATTAAGCACCTTCTCTATGTTTAGCCAGGTGATGCACACTGAAGAAATAAGAATAAATAAAACACAACCTCTAACCTAAAGGAGTTCGTGGTTTAGAAAACAAAAAAAATCACTTAGATTCACGTTGCAGTTCGATGAAGACTTAAGAAATGGTGAATGACAGAGTGCTATGGAAGGCTTCATGGGAGAGGTGATAGTTGAGCTGGGTTTTGAAGAGTGATTTGGAGTTTTCCAGATAGATAAGAAGGAAAAAAGTGTATTCCTGGTAAAGTGAATGGAATATGGGAAGGGTAGGGTCAAGTGAATATAATGGGTCGAGGGAACAGGTTGTAATCCATAGCTATTCGTGGGAGAAATAATGGTGGAAATTGCCTAAAGTGGGATTTGAAGCCCAATTGTGAAAGACCTGATAAAGGAGACTAATGATTATTAAGTCCTTATTTCCTAGGCAGACCCAGGCCTAGACATATGGGCTCCTTGGACAGACTAAAAATTGTCCCTTTAAACCAGCAGTCTTTGAACATTTTTCCAGCATGCCAGTTATTTAGTGAGATTGGGGTGGAACCGAAAATCTACTAATAAAAACTGTATAAAACAAGCAAACTAGCCAACAAGCAAAATAGCTACTTATACTAATCCATTTCTACCAGCCGAAGCAGAGTTTACATTCTGGAAAGAGCTCAGTTACATGGTTCTCACTTTTCTATAGTTCTTTTTCTCTTCAGTTTTCTTCTGGCCTTCTCTAAATCAGACATCTTGGGAATCACATTAAGGTTTTAAATTTTTAATGATAAAATAAATCACTCTTACCTGGTAAACAGTACCTTGACATGCATATTTGCTTTCTAAATTTCAGCTGACTGCCAACTTTCCACTGATTGAAACCTCGCATGCACAGAGCAACAATACTTATCAGAGAAATGCAGCCAGGGAGAATTGTTTTTAGTTTTCCAATGTGAGCTACCACCCATTGCGATGGGAATTGAATCAGCTTTCTATTTTCCAGCCGTGTGAGGACTTGAGTACAGAAACCTGAGTTTTCTGGCACCATTTTAGTAAATCAAAAATGGACTTCCCAGTTAGCTGTTGGATTAACCCACTCTTTATTATATTTTGTTTCTTGACCAAAGATTTTATACTTTACTTTTTGGAATCTTTAATGTTTTTAATGGGTTCTTCTACTCAATGAAATCTTGTAGAAAACAGATAAAGGCTGAGCTTCCTGACTGGAAGTATGATCGTTAATTTTATGTGTCAATTTGATCAGGCTAAGGGATGCCCAGATAGCTGGTGAAACATTATTTCTGGATGTGTTTGTGCAGGTGTTTCCCGAAGAGATGAATATTTGAATCAGTAGACTGAGGAAAGAAGATTTTGTCCTCATGCGTGCAGGTGGGCATTATCTAATCTGTTGAGGATGTGATTAGAAAAAAACAAAGGTGGAGGAAGAGCAAATTTCCTCTTTGCTTGAGCTGGGACATTCATTTACTCCTGCCCGCAGACGTCAGCACTCCTGGTTCTTAAGCCTTCAGACTCCAACCAGGACTTGGATAATTGGTCCCTCAATTCTCAGGCCTTCAGATACTAACTGGGACTGACACCATTGGCACTCTTGATTCTCAGGCTTTGGGGTTTAGACTGGAACTATACCTATCTTTCCTGGGCCTCCAGCTTGCAGATGGTAGATCCTGGGACTTCTCAGACTCCATAATCAACCTCACAATAAATCTCTTTCTTATCTCTACATATATCTTCTTGGTTCTGTTTCTCTAGAGAACCCTGACTAATACAGAAGGAAAGGAGTACCTAAAACCTTTCTTGTAAACCCCAGGATTCTGTGGCTCTAAGGAATGGGGGCAGTGGGTGTTTAATGAAGGTATTAAGCAGGAGTGACATTATCATGTTAGTGCAATATCTTTCTTTTGCAAAGGAAGAAACTGGAGCCCAGATGAATTCCAAACCATCGGCAAAAAATGTGTGAGCATTGGAGAGGCCAATATTAATTAGATTAATGAGTAGGTACCATCACCTTTTCATGGTTATCTGCCAGACTCTGAATGTAAACACACACACACAAACACATATACATATTTGGGACACTACTCCCTGCCCCTTCTAAGCTCACTATGAATGCATTAACCTTTCTAATGTGGCTACTCTGAAGGGGACAGCTGCCTTAGCAATGGTACAGGGTGAGGCTCATTATTACAGAATAGCAGGTCATGAAGCAGCAGAGGCAGACTTTCTCCTGCTGAGAGAACCATTCCTACCCACCTGCTGTACCAAGTAACTGTCACCATAAATCAAGGCCAGGGAGGAAGCACATGTTTGCTGGTATGTAGATGCAGTCACAACAACAAAAGCCTAGAGGAGGTGGGTACCTTGGCCTCTTCTCAACAGACCACCTGGGCCTCAGAGATCTCAGCCCTCGGTCCCTACATATACAAAACCAGTCTGCTGTTCCAACTGCAGCAATTCCCTCTGAGCAGTGTTCATCTCTTTGTTCAGGTCACCTTGTCTTTTCCATTTCTAAAGCTGTAGGGTTGAGAGTCAGGCTTATGCACCTGACCTAGAAAAATGTCCCATAAACGCATTTACACTAGAGATGAGGATGGCAAATTTCTGTGTGTACTTCACTGTGAGGAGTCTAGTACCTAAAATTTCTCCATTAAAATACGTATGAACATTCGTTCGGGTCTTTCTCCTATTTAGGATCAGGTCAGCCCAAAGAATAGGCCATCTTTAGAATATTTGAATTTTAATCTTCAGCTTCCCACTTTGTGTGTCCTGATTGCCTTTGAAAATATGATGAAAGCTATAGACCCTCTCCCAGAAAAATGTGCAGAATTTTACACACGATTTCAGAGGGTTCACAGATCCCTGGAGCCATGTATGAAAACCTTTCGCTAGGCTGACAAGCATTTCTTTCTCCAATTATAAGAAGATTGCTTGGCCAAGAAGGAATAGTGCTTGTCATTACCAGCTACTAACAAGTCAATCTTTATTTGTCTCTTCAATAAGCTGGTCAGGCTAAGAGCCCTGTTCAATCTGCCACACTCATTGGGATATTTAGATTCCAACAGAATACAGAACAGAAAGTTGTAAAGCATATTTTCTGCCTTATCTGTCTTCCATTTTCTCCTTGGATTTCTCCTCCTCCATCACCACCTTAAATCTTGGTTCTTGATCACATCTCTCTCCTGTTTAAGACATTTCAGTGATGATTTAGTGTCTCCTACAGGGCAAAGTCCAATTTCCTTGACTTGCTTTCAAGGTCTTCCATCTTCTTCCTCTGGCCTCAGCTTCCATTCTTTGCATCATGTGTTGTTTCTGCCACCCAGAAGTACCAATAGCCCACTCTCCATGCTTCTGCTGGTTTTGCTCATGTGGGCCTCTGGCCTGGAACGCTGCTCTGGTCACCTTGCTATCCCTACTCATCAATTCACTCATTTGCTCCAGGGAGCCTTTGCTGACTCCTCCCTGTGTTCTTTGTCACCTCCAGACTCCTTTTTCCTATAGGCATGTATCAGTTAATTGTTCACTCCTGGGTCTGTGTGTCCCACAAGACAGTGAACTTTCTGGGAGCATAGCCGAGTGTGTTCACCTTTGTATCACCAGGATCTTATGCATAGTAGGTACTTGGTAAACATTCATGGAAGGAGTGAAGGAAAGATCCCGTGAATACCCCCATTCCACTCAGAGACACTATATTCTCTAACAGGACAAAGTCTCCCTGAAAGTCTATATGCAGAAAACAATGTTAAATCAGAGAATGGGCCAGGCACAGTTTCTCAAGCCTGTAATCCCAACACTTTGAGAAGCCAAGGCAGGTGGATTGCTTGAGCCCAGGAGTTCAAGACCAGCCTGAGAAATAATGGCAAACCACATCTCGACAAAAAATACAAAAATTAGTCCGCCCGACGGCCGCCATGTCTAGGGGGTGGGGGGGCCCCTCTGCCCGGCTGCCACATCTGGGAAGTGAGGAACTCCTCTGCCCGGCCGCCACCCCGTCTCGGAGGTGTACCCAACAGCTCATTGAGAACAGGCCATGATGACGATGGCGGTTTTGTCGAATAGAAAAGGGGGAAATGTGGGGATAAGAAAGAGAGATCAGATTGTTACTGTGTCTGTGTAGAAAGAAGTAGACATAGGAGACTCCATTTTGTTCTGTACTAAGAAAAATTCTTCTGCCTTGGGATGCTGTTAATCTATAACCTTACCCCCAACCCCGTGCTCTCTGAAACATGTGCTGTGTCAACTCAGGGTTAAATGGATTAAGGGCGGTGCAAGATGTGCTTTGTTAAACAGATGCTTGAAGGCAGAATGCTGGTTAAGAGTCATCACCACTCCCTAATCTCAAGTACCCAGGGACACAAACACTGCGGAAGGCCGCAGGGTCCTCTGCCTAGGAAAACCAGAGACCTTTGTTCACATGTTTATCTGCTGACCTTCTCTCCACTATTGTCCTATGACGCTGCCAAATCCCCCTCTCCGAGAAACACCCAAGAATGATCAATAAATACTAAAAAAATTTAAAAAAAATAAAAAACAAAAAAAATTAAATTAAAAAAAAGAGTACTTACAGCTAAAAAAAAAAAAAAAAAAGAAAGAAATTCCATTTTCTTTATCCAGTCTATCATTGATGGGCATTTGGGTTGGTTCTGAGTCTTTGCTATTGTGAACAGTGCTGCAATAAACATATGTGTGTATGTGTCTTTATAGTAGAATGATTTATAATCCTTTGGGTATATACCCAGTAATGGGATTGCTGGGTCAAATGGTATTTCTGGTTCTAGATCCTTGAGGAATCGCCACACTGCCTTCCACAATGGTTGAACTAATCTACACTCCCACCAACAGTGTAAAAGCATTCCTATTTCTCCACATCCTCTCCAGCATCTGTTGTTTCCTGACTTTTTAATGATCGCCAGTCTAACTGGCATGAGCTAGTATC
This sequence comes from Homo sapiens, assembly GCF_000001405.40. Classification (NCBI taxonomy): domain Eukaryota; kingdom Metazoa; phylum Chordata; class Mammalia; order Primates; family Hominidae; genus Homo; species Homo sapiens. The sequence goes on along the minus strand of NC_000014.9, from coordinate 55,919,040 downwards.
TCATTGTGGTTTTGATTTGCATTTCTCTAATGACCAGTGATGATGAGCTTTTTTTCATGTTTGTTGGCCACATAAATGTCTTCTTTTGAGAAGTGTCTGTTTATCTCCTTCACCCACTTTTTGATGGGGTTGTTTTTTTCTTGTAAATTTGTTTAAGTTCCTTGTAGATTCTGGATGTTAGCCCTTTGTCAGATGGACAGATTGCAAAGTTTTTCCCCATTCTGTAGGTTGCCTGTTCACTCTGATGATACTTTTGCTATGCAGAAGCTCTTTAGTTTACTTAGATCCTACTTGTCAATTTTGGCTTTTGTTGCCATTGCTTTTGGTGTTTTAGTCATGAAGTCTTTGCCCATGCCTATGTCCTGAATGGTACTGCCTAAGTTTTCTTCTAGGGTTTTTATGGTTTTAGGTTTTATGTTTAAGTCTTTAATCCATCTTGAGTTAATTTTTGTATAAGGTGTAAGGAAGGGGTCCAGTTTCAGTTTTTTGCATATGACTAGCCAGTTTTCCCAACACCATTTATTAAATGGGACTGCATCTTTAATAATTATGCCTGGTTAAGCTGATGCTAGTGTTCTTCAAACTACACCTTGAGAAATATTATCTTAGGGTTTAGGGCAGTGGTCCCCAACCTTTTGGGCACCGGGGACTGGTTTTGTGGGAGACAATTTTTCCATGGACCAGGGTTGAGGAGGGGGGATGATTTCAGGATTAAACTCAGATAATCAGGCATTAGATTCTCATAAGGAACATGCAACCTAGATTCCTCGCATGCAGAGTTCACAATAGCGTTCACGTTCCTATGAGAATCTAATGCCACCACCGATCTGAGAGGAGGTGGAGCTCAGGCGGTAATGAGCTCGCTTACCTGCCACTCACCTCCTGCTGTACAGCTTGCTTTCTAACAGGCTACAGACCAGTACTGTTCCACAGCCCCCAGTGGTTGCGGACCCCTGGTTTAGGACACTGGCTAACCCAGGTATACCCCTTTTCTGATCACAAGGATCTGCATCTTTCTTTTGAAACAGGGCTAAGGGCTCACCAGTCTCCTGCAATCAAATGGTCAAATCAAAAATGGAGAGAAGGCTAAGGTACTGCTTTCCAAGTTGTGTATTCTCTCAGGCCAGTGAGCTCACTGGTGTGGGAAGATCAGGGAGTCAGAGGCTAATGGTGAAGACCTTTCTCACATTCTCCATCCTCAGTCTTTTAAAGATACAGTTTTAAATCATATTAAGGAGGAAGACATAAGATGAGGTAAAGCAAATGCCACTGATGTCTGAAGCAGGGACCTGTATTAATGACCTGAAGAAAGATGCCTCTGAAGGGAAAGTTATGGAAGAATTCCAGAGAGATGGCCTGAGTATCATTTCAGAGAGAGCCCAGATGGCCTAGATGATATCTGAAGACAATGAAGTGTGGTGCTGACAAGGCCGGTCAGCTTGGCAAGGATCCTTTCACAAAGATCTGAAAAGGAGAGCTTCACAAGAGGTGAACCCATGAGAAGGGGATGAAGGTTTGCCAGGAGCTGTGGAGCTGGGGTCAGGTTCAGCAACTCACTGCCTCTTCTTACCACCTTAAAGATCACACTGGTGAACCACTGACACATGGATTCTCATTTTTCTTCCAAGAAATTATTTTATATAGCCTTTCCTCCCTAAACCACTTTATTGTTCATTTCATTCCTTTCAGTTTTTCCTTTTTGGTAACACTATGCCCCTGTAAGATATAACAACAGATGAGTGCATCACTATGTTTGCACACACACAGAATTTCAGAAGCTCTATGCTTTTCCTTCTCCTCCTCTTCCCTCAGCCTCCTTCTCCTCCTCCTTTCTACCCCACCTCCTTCTCTGATGTGTGTGTGTCCATGTTTCATGACCCATACCTGGCATTTGACACAATACCAGTGTCAGAAGTCAAAGCAATAAAATACTATGCCATGTCAACTCAGTCTATTTATGAAAATGGACTTGCCAGCCAGTCCCAGCCTGATGATAGAAGTGCGTTCAGTTTCTAGTGGCTAATATTAAAAAGCCAAAAAATAACAGATGCTGGCGATGTTGTGGAGGAAAGAGAAATCTTATACATTGTTGGTGGGAGTGTAAATTAGTTCAACCATTGTGGAAAGCAGTGTGGCAATTCCTCAAAGAGCTAAAAACAGAACTACCATTCGACCCAGCAATCCCATTACTGGGTATATAACCAGAGGAGTATAAAGCATTCTACCATAAAGACACACATGCGAATGTGCATTGCAGCACTATTCACAACAGCAAAGACATGGAATCAACCTAAATGCCCATCAATGACAGATCGACAAAGAAAATGTGATACATATACATCATGGAGTACTATGCAGCCATAAAAAAGAAAAAGATCATGTCTTTTACAGGAACATGAATGGAGCTAGAGGCCATTATCTTTAGCAAACTAACGCAGGAACAGAAAACCAAATACCGTATGTTCTCACTTATAAAGTGGGAGCTAAATGATGAGAACTCACAGATGCAAAGAAGGGAACAACAAACACTGTGGCTTACTTGAGGGAGAAGGGTGGGAGGAGGGAGGGGAACAGAAAAAATAATGAATGGTTACTAGGCTTAATACCTGAGTGATGAAATAATCTGTACAACAAACTCTGTGACACAAGTTTACCTATATAGCAAACTTGCACATGTACTCCTGAACCTAAAGTAAAAGTCAAAAAAAAGAAAGTCTGTTTAGTTTCCACAACTGTTTCATTTGGAGTTTTTCTTTTATTGATTCATCCATCCATCCAAAAAACATTTAATGAGGACCTGGAAAGTACCAGGCACTGTCCTGGTTGCTGAGGATACCAAATTTAAATAAGATTGGTTCTTCTTTTCCAAGGGTTTACTGTCCAGTTGGAGAAACAGACATTGAAACAGACAAATGACAAGATGGCACTGTAGTTCAGGAGTAGAGATGAGCACAGGAGTGGGAGCACAGAGGATGCTGCTTGAAGAGTTGGGAGACCCTGCAATTCATCCAAGAAGCTGCTCTGCCATCGGTGACCTCCATCCATGCAAGATGCAGCAGGCTTAATGAAGTGAGGGAAGGATCATAGGGCAGGAGTACTGAGGAAAGCTTTCATAATTTATCACTAGATGCATGCTGGAAACTTGGTTTCTCCCAAAGTAAAATCAGTTGTTCTAATTAGCTCTTCTCATGTGAAAGCCAAGACTGTCCCCATCCTTTAGGACATTGTCAAGCAAATCTGTTATGTGTGAAGCTGGGAGATTAGATATGAAATTACGGAAGAAACAAGTACTTCAAGGAAAACAACATGTTCTCTCTGAGAACCTCTTGAAGTTTGGCCACAAGTTCATACCAACCCTTTGTGCTGGCTAAGTGCCTGATTTCTGAGGAGTTCAAAGCACATTGTGGACAGTTCCTCCATGGTTGTCATAGAAACTCTCCAATGGGGATGCATAGCCAGAGACATTGTCCAAGTGGGAGGTAAACAATAGAGAAGAACATAAGCTAGGTTCCCCCTGAGTTCTTCTGGGGGCCCCTTCCCCTTGTTTTTCACATTTGCTCATTACCTCCTAAGGCTTCCACCCCCATCGACCCTGCGGACCCCTAGGTCTGTGGGTTCAGCCCTTGCTTCTTCGATAGATACAGAGCTCTCTGTCTACCTGGACATCCTCTGGATGTCCACAGCCACACTTGGCATCTAGCTTCTCCAGACCTGTGGGTGGGAAAGAAAGTACATATCAGGAAGGTATTTTTAAAAGCTGACACTCTAATGAAGATAGAGATGGAGATTCTAATCTCTTTTCTAGAATTTTTTTAAAAATCAGATCTGATAGTAACAAAATAGATTAGTTTGGATTAGTTTGACTTTCATTTTTTTTTCCTACTTGCTTTTCTTTTTGAAGAATCCCAATATCAGGAAGACAGAAAAAAAGCCCCAAGATATTTAAATGGAATGTGGCAGAAACTCTGAGCAGCCTCCTACTCCTCTCTCTTTTTTCTTAACAACAGGACCTTGATTTTATTTGGTCCAGCAGTGCACACAGCTGAAAGGTGTTTGTCAGCCTGCTTTGTGGTTAGCAGTAGCCATGTGACTGAGCTCTGGTCAGTGAGATGTATCATATGGGACTTCCAAGAAGACTGTTTGAAGAGATTTAAGGATGCCTGACATGCTGGGAAAAGAGGCTGTTGTCCTCCTTCCTCCTTCCTGCTGCCTGGGATACAGACATGATTGCTAGAGCTTCAGCAGCCTTCTTCTTCTTCTAAGAAGACTTGGGGGATTGAGAACTATGCTGAAGATAGAGGAGCCTGGGTCTCTAATGACTTCACAGAGCTGCCATACAAGCTCTGGGCTGCTTTCTTCTGGATTTCCTTAAGTGAAAGGATTTAAGCCACTGTGTATTTGAGTTACTATATTCAGATCTCTGTTACAACAAAACCTAATCCTTACTGACAAATAATGAGGAATTAATTGTAATATCAAAAGCTTAAGCTTGAGAGAGACTAACAGCCACTTTGTGAGGGTGGCAAATCAGTCCTTTCCATATTCAAGGTCATCGTGACCCTATTGGATGTGAGGCAGTGGCATCAGTGGGACAAGGAATGAATATTGGGTTGAGGGGCACTGCATGGCCTGATCAAGTTCAAAGGCCCTGGTAGCTAATGCTCTTCTTGGTTTTGTTGTTGAATGACTTCTCTTTTAGCCAATTTCAGCACTAGGACACTGACTCCTCAGCCTGCATTGGACTGGGTCAGACTGTGAGCTACATGACCCAAGTTAGCATGGAGCAAACCATCCTCACCATAACTAATCTTACTTGGAAGCTGGTGACAAATCCATTCACAGCTGAGATCAACTGTGAAAGAGGGAAGAAGTCTCATTTAGTGAGAAAAACAAGTTACTTTCTGCCCTTCCCAACCCATCTAGATGGCCATGCCCATCTCCACAAAACCCCAGCACAAGAACTATCCCTATCACCAGGAGGACAGACTGACAGGAGGCCAGAGATCAAATTTTGCCAGTGGTACTTCCTCCCCCTTCACCACTGCCTCTTAATATCCCATAGGGTCAAGCAGGGATCCGGACAGCAACTTCCACAATCAGAGACTCAGGAGACTCCTGGAGTCAGCCCTGCCCACTTGCCTCTGAGAGCCATTGTCTAGGAATGCAGACAGGACACGGTTTCCCCACAAGGTCAGTGGAAAGAGGCTTTGCCTTTCCCTTGTGTTTCTTTTGGCTCCCTGACATGAGCACAGCCTGTCCCACATCAAGGAATTCTTCAGGATTTCTCGGGAGTGCTGTGACGGCAGGAGCATAATTCCCAGTAGTCCAGGATAAAGCCACTTTTGATTGGGTGCCTCCTTTTTCACATTACAAACTAACACTCTTGGCATTTCTTAATGAAAAACAGGTCTTTAGAATCTGAGAATTAGTAGTCAGATTTTTAACACCTTGTCAAAGACAACCTCACTCAGCACAGTGTTTTGGAAACAGCCCTGTTATTGGCCACCCGAGGGTCAGGTTACAGTGCTGCTGTTCTGTTGATTGGCCGTGAGATCTTGGGCAAGTCACTTGGACTTATGGAGCCTCGAGTTGTATCCAGTCATCTTTATTTTTGTGACTTCTATGTACTAAGCATTTTCCAAGGTGCTGAGAATTCAAGAGTAAACAAATAAATCAAAAATCCTTGCCATTACAGGGTTTATGATGGAGGGACGTGGGGATGTGGGAAAAGACCTTAAATACAGATGTCACATATTCATAGATGTTTACAAACTTTGATAAATACTATGAAAGGAAAGTACCTAGTTCTCAGATAGGTAGTCATTTAATTTAGATTGAGGGGTAGAAGACAAGGAATGTATGGGACATAGCCAGGCAAAAATGGGGAAAGACAGTTCCAACAGCAGGGAGTAGACAGGGAATGGATCTGCGAATTTCTCTTGCATAGCTCCAACATCATAATAATTATAATAGTCAAGTGGTCTGGGAGAACCTGCTGACTAAGACCAAATGAGAGCTGTGAGCATCTCTGGAAATGCTGATAGGATATAAGCCAGTCACTAATGACCAGACAAGAGGATTTGCACTCAGGTAGATGCCAGCCAAGAACCAAACCATCTACCTTCCACCTCCACTATACCCCTAATGCCCAGATAGCATGTGACGCCAGGGAGCTTAGGTCCCCCTGAAGGTAAAAAAGGGGTGGGGGCAGTTATCCTGAATTGACTGAGATTAAACCTGAAAATATTGAAAAACACTGCAGCGATCAAGCCTAAAGTTACAGCTAGGTGCAGTTTCTGTCACGGGCTTCAGATGGGAGTTGTTTTTGCCACAGGAGATCAAGGGTTTTGTTTTGTCTGCTCTACACACCTGTATTGTAACCTGTGAAGCATTTCTGTGTAGGTATGTGATGTGTGCCCTGTGCAAAAAGAGCACAGTGGAATGAGTCACTTGTTTGTTGTTATGGGGCACAGGTAGGGAGGCAGGCACAGCTGCATCACTATCTTGGCAGACTGGTGGTGACACTCCCCATGCCCATGTCCGGGCTCCTACTCTCACCCCACTCGGTCCTCGCTCTGGCCTGGACTGAGATTTTCCCCTGCCCTCCAGGACTGTGCACACTCACAAGAGGGGCTTCACCTGCTCTCGGGTACATTTCCCAGCCTGCTGCCAACTTTTCTTCTTCCTCTCCAGGATGCGGCTCTGAGAACCAGGCTCCTGGAATATTGCCTCCCGGCAGCCCCCTCCCCACCATGCCCTCTGAGATACCCCCTGGGTGAGCCTACAACCCTGACTGCTGTCTACCCAGCAGGGGTGGCTTCTGCTCGCCCTGCCATCCAAGGGAAGGGGCTGCAGGCACCAACGTCAGACAGAGGCCTGAGCAGAAATGTGAGTAACCATGAACATGTAAAAGGCAGGCCTAGCAGAGGGAGGGATGGGCTGCATTGAAGCCTACAGGGCACATGCCTGTGGTCCAGAAGAACAGCATCCCCCAGAGCAGAGGGACCATCTCCTGCCAAAATGTACCGCCACGTAGAACTCACCCACGCGAAACCAAGACCCAGCCTTGTGTAACTAACAAATAGTATGAGGCCTTCCCTAGGGAGCACATTATACCAAGTCCATCATTGATTTATTGTGAAAACTGAGATTTCTTTTTTCTTCTGGCAGACAGAGAGCTTGCAGACAGGATGGGGGAACTACACCACACTGAGACCTGACCACAGCCTGGAAATTCAACCACACTCTCCAATTACCTTGGGGAGGTCTCCATGTGCCTTAGAACACAGCAGAAAGAGCACTAGCCTTGGAGTCAGACAGACCCAGTCTTGCACCCGGCTCTCTGTCACCTGGAACAAGCTACTGAATGTCTCTAAGTTCAGGGCGAGTATCCACTTCATGAGTGTTTTGGCAGATTCATGATATTGCATGTGACACGTGATATTGCATAAAACCCGACTATTTTTCTCTATCTCGGAAACCTACTGTTGACACTGAACCTATTGCAATTGTAATTTTATTAGTTTGCAATTTACTTGCATTTACTGTTATTGTTGTTGCTGTTTATATCCCTCACCAGACTATAAAATCCATGAGAGCACAGACCATAGCTGCCTTGCTCACATGCATTCCAGAAGCTAGCACATAATAGGTACTCAAGAACACTATTTTCTGTAAAATGTATATCCACCCAATAAAAATTAGTTTCTCTTCCTCTCTTGGCTCTGCAGAGAAGTCAAATATTCCTGACCTAGCCATCAAAGCTGGGTGGTTGGATATTCATTGCAGCATTTATACCCCAAACTCCTGAGAAAGGAGACTGAGGAAACCAGGAGGCACTGCTGATCACTAGAAACAGTTCCAGTGTTTATCTAATGGGATACTACTAAGTCACACCCCCAGGAGCCACTTTAGAAAGAGACAATAAACCGCCTCCCTCTGCCAGGACCAAGCAGAGAGATGCTGCCTCTGCCCCATCTCCCAGGAGCCTCAGCAAAGGCCCTCCGGCCCAGGGGTGGGCTGCTGGGGTGAGCAAAGCTTCCAGTAATTGCAACACAGTTTCTTCAAGAGATGGAAGGAAAAGCATTTCAATAATAAGCAAAGGAGAGGGAAAATCAATAAGGATGTGTGTAATGAATTTTTGTTTCCTGAAATAGCCTGGCAGGAGCCTTGCCAGGAAGAGTTAGGACTAATCAGTGACAAGATGAGAGACACAAATCCAAGAATATTATTCAGCTCTGCAGCCTCCCTGGGTGAAAGAATGTCAGGGTAAGGAATTGCAAAGAGCTTAGCCTATTGTCCAGAAACATAGGAGAATCTGGACAAAGGTAACAATAGCACTTCTACTTGTTTGGGAAGAAACCTGCACTTCTCTGGAATTTGAGGGGGGTTCTGAGCAGGTTGGACAAATGGTAACATTTTCTTTAACCCTCAAGTCAACCACCCCATCATCAACACTACATAAAAGACTAAATACGGGGCTATTGCGGGCTGCGTGATGGTGATGAGCAAACTGCAACTCTGCCATTCACTAATCATTCACTGTGTAGTCTTGGGTAGGTTACTTAAAACCTCTGAGCCTCAGTTTCCTTCTATAAAATAGGGATCTAAGAATTCCCAGGTTGTAAAACTGTTGTGAAGATTAAATGAGGTAGAATGTCAATCACAGCTCAGTGCCTGACACAGGGTAAGCTCCCAATAAGTGGTTGCTGTTATTGTCACCATTACGGTTAAATAATCCCATGTTGCTGTGCGTCCTTGTTAAGATCACTGAAGCTTCTGCTAGACTGCATGCCCTTGACAGGAGAGGACCACATTTTCATCCTAGAATACCCTGTACCTGGAAGAGCCAATAGATGTAGAAATAAGGACAAAGTGATTCTCACTTTCATAATCTCCTCTGAACATCTGAGATTGTGTGTGTGTTTGTGTGTGTGTGTGTGTGTGTCCCCTGACAAATGGAGAGAATTCCCTTACAGGGATTTAAGTGTCTAACAACTCACTCACCTATGACAGAGCAATTAGCCTTGTATTAGCACTTCTTAAAACCACTCTGAAGTATTTTCACTTTTTGCCATAATTATGTACAACGTAGTAAAGTGGCTCTGAAGCATACTAATTATCATCTTTTCTGTAACTACATTTTTACATCAACTTTATTGAGGCACAATTTACATATAATAAAATAGACGCACTCTGGTGTACGGTTTGGTGAGTTTTGATAAATGTCTACACTCAGGTAACTACTACCTAAATCACGATGTAAAAACTTTCCACCACGCAAATGGGCTCCTTTGTGCCCTTTCCCAGTCAATCCCCACCTCCACCTCCAGCCCCAGATAACCACTAGCACATCTGTTGTAGATGGGATGAGTCTTTTCTAGAGTTTTATTTAAATGGAAACATGCCATATTTAGTCTTTTATGTCTGGACTCTTTTGCTCAACAGAACGTGTTTGAAATTCATTCATTTAGCTGCATGTATTATCAATAGTATATTTCCTTCTTATCGCTAAGCAGTATTCCATTGTATGAATATATTACATTTTAAAAAAATCTGTTCACCTATTGATTAACTCTTTGGGTTGTTTCCAATTTTTAACTATTATGAATAAAGCCACTGTGAATATTCATGTACAAGTCTTTTGACACATTTTCATTTTTCTTGGGTAAATACCCAAAAGTGGTGGTATCGCTGGGTCATATAAGTGTATCTTCAACTTTATAAGATGCTGCCAGGCTATTTTCCGAAGTGGCTGTGCCATTTTACATTCTCACTCACAATTAGAGTTCTTGTAGCTCCATCTATTCTCTAGCACTTGGCATAGTTGTGACTGCTTTTTAATGAGTCGTCATTGCTCTGTTTTACTTGGACCTTTCTAGAATTTCTTCTTCTCTCCCTCTGCTTCTGTTTTCCAGAACTTCTGTCTTCCATTTAGTGTCTCCAAAGGGCAGAAGTAAGGTGACGGTGTTTATTATTACATTGCAGAACTTGTTTTAAATACATTTTGAAAGTGCTGAAAGGACTGTCAGGGCTCATCTGTCAGAGAGAGATCTTCCACCCAGATTTTCTCTTGTTTACTTCACCACAACCCACACATGCAAAGATACACATGTATGATCTCTTTCTCTTTGGGCAAACTGGGCCCTGGAATAGTTTATTTGTAGCAAACAAAGGGGAAAAAAGGCTCAATTTCCTTTAGCTACTAAACAGTCCATTTCTAGGCCATTCTCTTCAACATCTGCTCAGAGAGTGAAATCTTCTCTGGTGTCTGTCACTCTGGACTTGCCTCCAGTCTCTCGGTAGCCCACTTTGGCCTCTGTAGCTTATGCCAGTCACTAATTTCACAGTAGCTGGCTACTGATTGCACCTGTAAACAGATTCATTGTTTCATAAAAAGTAAAATGTCTCAGCTATGTTTCCTTTCATGATATCAATTACTATCTTAGAAACTAAAATCTCAATCTGCAGCAGAACGAAGAAAGCACACAAGGTATTTCATTATAAAATTATAAAGATTTTGACTTAAAAAAATTCATGTACTTTAATTTTCCAAGATTCTAACATAACCAGCTTTTTTCTGGGACTAAAAAAAATAAAACCAAACAAATCTTTATGATGGAAATGATGGAAATGCCAAGATCTTTCTTAAAGTTATGTAAATGATTTCTTAAGAAAGGCGATTAAGAGAGTCTGGCAGACTTTGAGGTTCCCAAACATGTTTGGATGGTCAGATGATATTCTTTGAATAGCTTACCATTCTTTTCCAAACCCCAGCTATAAGAAAATGCAAACTTTTTTGCCAAATGCTTTTTCAATTTTAAAACTGAGTAATTGAAGGAAGATGTTTGTGCCACTATTCCTTTCTACTTAAGTCATTCAATGTTGTGCACCATAAAGCCTTGGATATGTTTGGAAGCCATTTGTAAGGCTTTTCTAAGCCCTTTTCTCAGGCACAGAATATTTTTATTTTAAGAGTAAATTAAACATTGAAAGTTTCCTGTTCAGGTGGAAATGCTGAACCCAGGGGTTTTGGGTGAGTTACGAACTTGGCAAAATGCATCCTCTGCCATCCCCAGTGATCAGTCTAGCTTCCAGCAATAGAAATACAATGGTCAAACATGCTGCTGGAGAGGAACATGGCCAGTCCCTGCAATAGGCAGATGATCAGTAATGCTGTCAGCCTCTTCTTAAGGGTTAAAGGATAGAGGCCCCGAGCTCCTCAACATTCCAGTAAATGAACAAAAACAAAAACAAAACACTAAACACCAAAGCATAGAATTGCTCATGAATGTGCAAGGTTTTTGCACTAAAAGGACAATATGGTAAGGAGATAGTCACAGATGGTACAAATATAGAATTAGCAAGAAAATTATGAAAGACTTATAAAAGACAAATATAGTATGCACACTATGCATTGATTAAAACGCACATTCTAGGACAGTGGATGTCATAACCAATCTTTCTTAAGTGTGATTCATGGAGCACCTGCCCCAGGATCACAGGAGGAGCTTGCTGAAATGAAGATTCCTGGGTCCTACCCCAAATCTACAGTTCCTCAGACAAATCTTATACACGCTGAAGTTTGAGAACCACTTCCATAGATGGATGCCCACAAGGTTATTTTTGGTAGCTAGAATAATGCCCGCCCCCCACCCCCCAACTAACACCCATGTCCTTATTCTGGAACCTGTAACTATGTTTTCTTGCATGACAAAATGGACTTTGCAGATGTGATTAAGATTATCGTTAAATGGGGAGCATAGCCTGGATTACCCAGATGGGCCCGACCTAATTCGATTTAATTTAAATCCTTAAAATTGAGAAACGTTCTTAGCTGCAGTGAGAGAGATACAACATGAGAGGGACGATATCCACTGTTGCCGGCTTTGAAAGACAGGAAAAGTGGCCATGAGCCAAAGGATGTGGGCAGCCCTAGAAGCTGGGGATGGACCTCCGTGTTCTTCTAGCAGGAAATGAGATCCTTAGTTCTACAACTGCTGGGAAAACTAGATTCTGCTGACAACCCAAGTGAGCAAGAAAATGAATTCTCCCCTGGAGCTTCCAAAATGCAATGCCTTGCGAACACCTTGATTTTAGCCCTTCAAGACTTATACCTCTTAACTTACAGGGATTTTTAAAAATGTGTGTGGTTGTACACCACTAAGTTTGTGGTAATTTATTATGGCAGCAGCAATAAGAAAGTAATAGAGTTATGAAACAGCATACAAGTTATGTACCCATTATACTATTTTAAAAATAGATACATGTTAGTACATATCAGTACGTATTTCTAGTATACACATATATATGTACTAGAAAATGCACCAAAATGTTAATAGCAGTCATCTTTAAGTGTTGGCTTTCTAAGCATCTTTATTTTTCTTCTTTGTGCTTTTATTTTTCAAAAGTTTGAATAACAAATATGTATTACTTTTGTAATCAGAAAAAGTTACTTGAAAAATTAAGTAAAAAAGCAAAGGTAAGAAACAAAACCTAACATGACTCAGTCAGCACACTGTGCTGGGATCGACCCAGGAAAAGGCCTTGAACTTGGAGCTGTGGACCCTGAGTTCAGTCTTGGGGCATCCAGCACCCCACAAGGAGCTCTTTGCATACGTGTATGGGGCCCAAGCTCACTTGCATCTCTTTTATTCCAGGGAGAAAGATAGGGGCTGAATTACTTTAAAACACCTGTTCTTCACGGGAAAGCAGCCCAGACAATTGATTAGATTATTTTTAATCTCTCATTTTAAAAAACCCAAATTGCTATTAATACAACTGGTGCTCTGTCCAACTGAGGGAACGATTCAAAGTGGGTAGCAAAAAGATTCTGTAATTGCTGTTGCTAGAATATATTAATAACTCAGGCAGAGGTACAACATTTTAAGTGCATGAAATTCATTGCTGACTATGCTGAGCAGTAGAGAAAAAATATCCAGTCGATTGAAACCTCATTTGAAAAATGGAGGATATTTATTACAATATAAAAGTGTAATGTCTAATGGATATAGTTTGCATATTTGTCCCCACCCAAATCTCAGGCTGAATTGTAATCCTCAGTGCTGGAGGAGGGGCCTTGGAGGAGGGGCCTTGGGGGAGGTGTTTGGATCACGCGGGCAGATCCCTCATGGCTTGGTGTTATCTTTGTGATAGTGAGTTCTCAGGAGATCTGCTCTTTTAATTTATTTTTATGTATTTATTTTATTTTTTGAGATGGAGTCTCCCTCTGTTGCCCAGGCTGGAGTGCAGTGGCATGATCTCAGCTCACTGCAACCTCTACCTCCCGGGTTCAAGCGATTCTCCTCCTTCAGCCTCCAGAGTAGCTGGGATTACAGGCAGGCGCCACCATGCCCGGTTAATAGATCTAGTCTTTTAAAAGTGTGTGGCACTTCCCCCACCAACTCTCTCTCTTTCTTTCTTTCTCTGTCTCTCTCTCTTGCTTGCTCCTGCTTTTGCCATGTGACGTGCCTGCTCACCCTTTGCCTTCTGCCATGATTGTCAGCTTCCTGAGGCCTCCCTACAAGCTGATCAGATGCAAGCACCATGCTTCCTGTACAGCCTGCAGAACCAGGAGTCAATTAAACGTCTTTCCTTTATAAGTCACCCCTTCTCAGGTATTTCTTTATAGCAATGCAAGAATGGCCTAATATACTAAATAAAGTAAAATTTCTATTAGAATTATTTAATTCTGTAGAGTGTTAAGTCAAAGGCAGTACTAGGAGGAGGTGTTGCTACCTGTTCACTGAATCAGATGCCTCAAGGCACATCTGAGCATCAACATGACTACTTTAAAACAATGATAAACTAGAATAACAATTTGTTAATTTAGAAGAGAAATCAGTTTTGTATGGGGACTATAATATATCAGTCCAGGTGGCCTAGTTAAATTCACAGGCATCTGAGCCAAACAGACCTGGGTTCAAATCCCAGCCTTTGCAATTTATTACTGGGTGACCTTGGCTACACCTTGACCCCAAGGTTTAAGCCTTGCTTATTTCTCCTGAAGAAAAATTGATAAGAATACCACCTTATTGAGGGGTTTGCATTAAATTAGATACTACGTATTAACCATTTGGAACATTGCCTGACATATGGTAAGAGTTCAATAAGTGCTAGCCATTATTATCTTATGTTGCAGATAAAGCTCAGAAAAAGTGGAAAAATTTGTCCAAGGTCCCAGATATAGAACATAGATGCAAATCCAAGAGGCCTGGCTCTTCATATACAGATCATAGATGAAGAGACGAGAGAAAGTAAGAAGGTCCACGTAACTGGAAAGAGATACAAATGCCTTCTCGTTTCTGCAATATTTATAAGCAATTCTAATCCATAACAGGGGAGGAAAGAGAAGTCTCTCCTTTGTCATCTGAAGCTGCCCAAAGAAAAGCTGCCATGATTAGTTGTGCCCTGCACAACTCTTCAGGGTTTCATTCATGTAGACAGCAGTCCAGACCTGCAGAGCCATTATTATCCACTGGAACTAAGATAGCACTGGGAATGAAGAGTTAAATCGCAGAAGCTGTATATTTTAGGAGTACAAGTAGACATCATCAAAACTTTCTTTGATTTGCAGATACACAGAAAATCGTCCTTAGTAGCGCTACCACTTCTTTTTTCAATGCTAAACAGTTCTCCCTTTGGAAAGGACAAAGCACTTTTATAAATATCCCCATAATACCAGTTGTTACTTTGGCAGCGCTTAGTCACAACAGGATCCACTGTTAAAAGTTTCAAATAGCTTCTGGGCCAAAAGCCTGCAGTAGGATTCTGAGGCATAAAAGCTATGCTGTGACTGGTGAATCTAGAATTTTAGGGGAATTCTTCTAGGAAACAACAGCATGCCAGTCATCATTATCCCCAGCCTTCCAGGATCGGTGAGCTGTGCACTTGTGAGCCTTCGTTATGGCTGAGGCTCCCTCTCTTCTAGTATTCCTTGTGTGTCCTGCAGCTCCCCACACTGTCAGGCCCCTGAAAGCCTGGAAGGACTATGCCTCTTATCTCTGTCTTTCCAGTGCCTGGCCCAGAGCGGAGCATCAGTGCTCAAATGAATGAATGAACTTATATCTTCTTGAGGAGGTCTCTCTGATGGCTCACAGATCTGACAGTCATAGAAAATTCCATTGAGAACTTTGCTTTTGTTAAAAAGGAATCAGAGTAACTTGCCCATCCTAAGGCTGATGCTACCAAGCTTTCCCCACACCACAGTGAGCAAAAGAATCTCTGGGATTTCATGATGTTGGGTTCATCCTACTTCAGTTCAAAGAGATGTGTTCTATTCCACACTTGGAATAAGGCATGAAATGGACTGTCCCCAGAAGCTTTCTCAGGGCCACACTCAGTGAAGTTTACTCTTTAGAAACCATCACCATAGCTGTGTTCTTCATACTAAGCCTCTTCAAAGAAGGCAATGTGTGAACCCTACATTTCTCTCTCTCGCTTCCTGAAGTCTGTCATGATGCAGGCTGAACAAATGTATCTCCTCACTGTGTTCTGTAGCCTTTTCCCCATTCTTTGGGCCTACTGCTGTTTTTTTAAAGTAATAATTACATACTTAATGGTGTACTAATCAAAAACAATACATTAATATATGTAATAATTAGTGATTATAATACATCCAATATTCTAATATATGTAATCACAAGTGATTATACAATATTTAATATGTATAATAATTAGTGATTATAATAACAATGACAACCTGTATTTCTAGGACAGGCACAGCTAGAATACACATACACACTGTAGGATAAATATAGATATATATATACACACACACACACATATGTGTATTTATGTATTTTTAAAAACATACTGCTGGAATATATATACATGTGTTTATATGTATAATCTCCATCAATCCTTACAATAACTTTACAAGGTTAGTTCTATTATCTCAATTCAATTCAACTCAATTCATTTCAATTGACGGTGAATCCAAGGCTCAGTAATTCCCAATGTCACATCACTAATAAGTGGCAGCATGTGAAATGAATCTGAGAGATCTGTCTACAGCCCAAACCCCTACCCTCTACACTATGCTTCACTACAAAAGCCACAAAGCTGCCTCCATCCTGTTAGGTTAATGGCATATCTTTTTAAATTCATGCATTCTCCTCCCAATCTTTCAGCCTCCCAAATAATAAGTAACCAAATAATAAGATTGTCTCCCAGGGTGAGATTTCATCTGAGGGATGAAGTGTACACACCTAGGGCTTTGATTTAATTCTCTTGGACTAAGCTGATTAAGTCCTGAGCAGTTTAGACTCTTTTATAATTTTATTAGATGAGATCATTAGATTTCAGAGATGAAATGAATGGAAGCCTGACTGGAGACTAAAATAGCCAAATCCAGCCGCATCAAGGGTTCCTTGGGGCTAGCTTTCAGGATTCAAACACTCAACAGTACATACAAAGCATGACTCTCTGAACAATAGGGATAAAATTTCAATATTAAGATAACTTTTATGATGCCAGGAAATACAGTGACACGCTTTTCTCTTGAAGCAGCATGCTTTTGCTTTAATGAAACCATAGATTATCGATTCTCAGACTCAGGGAATACTGTCCTAATGGATATGGTCTCGAGTTATATTACTACTACAGCCATTAACTCGTGCAACTAAAAGCAAATGACTTCACCTCCCTGGGTTTTATCTCCCTCCAACCTTTCTCCCAGAATTTAGACAAATGAGGACATTCAATTAAGAAGACATTTGTGTCCACGTGTAAAAGAGACAATAAAAATGGAATATGTCACTGCATGTGCTTCTTGCTGCTTTCCAGGGGTCAGGATTCCCCGAGCAAAACCATTGTAGTAATATCTCCACAGAAACAAAAATATCCCTGATTTTGTATATCACAGCAGATTCTATCCTAAGACAAATTATTCTTTTCTATCTTTATACCAATTCCTAATTTACCCACTACAAATGTCAACATTGCTCATATGAAGATGTCTCCCAAGCCTCTAACTATTAGCCATAATTTCTCATTCTTTGTTGAGTTTTATATTCCAGTTGTCCATGGGATATCTTTACTTGGATATGAAAACTTAGCACTTTTTCACCACCCTCTTCTCCCAGTTTCTTCATCTGGCAATGGCATCAGATATGACAGGCACAGAAATTCGTTTTTCTCATGTCTCATGTCAGATCGATTACCATGTCCAGCTCATTTTCTTTCCTTTTTATGTTTATAGTTCTATTCTTAATCCAGGACTCATTACCTTATCTCTAATTTTTTTGGCAATTGCCTTCCATCCTGTCCTCTGATCTCTTTCTACTATTTCTCTGATCTCTCCCTGCTATTATTCTACACTAAGTGGCTAGCTCAATGACACAGAAGTTTCCTCTTCTCTGTCATGGAAACTAATTTCTATCGTGGTCCTGATCTTCTGTCTCTTCTCCCTATGCCATCAGCCTCGAAAGTGTCTTTTCCAACTTACACCTCTAACGTGGGCCCTGCATTCCAGCCAAGCTCATTTGCACTTCTGCCCCAACACACTGTTGGCCTGTTTCCATTAATGTCATTCCAAAAGAATTAACTGAATGTAAGAATGGATACGTGGATGGACGGATGGATGCATACATGCATGCATGCCTGTGCCCAAACCTCAAATCTCCTCTGTTAACTCTATCCCTCAATACCACAATAAGAGAGAAATATGTACCTAGAGTCTTTGGAAATTGATCTCCTTCACAGCTTGCCACTACTGAGAATTGCTCTTCCCTTGGTTCATGTTGCAAACATGTGATCTGCAGTCTCCAATGTGTGTGTGTTCTCCTTCCTTGTGGCAGAGATTGCTAGCTGTTTACAAAACCCAATTCCTCTCATTGTATGTGACTGGGCGAGTAACTGGACTGCATTTCCCAACCTGCTTTGCAGTTTTAGAGGTGTGACTAATGGACTACAAAATGCGAGTGGAAGTGATGTGGGTAACTTCTAAGCTGTGGAGGCTCAATATCAGGCTATACCTCTCCTATGCTTTCTTTTTTGTGGTGGGAAAGGCAAAGAGCAAAGTGACCTCGGAAGTCAGGTGTTGATGATGGCAGAGCTGTCATCAGCCTGGGACCCTAAATGCAGTCATACACTGCATAATAACATGTTGATCAACACAGACCACATATACAACAGTAGTCACATAAGAATATAATGGAGCTAAAAAAATTCCTGTTGCCTAGTGATGTAGCCATTGTAAAGTCATAGTGCAATGCCTTACTCACTTGTTTATGGTGATGCTGGTGTACACAAACCTACTGCCTGGTAGGTTGCATACAGTACCTAATACTTGATAATGATAATAAATGACTATGTTGCTGGCTTATGTGTTTACTATACATTTTATCATTAGAGTGTACTCCTACTTATTAAAAAAAAATAAGTTAACTATAAAACAGTCTCAGGCAGGCCCTTCAGGAAGTGTTCCAGAAGAAGGCATTGTTGTCATAGGGAATGACAGTTCTATGTATTATTGCCCTGAAGACCCTCCACTGGACAAGACGCAGAGGTGGAAGACAGTGATATTGATGATCCTAGCCTTGTACAGGCCTAGGTTAATGTGTGTGTTTGTGTCTTCGTTTTTTAATTTCAAAATTTTACAAAGTAAAAAGCAGAAACAAAATTTTTAAAATAGAAAAGAACTTATAGGATAAAGATACAAAGAGTGAAAATATTGTTATACAGTTGTACAATGTGTCTGTTTTAAGCTAAGTATTATAAAGGGCCAAAAAGGTATTGAAAATTAAAAATATTATAAAGTTAAAAAGTTAAAATAAACTTATTAGAGAAAAAATATACCTTTATAAATTTAGTGTAGCCCAAGTGTACAGTGTTTATAGTCCACAGTAGTATAGGGTAATGTCCTAGGCCTGCAG
Source organism: Homo sapiens (assembly GCF_000001405.40). Taxonomy (NCBI): domain Eukaryota; kingdom Metazoa; phylum Chordata; class Mammalia; order Primates; family Hominidae; genus Homo; species Homo sapiens. The sequence continues at coordinate 55,900,165 of NC_000014.9, read as the reverse complement.
AGTCACTCATCATGCACTCGCTGGTTCACTCAGAGCAACTTCCAGTCCTGCAAACTCCATTCACGGTAAGTGCCCTCTACAGGTGTGCCATTTTTTATCTTTTAATACAGTGTTTTCACTGTACCTTTCCTATATTTAGATGTGCTTAGATATATACTTACCATTGTGTTACAGTTGCCTACAATATTCAGGATAGTAACATGCTATACAGGTTTGTAGCCTAGAAGCAATGTGCTAGACCAGATAACCTAGGTATGTAGTACGCTATACCATCTAGGTTTTTATAAGTACACTCTATGATGTTCTCCAACAAAGAAGTCACCTAAGGAGGCATTTCCCCAGTGCTGAGCAACACATGACTATAATGAGGAGAGTCAACCACTGACTTGGAATATTTCCCTGGATGTGAAAGATAAATAAATTTCTATGTTCCTGAACCCACACATTTTTGCTGGATCTTGTTACAGCAGCTCAGCCCTCCCTAACTAATTCGCTTCTCTACTAGATCACCAGTGACCTGATTAGCTGCAGATGTCTGAGTGGTCAGACCCACACCGGGATGTGAATCAGAGCTGCAGAATTGCCTCCGGTAAGACCAGGTAATCCAATGAAAGGTGAGAAGAAAGGTGGGCTCTGCTGAGCTTTGCAATTGATCCTGAATATAAATGCAGGTTGAATCGTGGACAAGGAGGAAAATGTTTTAGAAGAATTAATGTGAAGTCAGTGCTGGAGGCTAGTGACTAGTGAGACAAAAGGTAAGAGAGTGGATTAAAATAACACCAGATCATTCTCACTAGGTTTGGTTCTATGCTAAGTCTATGAGGAACACTGGGCTCTATTCTAGAAGAGCTTAGAGTTTTCTTCCAATCTTACCTGGTAAACCTTTAAGACTCTTCCCTCTGTAGATTTCTGGGTTACTTCCTTATCCATGCTGTCTTTCAGAGAAAGTACAGGGTTGGGTTGAAGAGTCTTCTGAGGCCCTACAACAACTCTCCTCTGTTCTTTCTGGGCCTAAGCTGGGGCTGGAGTGTTGATAGCTGGGCTTTTTGCCAAGGCCTAAACTCCGTCCCCATTGCCAAGGGCAGCTCTGGTCAGGGTAAGTTGCAGATGGCTGAAGAAACTCCATCCTGGACCTCTGGATTAGGCTCTTTTCCAGGGGGTTAAGTGTGTATAGGAAGATCTTGGGCTGATAGAGGTTGGGTGCATTGGAGAAGCATTGAGTGTGCCAGTACAGAGGAAAGAGTAAGGGAGGGGAGGGCGGGTCACTAGGGCCCTGAGGAGCTGAAATTTGTAGACTTCAGGTTCATTCATTCATTCACTGCATAAGCAATTGTATACCATATAGTGATTTTCAGGCCCTATGCCTGTAGAACTTTGATGCTATGAAAGAGTCTAAAAAAGCAGTGTACCCAGATTTTTTTGTAAAGTCAAATGGAAACTAATAGCACAGTATATGGCCACATCTGATCTCTGTATATGTTGAAAGAAAAAACTTTCAACAATGTCTTTCCCTGTTGAAATTGTTAGAATTTTATAGAAATGTTTGGATTGAGCCACTCTGAGGTCCTCATCTTGGGCAGTCCATGGCTTGAAAGGAAATGAGGGGAGAGAAGGAAGTAGCACGGGTAAATAGTCATGATCTATGGGGAAGTGACATCCTCAAACCAAGAAGTCCAGGTGTGAGGATCAGCATAGGAGCCTCTAATGTGGCAGCTGGCAGGACAGCAGATCAGAGGGCTAAGAATTGTTTTTGAATGAAGAGACCTCTTACTGCAGTAACTTGATCAGCATCACAAAATCCAGACAGGGCTGAGGGACAGCATCATTTCCTAGACATAAGGCCAGAGTGGCCTGATTTCCTCAGGCCGAAGCTGGGATTCTAGTTTTAATGACAAAGCTTTGGCCCTTAGACTCAGGATCTAGAGATACATTTTGTCTGAAAGTTAAGGAAAGGAATGAAGAAGAATCATAGTACATGACTAGGGCAGCATAAAAGAATGTCTGGCCCCCCACATCTGTCACTGGGTCTCAAGCAGAGCCTTCGTTGCCAGCAACGTCCCTTCAAGATCAAGTCGTCAGCTCCGTAACCAGCTTATGCCAGGCTAGAACCTCATGGCCCCCAGTGATCAGTTACAAGCTGTCTCCACCATGAAGAGCTATCTTGGATCCTCAAATCTGTAGGACTCAGGCCAATGTGATTTTTTCACATCTAGAAAAATATGCTTTTGGGAAAGAAACCACTAAACTCAATCACTCTGGGTAAATGACTTTGATGATATGAATATGGTATGGTATGGTATGGTATGGTATGGTATGGTATGGTATGGTATGGTATGGTATGGTACAGTATTAGTTCTGATATGTTTGCACTTCAGTCATAAGAAGCCTTTATCCCAAAAATTGATCAACTAAGTTGGAGAAGTATTGGGAGATCAAGAGCATAAGACTTATGGTTAAGCTTTTCCATATTTCCTTCGCACCAGATGGGAATACGGGTATGGAGGGGTTGAGGGTAGGGGTTTCTGGGATAATATGATTGAGAGCAACAATGAAGTAACAGTTAAGGACAAGAGTCTGTTCCTGCCTTCACAAGTAAGCGGCTGTAGGACAATGGGCAAGTCAACTATCCTTTCTGTGACATAGTTACCTTTGGATAAAATCAGAATAACAATACTTTCTACCCTTACATGGGAATTATGAGGATCAAATGAGGTGATAGATGTGGACAACTTTACTAAATACATACAAATACATGACATAATATTGTGTGCTAATGTTGTCAACAATGAGATTGTGTGAGGAGGGTGGATTTGTTAAACAGAGATGTAGAAAGCAACACAGTCCCACACAATCATTCTCAGCATGGACCCTCCTAGTAGCAGAAGTGACTCCTACCACCAAGGAAAGCAAAACACACACACACACACACATACACACGCTCTTACACAGTCTGTGAGTCTGTGGATATAGGACAGGGAGCTCAGGTTACAGAAAGAACTGCCAGGCCAAGGCACAGATCAAAGCTAATCCATGGTAAATGAGTAAAATGGTCAGGTAGAAATTTATAGAATTTACATTGAAGATTTTGTTATGCCTTCCACAGAAATAACTAATAAAAACTTGCTACTTAAAGTAAACTTTAGGAAGGAGAAATGAGAAGCAATCTACAAGTAATAGCAAGTGCCTTAAAACAAGGATGCCAACTCCAAGGCAGACAGCCTGGTAGAAGTGTAATAGAAACCAGGATTATGAAGCAAAACAGTTTTGTGGCCTCAAATAAGGTGCGACTAAGGAAGGAGGGCCTCAAAAGTTTTGCCAGCTGACTGTTGAGGAGAAGGATGGCCATTTCTGTGCCATCTAGCGTGTAAGACGTGCAACATTCATAGCCTGTGTGAGTGCAGCCAGGACCAGGGCCAGGGCATTGGCAGCCAGAACCCCCGGCATGAGGTGGACCCAAAAGGAAGGGGCAGTGGAAATGCTCCCCAAAGTAGCTGTATTAGTCCGTTTTCACACTGCTGATAAACACACACCCAAGACTGGGTAAGTTATAAAGAAAAAGAGGTTTAATGGACTCACAGTTCCACGTAGGTGGGGAGGCCTCACAATCATGGCAGAAGCCACCTCTTCACAGGGTGGCAGGAGAGAGAATGAGAGCCAAGTGGAAGGGGAAACCCCTCAGAAAACGCAGATCTTGTGAGACTCATTCACTACCATGAGAACAATATGGGGGAAACTGGCCCCGTGATTCAATTATCTCCCACTGGGTCCCTCCCACAACACGTGGGAATTATGGGAGCTACAATTCAAGATGAGGTTCAGGTGAGGACACAGAGCCAAACCATATCCGTAGCTGAGAAGACAGCTTTCCTTCAGGAGCACCTAGGAGCTTACTCCTCCCCCTCCGAGGGCTGGCTGAGGTTCCAGTGATTTTCCTAGGAGAGGCTGCCCCAGACACAATACGAACCTCCAATTCCTCAGTGCACCCAGGCTGATGTGGCCACAGGAAGCAAAGCTGCTTGTGCATCATAAGGGTACAATTCTCCAGTTTGGTGCTTAAGAAAATAAAGCGCAAGTGAGGCCAACTTGCTTTCCATTGCCTACTTGAACCCTCCCTCCAAGTGCTTCCAACTTTAAAAGCAACTGGAACACAGAAAGCTCACTGGTAGTTAAAAATTCAGACAGAGTTCGACATGGATTACTTTTGTTCCTGGAATCTGTGTGGGCAGCTTTTCTTTAGTCCTCGACACTTAGCAAGGGACAAGGGACCACAGAAATTACAAAGGCAAGCTTCTAGAGAGCAATCCGTGGTGAGCTGTAATATGTTTACTTATGAATTAGCCTTTAATCAACAGATTTAATATTAATTAAAAATTCATAAGCTGCTCTTTGCATAGAAATGACATAATTATGTCTCTGATTCAACTTAAAGTGTCCACTGCAGAATGTGTAAAATGTTAATTAGTAGCGAAATGCACTTAAGAAAAAAATTCTTTTAATTATGTAATAAGGCTCATTACAATGGGTAATCAACAAAGCTGCCAAATTAGCCCTCTGGTGGCATTTTTCTACATAGAGCAAACAAACTTTTGTTTGTAGACAAGGTGTGGGGGTGTGTGTGTGTGTGTGTGTGTGTGTGTGTGAATAGACAGATTTTAAATTGCTGTGGAGAAGGAAGCAGCAGTAAGTCCCAGAAACAGTTAGAAATGACCTTGTAATCTCTCAATTCTGTCAGACAGTAAAGATGACGCAGATAAAGGAAGAAAGTCTGAAGTATTCCTCCACTAGTTGAGCAAATGCTCAAAACCTCCACTGGGTCTCACCCGATGTGGTGTGATCTTTCGGAGACCTGAGCTCTTTCTAATAGTGGTAGGAGTTCAGGCAGCAAGAGTATTAACAGGTATTGAGATAGCATCAACAGAATATAGAATATCAAAGAAACAGAAAATGTGATCCCTGCTTTTCATTGATATGACCCCAAAAACTGAGTCTCCATCCATCCCGTTTGTGCAGATGCCAGCGTCAAGAACTCATCAAACACACATTTGTGGGCCAGGCACAGTGGCTCACGCCTATAATCCCAGCACTCTCGTAGGCCGAGGCAGAAGGATCACTTGAGATCAAGAGATCGAGACCATCCTGGCCAACATGGTGAAACCCCATCTCTACTAAAAATACAAAACTTAGCCAGGCATGGTTGTGCATGCCTGTAATCCCAGCTACTCAGGAGGCTGAGGTGGGAGTAATCACTTGAACCTGGGAGGTGGAGGTTGCAGTGAGCCGAGATTGTGCCACTGCACTCCATCCTGGGCAACAGAATGAGACTCCGTCTCAAAAAAAAAAATTGTGAACAAAGATGCAACCCATCCATCAGTGGTTCACCATTCACTCATTCATTCATTAAGCCCAGTGCCAGGGGCACACAGAGGACAAAGGTTTGCTTCCAAGCAGCTCTTGAAAGCAGCTTGAGGAGCAAATTTAGGCTTTGAAAATCAGACCATCCCAGATTCCACACATCATAGCCTCATCCTCACTACACAGAGCCACAGGAGCTTAGGCAAATAACTGTTGAGACTCAATGTCCTCATCTACATGGGGGTTACTTTGTCTGCTTGGTGGAGTTCTATAAAGGTTCCAGTGAGACAATCAATGTAAAGGATTTGGCCCCCGCACGGCAAAAGGCAGTGCACAATGACTGTCTCTGCCCCATCCTCACTTCGTGGCTGGTGCTGCTTTGTCAGCCTTAGCTAAATTTAACACACAGTATGATATAAAGACAGTGGATTTTAAGAAATTCTCCATGGACTTTAAATTAACTAATGTTGGTATTAAGCTGGGTAGCCCTGAAAAGTTACGAAGGTTTCAGACCCACCTCTAGATGAGTGCAGAGCTACTGCATCTGAATGAGGATGATCAAGGAGGTCTTGGGCACCTTTCTATATTCAGTGGCTCAGAATACCTAGCTCACAGAGGGTGCTTAATACATGTGGAATTAACAAATGCATGAATCTGCTAGGCAGGCCACCCAGTGCACACGAACTAGCCCAAAGCAGGGAACAACCGAGAGCTTAATCACCCAGTTTAAGCAGACTTGCTGAGACCCTCTTTGCAAGGAGGCTGCCAACTGTCAGATTTCGCGGCTCCAGCAGAGGCACTGATCCATCTTGGAGCCTATGAGTTCATTCTGACAAATGCCTGGAACGTGAAATGGAATGAGGTTGCCATAGTGGATGTGTTCCAGGATGGATCAGGGATCCATCCAAGATGAGCTTGCCCAGTCTGTAATGCACAGGCTCAGTTCTAAAGTAAGCAGCCAATGCCACTGAGATCTCCTTACCACGCTCTCCCGCTGCCAGGATATGCCTTGTTTAGAAAGGAGGGCCAGAGCCTGTGTATGAAAACCAGGAGATCAGCACCAGCCAGGGCAAGGGCAGAAAGACTCTGAAATGTTCTGTTCAGCCTCAACCACTTCTGGTTGCCCTCCTTACTCAGATATTGCTTTTACAAAAGAATTTAATGAACAGTAAAGGATAGATTGCTTAGCTAGAGATAGATGATAGGTAGGTAGGTAGGTAGGTAGGTAGATACATAGATACATAAACATAGATGGATAGATAGAGAAGGTGGGAGGGTTCAGGCACGGCACTTTCCCAGAGGTATGAGCATTTACAAAGAGAATGCAAACCTTTAAAAAGGAAAATCCTGTGTGTGGGGATTCATGGGACAGCCCAAATTTGCCAGCTAAGTGGTACAGCCAGCCCTCAAACATAGGCTTTCTGATTCCAAATCATCATTTCAGGCTGCCCTCATACGTAACATTATATCCTAGGGAAATAAATATGAATAATCAGTTACTCTTGCTTTAAAAAATTCCTCCCACGACACAAAACCTGCTGTAGGAACAAAGTTAAGTTAAATAATTTGGGGGCTCTAATGACAACAATCAGATAATTGAGACAGGAAGAAACACCAAGTGTTTTGACTCCCAAAACCATTTTCTTATAACCCAATTTCAGTTTAAATCTACACAACAGCTGCTGGTGGTGTTACGTAATTCCCTAAAGGCACTACCTCCTAGAAGACAACATTGTAAATAACCGCATCAAATCCCAGCAAACTCTGGTCTCAGCAATGACCTTGAGGCTAATCGGACCTCTACTTTCTATATCCAACAGACACCCAGAAGTGCAGGATATGTCTGGGTGGGCTCCTCCAGGAGCTACATTCACTGTTGTAACCTACAAAACCATAGTAACAATCTCTATACAATTTGGATAATGACAGTCTGTAAGTGTGCTATTGGTTTTCATTATGATAGACCATATTACAAAACTAGCTATAAAATGTTAGATGGGCAGCAATGACCTTCATTTCAATATCAGATTCTTCCCTGACAGCCTCCTCAGTGTCCACTTCGGGATCACGCAGGTGCTGAGTTTCAGTCAGGGCATATGGGAACATTTTTGCTGTCCGTTTGTAATCAGAGCCATAGGAACTTGGGGTGCTTGTTAGCTCTGTAACTCAGATGTTAGCTGGGATTTCACAGACACTTAAGATCTAGGTAAGATGAATTCATGCCCTCTTATCAAAGCCCAAAGCCCTAAGCTCCCTCCTCAAAATTCCTCAGATCCTCAAATATTTATGCTTATATCATCTTTGACCTCCAATTCCCAGCTTCTGCTGTAATTTTGTTTTTCACTCTGCATCTTGTCCATTGATCTCTACTCTGGAATTGACCCAAACTAAGTATCCACTCTCCTAAATCCTCACCTTCAAAACAAGTTCAAATAGTAATAATTATTATTAATAACTAAGACATTGAGTACTTACTATATATCAAGCACTATTCAAAGCACCTATGTATAATGATGCATTTGGTCTGCCCAACAACCCTTTGAAAGATGTTCAGAACTGTTGCATGTACCATAATTAAGATTTGAGGATCACAGCGAAGCAACATCGCATTATGCACCCAAGAAAAACAATATACAATTCTGTCTAGTTCATTCTGGTTGCTCTGGTCTTCAGTTTTTTATAGTCTATCTCTGTCCCATGTAGCAAACCCAGCCTTTCACTCTCATCACATCTCCTTCTACTCTCTCCCATCCCAAATTTCCTCCTCACTTATTCTCCCTTAAATTAACCTAAGAACCTCTTTTTTTTTTTTTTTAGACGGAGTTTTGCTCTTGTCTCCCAGGCTGGAGTGCAATGGCGGGATCTCAGCTTACAGCAACCGCCGCCTCCTGGGAAGAATCTCTTTCTTATGCAGAGAAATTCTGCACCTACCCCCAAATTCACGTGTAGAAACAATTGCTATGCTCAGCAGAACAAGGAGACTCACTCTCCATGGGCAATGACTTCCCTTAGAAGGCAGCTTGGGTTATAAATAACACGTTTGCTTGAGGTTGTTGGTTCTTGTTGTTGTTATACCTAGAAACATATCAGGAATTGAACTGAAATCATTTGTGGACAATCACTTTTAATATTTTAAATTTAATTTCTTTGCATAGGTAGTACATTTTCAAGTTCTAAATTCAAAGAATTCAAAAGCATATACATAATAAGAATTCTCCTTTTGCCCCAGACCTCCAGCAACTGAATTCCTTTCCCAATAGCAACCAATTTCATCAAGTTGTGTACACTCCAGAAATATTTTAGGCATCTATAAATACACTTTCTGAAATTTCATCCTTCATTTTTTTATCATAATGATATGAAAATGGTAACATGTTTTGCCACTGTTTGGCACTTTGCTTCTTTCATTCAACAATAGCTCTTGGTGGTCATTCCATATTTACATGAACAGCCGCTTTATTCTTTGCTATGGTTGTGTATCTAACCAATTCCGTAGGGTGGACATTTATGTTGGTTCCAACCTTCTTCTCTTATAAACTATAGCACAATTAATAATATACCCATTAATCATCTCACATGTGTGTTCACACATAGACATTTAGGTTGATTCCGTATCTTGGCTATTGTGAATAGTGCTGCAATAAATACAGGGGTGCAGATATCACTTTGACATACTGGCTTCATTTCCTTTGAATATACACCCAGTAGTTGTACTGCTGGATGATATGGTAGTTCCATTTTTTTTCTTTTTGAGGAACCCTATATTATTTTCCATAATGGTTGTCCTAATTTATATTCCTACCAACAGTGTGTAAGGGTACCCTTTACTCCACATCCTTGACAATGCTTGTTATCTTTTGTCTTTTTGATGATAGCTATTCTTACTGGAGTGAGGTGACGTTTCACTGTGGTTTTAACTTGCATGTCCAGACCTTCCATGAACTGAGTTCAAGTTCTTTTTGCCCTATCTTCAACCGATCTTCTGCCCACCCTACACTCCAGGTCGACTGATCTCCCAGCTCATCCTCATCCACTCTCAGAGCATTTCTGCTTAAGATGCCTTCCTCAACCTCATTTTTCCACAATCTCTCCTCCAGGAATTCTTCTTCCTGGGCCCCTATCCCTCCAGTATCAGTGTATTCCTTTTCTGGACTCTTCTAGTGTTCTATTTATACCTCGCTATTGGCCTATTCTGCATTGTGATATGTGTATTTATTCATCTAACATTCGACAAGTATTATTTAGGCTCCATGATGTGCCGGGCACTGTGCTAAGTGCTGAGTAGACAGAGGTGACCAAAGCAGTGAGGAGCTCAGTCTGGAGCTCCTCGCAGAGCTCTAACCATCTAGAGGCCTGAATGGAGGCCTAAATCTCCTACCAGGGCAGTGGTTCTTAACGGCAGGTGGTGGTGGCCGTTTTGTCCCCCTGTGGGACATCTGGCAATGTCTGGAGACATTTTTGGTTGTCACAACTGGAAAGGGGTGCATTGCTATATAGTGAGTAGAGGCCAGGGGTGTTACTAAGCATCCTTCAATTCATAGAACCTGCACCCATAACAAAGAATTATCTGGCCAACCTGGACAACATAGTAACACCCCATCTCTACTAAAATTTTTTTAATTAGCCAGACATGGTGGTGCACCCCTGTAGTCCCAGCTACTCAGGAGGCTGAGGTGAGGGGATTGCTTGAGCCCAGGAGGTCGAGGCTTCAGTGAGTCATGATGGTGCTACTGTACTCCAGCCTGGGTGACAGAGCAAGACCCCATCTCAAAAAAAAAAAAAAAAAAGAAAGAAAGAAAAGAAAAAATTATCTGGCTGCAAATGCCAAATGTCAATAGTTGCTGAATGGAGAGACATTGTCCTAGATTTAAAAAATAAATAAAATTAAGTACCTAGGGAGGGGAGTGTGTTTATTGCTTAGTTTAATATTCTCCAAAACCCCCAACACAGTGACTTGATACATAGTAGCTCCTACATATTTTCAGGAATAAAAATGGTACCCTTAGGATATAGGAAAGAGATAAGTTTTAATTAGGAAAAGCAATAAGAAATATTAGTTAATTTCAGAGGGGAGATCATAGTCTAAACTTCTTTGCCATGGGTATGGTAAATTAAGTTAGTATTTTATGCTCCATTGTTATGTTTTCTTCATTATAATATTTATCATATAAATCCACCAACTTACATAACTCATTGGGAAAGCAAGGGATTAATTAGGCAATTTCAAGATGCATAAATACATTAATATTAACAAAATATATATGGTGACTGGGGAACACATTAAGAGACATAAATCAATGATAATATAGCAGAGCAAACTTACCAGCAGAAAGCAGGCTTGCAATGTCTACAAATGTTCTTTTGTATTTAATAATGTGACAGATTCCTGGCACAATCCTCGTATTTGTTATAGGGCTATTAATTTCATCATACGCACCTTGCATGAACTTGCTTTATTGCATTTGTGAGTATAATGGGAAAGGTCATGAGAGGTCACTGCCACGGCAATGACTTGGCATCCACAGCTTTTGAAATGATTCCTGGGCGCACAGCAAAGACAAACCTCTGGCAAGGAATGGCGTTCTGATGTGCTAACAGGATGCCCACAGACATGCATATCAGGTTCAGGCTACCTGGGAGCTCTAGCCAAGCCCAGAGTCTCCTTATATCTGCGGGATTTTCCTCCCAGCTGTCCAAGGAAGACTTTATTCAAAGGTATAAATCCCCAACACTTCAGTCTTAGAATCTTACTGAGAGCTGTAATTGGGCCCTTTTCATTTTACAGAGAGTGAAACTAAGGCAGAAAGAGTTGAGGTGGTTGCCAAAGGCAGACAACTGGCTGATAGATGACCTGGTCTAGAGGCCTCTGAGGCTACTAACATCTCTTTACCTTTTCTGATTTAAAATCAAATAATCTCCCACTATTAAAGAGAGATTACACTTAATATACCCATTGCTAGCAACTGGCTTCTTTATTTCATGTATTATTTGGTTTCAAATGCATTTTACCGTTGAAAGAGGCTTTGTATACCTTTAACCAAACATGGATATGTTAATTTACGCATTTGTCAATGTCTGGTGGTTGATGTCTGTGGAGCAGCCAGTGTCTAATCAAGAAAATGGAAAATATTCCAGATATTTCAGAGGGCATTTCATACAGGTAAATGGTTCATGGGGTGTTGGAGGGATTGGGGAGCACAAAAATCCAAACTGCAAAATTGCTCAAAGATAAGTAACTGTGGAAAGGGCTTAGAAGAGCAAGGGGGACATGATGTCCTGGCTCATGTCCACTGCACTCTCCTGGCTGCCACAGTAGGAATCACCTGGCTGCTGAGGAGGAACCCAGGAGAGGCGCTTGCTGCCCACTGATGCTGCTTCCATTGCTGCTACTGCTGCCTGGAGCTGATAGTCTCCCATCACTACCTCCCATTGGCAGAATCTAGTAAGCCAGCTGGCTAAGAAGTCTGAGAGGCATAGTTTCAGGCTTTTCCTGTCCCAGAAGTAGAAAGGTGGGTAAAAAAAGGCTAAGTATGAAGTTGAGTGACCACTCTTCCATTGAAAATTCTGTGCATGTCTCATGTAAGAACAAACTGCACGTGTATTTTTAAAACGTGCCCATTGTTGCTCCCATGTCATCCAGTCTTCATCATCTTTTATTCCTATTTTTTCTCTTTCCTTCCTTCTTCATATATTCTGGGCTAAGCAATGCATTTGGCATTGGGAATGCCAAGTGAACCAGACAGTGTTCCTGCTCCATGAGAGTTATAATTTATGCCAATGGTAAGACAAACCTTTTGAGCTCTTCCAAATTTTTTTCTTGTTTTCATTTTTGTTTTTACTTTTCCCATTTCTAACTTTCCCAGGATAGTAATTCCCTTATTTAAATGACATACAGATGCTGCTTAATATTCATGAATTAGAGAGCTGTTTACACTCCTACGGTAAACATAAATCATTTGTCTAATAGGATGCAATTTCAAGATTAAGAGAGGATACTAGTTAACGAGTGTGTGTGAATTTTATCGTCTTATTCTTCATAGCTGAGACTCAGTCAAGGCTTTCTGTATGTTTATTGTAATCAGCCTAAGGGATATTAATAAATAATATTTTTCAAGACAAAAAAGATGAAAACATAGTTTGTATATATGGATCTCTCTCTCCCTCTCTCTCTCTCTCTCTCTCTCTCTCTCTCTCTCTCTATATATATATATATATATATATATATTTTTTTTTTTTTTTTTTTTTTTTTGAGACAGAGTTTTGCTCTCGTTGCCCAGGCTAGAGTGCAATGGCACAATCTCAGCTCAACGCAACCTCTACCTCTCATGTTCAAGCAATTTTCCTGCCTCAGCCTCCTGAATAGCTGGGATTACAGGCATGCACCACCATGCCTGGCTAATTTTGTATTTTTAGTAGAGATGGGGTTTCTCCATGTTGGTCAGGCTGGTCTCGAACTCCCAACCTCAGGTGATCCACCCATCTCAGCCTCCCAAAGTGCTGGGATTACAGGTGTCAGCCACCGTGCCTGGCAGGATCTATATTTCTCATAGAGCTTCTCTGCAAAATGCATAAAAACCAGTTTGTTCACTCATTGAGCTAAATGTATTGATGGTTACCAGTGTATCCAGTGCTTGGTGCTAAGTATACAGACGAACATAAGAAAGAAACCCTGTTCTCCAGAACTTGCCACCTACTGGAGTCAATTAACAGTGACAGCCTGGGGTACAGAATGCCTAATGAAGGGGTAAGAACACACAGAGAGAGGGTGCCCACGTCAGCCGGAGGACTCAGGGAAGGTTTCCAAGAGAAGGAAGGATTTCAATGAATTTGAAGGTGGGTACAAATCAAGTGAATAAGGGAGAGGAGGAGAAGGCCTTTCAACCCCAGGGCACATTGCACAAGAAAGGTCATGAGATAGGTATTAAGGAAGGTGCAAGGATGACTTCTATCAAGCGTGAAATGAGATGACACTGTGGTTGTTAGCAGGAGTTGGGCTTTGGAAGTTTTAAACTAATGTGCAAAGGGCTTTATTCCTAAGGAGGTGGTGAGCCACCTACCAGCTTTGGAGGGGAGAATAAGATCATTCTGGGAGCAGCATGGAGGATGGATTGAAAGGAATCAAGACTGAGACAGAGGGAACAGTTGGAAGACATTGTGGTCCCTAGATGAGAAATGACAAGGACAGAAATTGTGAAGCTGGAGGGGGAGATGAAGAGCAGAAGGCAGAGCCAAGAAATATACAAGCTAGAGAGTCAATAACATAGAGTGAGAAGAGGAATGCTGTGAGAGGGCAAGGAGGATCTCAAATGCCTTCCAGGATGCTGATTTGGGTGACCTGCAGGCTGGTGGTCCAATGACCAAAGCCAGGAAACATAGGAGCAGGACAAGTTAGCAGAGACAGATAGTGAGTAGTGGAAGATGGCTGGGGGAGAAGGGGAGTTCCATTTTTAACACGTTCAAATTCAAATGCCTAAGAAACATCCCCATGAAAAGACCCAGTGTTTGGTGGGCAACATGGATGTGGAACTCAGTGGACAGGCCTGAGCTGAGCTGTCTGCATGGCTTTGAGAGTCATCTGCTTTGTAAGTGAAGCCACGGATGTGGAAGAAATAACTCACATGGGAGAGAAGAAGGCTAAGGATAAATTGCCTGAAAACATCGACGTTTAAAGGACTTACAAAGTGAAAGAAACTCACAAAGAAAAGGGAAAGAATGGTCAGAACTGCAGGAGGAAAAAAAGTATGCCTGTTCTGCTCTTCTTCATCTTATGCACCTGGATCCCCCAGGTTGTTTCTGTTGGAAACCAGTTGTCCATCCTTTCGTATCCTATTCTTCAGTGAGTTCTATCATTACATTTTCAAAACAGATCACAACTCTGTGTGCCTCTCCTTACACTACTGGCAGCATCTGGGTCCTGGTTCAAGCCCCTGGACTACGTGATCTTCACCTCCCCACTCATCCTTAATTCCCCCTTGCTCAGCTGTAATCCAGAGAACCTGCCTGTTTTGTTCATTCAACACAGCAGTAGTTTGTTGAATGATTGAATGATTGAATAAATGTAGAACTGCCTAATGGTACAAAGAAATTGGGAAAATTCTTTTGATTGGGCATTCGGGAAGACTTTGGTAAAGCCATTCTCCTGGAGAGGTAGAAGGTGTTAGTAGCTGTGTCTTTAATTCTCCGTGATGTTAGTGACAGGGATTATTCTCTGCGGCCAGAGGTTACTCTCTTGCCTGTAGACAGAAGAGCTGAAATTAAACTATTTCTTAAGATTTTAAGTTTCCATAGAGAAGGGGATTTTTTTTGGATGATCAAAAATATCCATTGCTACTCAGTGCCTCATGCTTTTAAGGAAATCATAGCATTAACTGTCCAAATCTTGAATCTTCCTTAAACCTCCCACTAAAATTTTGATATATCATAAATGTCAGTGCCTCTAATGAGATACCAGTACCAAATCCCCTGGGGTCCTCATACGCTTTCTATGTCACATCTTGGCAACTTTCAGGAAGTGAGGTAAGGGATTTTGTGCCTTCTACATCAGAACCAAATTGAGGAGTAGATGCTTTCACAATGGAAAATTTATCTCACTAGGTACATGTCTGCCAGACCATTACTGCACCTTTCTGTAACCTTTATGAGGTGTGGAGTGAGTGGGTTTTAAAGAGGGAAAAAAAAAATCCTCTAACAGGATTTCTCATGAGTCAATTGCCAGAGTTGGCAGAAAGAGTAAAACTGAGTTGATGAGGAAGGAGGGGCTGGAGTTTTGCTGCAGGACTTGGGCCTCATTAGTGCTTGGCACAGAGGCCTAATGGAAGGCTTAAAGTATTGTTGGGACAATCCCTCAGATTCCCGAGTCTGGGGACTGTCTCCAGAAAAAGATGAGTAAACAAGTGTGCAGCATCAGCGTTGGAGTCAGCATGCCCAGGCAAGAACTGCGGCCCGATATTTATTGCTCTGCCAATGCTTCCCATTAAGGATGTCCCCTGAAGGCTCTAGTATTGGACACCATTTTTCAGATAGAAATTTAGTAACTCAATTGGCATCCACCTGGGCCCCATGGCAAGTGGGACTAAAGCTTGTTTTCCCTTCAAGTGACAACACAGTGATAAATAGATCTACCATCTTTCCCTCCACTGTAATACTCACCCTCTGGCCCTCCTGCATAGGAAAAATGTTTTCATCTTTCCTTGCTAGAAAGAGGTGTGCATTAACCCGGTTCTCCCAAGCCCAGCTCTAAGCGGAGTATAGGCGGAGAGCTGGGTTTGGGATTTGGTGATTGTTGATGACACCCGACTTTCCTTAAGGTCATTCTGCCCCAGAAGAAAGCTCAGATTGTCAGACTGCAATGAGTGTTCCCTCCCTTTTAGCTGCCTTGCAAGATAGGGAATTAGTCCCAAGACTGTCAAAGTCATAACAGCTGTGGAGGAAATCCAACATGGAAGGGGCTCAGAGAGGGCCCAGGGGAAAGGGCTGCCTTGCCGACAAAGCACTAAGGATGTCCTTGAGCTGAGTTTATCAAAGAGATCAGTTCACGATGGGCTGTTCCCCACGATATTGGAGATAGATGGCAACCAGTATCCCAAGACCCTGAGTTTGCTCCAGGCTGATTTTCCAGGAGCATAGAGATCTTCACCAGAGATCAGAAGCAAAGCACCGGAATCCACAACAGGCGCCTTAAAAGCAGCCCTGAGCAGAAGCTGCCAGAGGAAGGTGTGCTTCCTCCTCCCTCCTGATACCCCTGGCACCTAAGATTCCCAGGTCTTGGAGCCTGGGCTTCAAAGCAAGGCCATCTAAATGGTCACAACAAAACCAACCAACAGCCCAGACACGGTAGCTCACGCCTGTAGTCCCAGCACTTTGGGAGGCCAAGGCAGGCAGATCGCATGAGGTCAGGAGTTCGAGACCTGCCTGGCCAACATGGCGAAACCCCATCTCTACTAAAAATACAGAAAATTAACTGGGCTTGGTGGTGTGCACCTGTAATCCCAGCTACTCAAGAGGCTGAGGCACAAGAATCGCTTGAACCCGGGAGGCAGAGATTGCAATGAATCGAGATTGCCTCACTGCCCTCCAGCCTGGGTGAAAGAGCGAGACTCCATCTCAAAAAAAAAAAAAAAAAAAAAAACCAAGAAGGTGCCCCTCTGGAGACCTCCAGCTTCTATCTCCTGCCAAGTTCCTCCCACCTGGGTCTTGAATGCTGCATCTGGGAGCAGGGTGTCCTCTGTGCTCGTGAACAAATGTAGGCTCTCGTGCCTCAACCCTGGCCCAGCTTCAGAATCATTTAGGGGAGCTCTTAAAGAAATAAATGTTCAGGCCCCACCTGCAGACACACTGGAGGCGTGTGGAATTTTAAAGGTGGCGCCCAGGAATTTTAAATCATTTTGAAAAGAGACTTGATGCTGATGCAGCTATCCATGGGCTCACTTTGAAATCACAGTGCTGTAGAGAGGAAGGATTCCAATCTGATTTCAAATCTCTGCTTTGCCACCAACTGGCTTAATATGTAGACAAGCTCTTTTAACATCTCCACATCCTAATTTCCTTACCTCTGTGGTACAGGTAATATATTGACGTTTATAAAGCACTGATCCTTATTTGTATTTACTTGCTGTTGTCTAAGCCTGTGCATTTACGTGAGGTTTATTGTCCCAGAGAAGGAAAGGGTGGAACTAGTGTGGCCACTCCCTTATGAATACCTGGGGAGCCAGGGTTGGGGCAGAGTGGTCTTCAGACTTCCAGAAACTTCCTGCTTACCGAGGCACCTCTGGGTCCAGATCATTATAAGGAAATCAATGTCCTCTTCCACCTGCAGTGTGTGTCTGTGACCCTTTCCTATCTCCCCCTACACTAGTGCCCTTCCCTGACTCTACAGAGAAAGGCACTCACCTCCAATTTCACCAAGAAGCATTGTCCCAGGGTGCAAAACCTATGCTTAAATAATTAACCATAAAATGCATAGTATGTATGTGTGTGTACCTATATATGTATAACTTTGATCAACTATGTATCAAAAATAATTTTAATTAGAACTTAATCCATAATAAATTTTCTAAGACAGTGCTGTGGTGACAAAAAAAAACAATTGAAAATGTTCAACTTATATACAAATTTTTTTGAGAAGAATGATAGGGTAATTCATAAAAGACTTTCAAGCATAAAAATATATCATGTTAGGATAAAGTTCTGCAGAAATGAAATGGAAATACAATTTCAAGGAAAGAGAGAAACATTATGTAACTTCCAACTGATAAAAAAGAGCTTGTTCATGTGTTTTTTGAACCATGGGTATTAAATCACTATGGTATTTAGATTCTATTGGATAAGTTTAAAAGAGTGATATAAGAGTTGTACCCTAAAATATCAATATTTGCAAGATACCAATAATTACATCCTTTGCAACTATTTAATTTAGATAAAAGGCATCTAGTATAATTTAGATAAAAAGCATCTTTAAAGAAGATTGTAGCTTTTTAGAAGGTTTTGAGGACACAGACAGAAAAAAAGTTACAAGGCCACTGAGCTGTATCACAGAGTTGTCATGCATGCCAAGTTGGAGAGAATCTGCAGGGGACATGGAGGTAGTGGAAGCGTGACCCCTTCCAGCCCCAGGGATCATGGTAAGAGAGGGACTGGGAGAGTGGCAAGCCAGTGTGATCCCCCGCTGCCCAAGGCATGAGGATCCCCGTGGCTGGTACATGACATATGGGGATCCACAAGTTTCCATGTGCCCCAGCACAGAGACAGGACAGGAAGGTGCTGAGTCATTGCCTCGTGCAGACTTCACTACAGGACAGCCGACCAGAGCCTGGCAGTTCCAGGCACCTGTCACCCTCGAAGACCAGTGGGTCCATTTTCCTCCCCTGGCCACTCAGACCTGGTGTACACCAGACCAGCCTCCCCTGGTAGAGAGCAGTGAGAGTCCAGAAATCCCATCCCTGACCCTGTGGAATTCCAGTGAGTCCTACAAACACTCAGGACCATCTGTGGGCAAGAAGCAGGGAGTAAGGAATGCTGCAAGAGAATGGGATCATCAAGGGAGAATGAGTCATCCAAAAGAGACTAATTAAAAGACAAATGAAAACAGCCCTGATAGGGAATTTAACTTAGGAAACCTTGACTATTTAAATAGGAAAGAGGCTATAACCCAGAAGACATTGAGACACTGTTAATTGGCAAGAGTCAGTTTTGTGCTACCCAGCAGGGTGTGGACTCATAAGAAGGTTCAAGTCAGCTAGAGAAAATAGAGTCTACGTTGTCTTTGCACGTCTGCACGTTCTGTGAGCAAATTTGACATTCTATTACACCTGGAAACACGGTTAATGATATTTACCTCGCAGGGTTCCTGTAAGAATTAGAGAGAATGCACATAAAGTTCCCCAGCACGTATGTGCCCCTCAAAGGACAACTATCATTCTTTAAAGTTCTGAGTTTCATGTGTAGGATGTGCAGGTTGTTACATAGGTAAATGTGTGCCATGGTGGTTTGCTGCACCTATCAACCCATCACCTAGGTATTAAGCCCTGCATGCATTAGCTATTTTTTCTGATGCTCTCCCTCCCTGCAGCCTCCACCCCACAGGCCCCAGTGTGTGTGTTGTTCCCCTCCCGTGTCCATGTGTTCTCATTGTTCAGCTCCCACTTATAAGTGAGAACATATGGTGTTTGATTTTCTGTTCCTGCATTAGTTTGCTGAGGATAATGGCTACCAGCTCCATCCATGTCTCTACAAAGGACATGATCCCATTCCTGTTTGTGGCTGCATAGTATTCCATGGTGTATATGTACCAAATTTTCTTTATCCAATCTATCATTGATGGGCATTTGGGTTGACTCCATGTCTTTGCTATTGTGAATAGTACTTCAGTGAACATACGTGTGCATGTATTTTTATAAGAGAATGAGTTATATTCCTTTGGGTATATACCCAGTTATGGGACTGCCAGGTCAAATGATATTTCTGGTTCTAGATCCTTGAGGAATCACCACACTGTCTTCCACAACGTTGAATGAATTTACATTCCTACCAACAGCGTAAAAGCCTTCCTGTTCCTCTGCAACCTCACCAGCATCTGTTATTTCTCGGCTTTTTAATAAGCACCATTATGGCTGGCATGAGATGGTATCTCATCATGGTTTTGATTTGCATTTCTCTAATGACCAGTGATAATGAGCTTTTTTTCATGTTTGTTGGCCGCATGAATGTCTTCTTTTGAGAAGTATCTGTTTATGTCAATTGCTCAGTTTTTAATGGGATTGTTTTATTTTTGTATATTTAAGTTCCTTATAGATTCTGGATATTAGACCTTCGTCAGATGGATAGATTGCAAAAATTTTCTCCCACTCTGTAGGTTGTCTGTTCACTTTGATGGTAGTTTATTTTGCTGTGCAGAAGCTCTTTAGTTTAATTAGATCTCACTTGTCAATTTTGGCTTTTATACTAAAGTCTCCTAACCTTCACTGCTGCCTGGGAGGGCAGGAAGATACCCAGATGGTGGTCTCTGCAGCCAGCATCAAGCTGTCCCCACCCCACCTTTGTGTGACACCAGCATGCTCCGGCATTGCAGCCCACTTCAAAATAGAGGCAAGAAGATGCCGCTCATGTCTTCTATGCTTTTGTCTCTGGGCTGCTGTATCTTACAGAGCTTGAGAGAAAGCAGCTCTGAGAAGACCTCGCGCTCTTCTCAGACTTGATCCTATGATGACTGAGGCATTGTTATTAGTAGCCTCAACCATTCCTTAGGACAAGATAGTTCTCAGGGCGTACTGCCTCCTCCAGCAAACAGGACCTCAGCAAGCCCACCCCAGAAGTTGCCTGATAAAGGCAAATCCCAAGGCTGTCAGCACACCCAGACCTGGAAGTAGATTCACTGTCAAACCACTGAAGCTCAGGCTTCCAGGTTTCTTATGTACCCAGGCCTCTTTCTAGACTCTCTGACTAATTTTGTATTCATTCTCTCAAAGAGGACCACCCAAATTGTAAGCAGTTCAGGCTCCACAAAACCTGGATCTGGCCCATGCAGACTTTATTGTTACCCTCTCCTGGTGACTTAAATAAAGCACTGGACCTAGCATGCTGCTATTATGAGAAAACCCTCACTATGCCAGTGATAAAAGCACCTCTGCAGATGAAAAAGCACTTTCAAGTTAGATTTTCTCACCAAGTTCTCTCAGATAATGAATGCAATGATCAAACGTTAATTAAGCACCCACCAAGTGTAGGCACTGTGCCAGGTGCTCCCAGCCCAGGCCAGGAGAGCCTCATAGCCGAGTGGTAGATCCATGACTTTGGCACTTACCAGGGAAATCCACCTGCATATGGCCTGAGCAATCTGCAAGCTCCACTCCCTGGAGCTGATGGTCAGCCTCAAGGCAGCAGCACGTGTCATGCTGCTGCCCCAGCTGCCTTGAAGCCCCTAGACCTACCCAAGATCCACCAACTAAAGGGTTAAGCCCTGCCATAGCAGGAGATGGGGGTTATACTGGCTGTTAATATTTTAATATCATTCCTCCTTTCCATCATGTCCTTCAGTTCTACTGGTCTTCATGAGGGGCCAATAGACAGATCCAGAAGTAGTGAGAACTCTAATCACAATACCATTTATACAGAAAGCCCAGATGAGTCTAGATGACTCTTGGAATGTTCTCCATCATGCACAGAGCCACATACAGGTGGATCTGGCTGTCACGAAAATCTAACTCCAAAACTCAGATCAAAGCAAAAGGCAAGCTGGGAATTATAATTCCTTTTATAGAATTGGTTAAAGATAGGATTCATTTGAACAACTTTTTCCTAGTGCATTTAAAATGTTTCCACTCATAATTAACTTATATACAATTACTTGGGAACATGTGCATTGGGTAAAGTGAATTCAATCATTCATTTATTCATTCATTTCAACAAAACCCTACTGGATATCTACCATGTGTCAGGCACTGCTCTAGGTGCTAGGGACGCTGTAGTGAACAAAACATACAATAGTTCTTTTCATGAAGCTGGCATTCTGGTGGGGGTAGACAAATAAGCAAATGCACAATAGATTAGGGAGGAATAAGTGCTATGTATAAAATAAAGCAGGGGCACGCTCGTGTAGGAGTGACTGCATAGAGAGTAGGGTGCTATCTTTATAGGGAAGGAGACTCTGCTAGGTGATGTTTGAGCTGAGAAGATCCAGGCAGAGGAAAGGAAACAGCAAATGCCTTTCATCAGATCATATTTGTTGTATTTGAGAAACAGCAAAAATCCTGTTGTGGCTGGAGCCTGGTGCAGCCGGAGACAAGCCAGCAAAGAGGAGAGCGGAAGGGTTTGGGGCTGGAGGGTGAGCCAGGACCTGTGTCTGAACTGCCGGGGCAGGCATTTGTTCTTAGATAGCTCTCCAAGTGCCCAGCGTATTGTCAGGGCTCAAATCTACCTGTGTCTCTTCTAGAAAATCCAATCATAAAATACTAAACTAAGTTTAGAAACTCTAAACACATTTTAGATTAAAAAACAATTTCCTTCCAATATCCTGTCACTTTAGACCAGGATATCCATGACACGGTGGACACAGCACACAATGTTTCCTTGTCACTGAGTAAATGTGCTTTCTGCTACCCAAGCCGAGAGAGGGAAGGATGGTGCTTTCAAGACTTCATTCCACTCTGATTTGGATTAGGTCACTGTGCTTCACCGCCAGCTCCTGGAAGGCTCTCTGAAACGCCAGTGCTGACGGCTTGGTATGCAATATTGGAAAGGTTATGCTCTGACGCTGACTTCCAAATTCCTGATAATAAACATGAATGGGCTAGGAAGCAAATTCAACCCAACCTAGTGTCCTTCCTTCCCCAAAGAGCAGTGTTCTTCAAATTCTCACCTCTTCTTTTGACGACTTAGCCTTTATTTTGTACTTTAAAAAAGTAAAGTGATATTAACAATTTTCATCAATTATTTTTTCCCTAGAAATTCAGTTACAAGGATATAGGAAGAGCCCGTGTCTTCAGACTCTCTGGAGGATCTGCCACAATAATGTCAAAGATAGATATTTTTTTCTTAAGGGGAAGTTACAGTTCACATAGGATGGTTGGCTGTAGGAAGTTACCAGGTAGCCTCTCAGCAACAGACAGAAACTGCTATGGTGAAGTTGCTCAACTAGGCAATGCATCTCTGAAGAGTATTTTGGCTTCCTATCCAAGAAAAAGAATAATCTGCAAGGAATTAAGTAAATAAGAATTCCACTTTCAAAAGTTACTAATAAGTTTTTTTAAAATTAACCTAGCTCCTATAAAAACAAAGCATTCTCACTGTAGAAGCATATTAAGGCAATCCAGAAAAGTATGAAGAAAGTGAAAAAGAAGTCATCTGATATTATCATCCAGAGATAATCCATGTTAATATTTTGGTGAACACCTTTTCAGACTTCGTTTTATGCTTGAGTACACTCACACAGTTTTACATAAACAGAATTAAAGTATACTTAAAGTTCTGTGACTTGCTTTTTCACTCTAATGTATCATGGACAGCTTTCTAAGTTATCAAATATAGACCTGAATCATTATTTTAAATAGATATATAATATTCGATTATGCAAATTGTGGGGTCATAAATTACTTAACTACATTCAAAGAAGCATGGTTTTTTAGTGGATTATGAGGGGACTCATTCACCAGCTAGTGAGGAAAAAAATTTACTCCATTCCATAATCTCAGTACAATCCCTTAATGTGAACCATCCTCTAAGGATGATATTCCTTTTCAGGCAAAACGCCTAATCTCTCATATTCATCTGTCTTCTATAGTTTCTTTCTAGGAAGGGGTGTCTATGACAGAAAAGGGCATGGCTTATGTAATATGATAATGACAAGGGAAGGGGTCCTCAGATGTATCTCCCTTGCCTGCTTCTCTGGACATTTGCTGGAACTTCCAGTGTTGTGGCAGGTCTTAAATGCTCCCTGAACCAAGGCTGCTGAGGTGCAACTAGTTATCTTGTTTTTGTTCAGGAAATGAGCAAAACCCATCCATGATAGCACCCACTGTATAGCACTATAGTCAGGGCCACGGACAGAAAGGCATGGGGCTCCCAGGCAACTCAGCTAATGCTAGGGCTGCTCTGGGAAACACACTTGAAAGGAGGCCATACTATTGACATCTTCTATTGCACCCTTGGGATATTGTTAAAGACAGAAATTTTACAAGCCTAGGGTGGCTGCCCAGTTACCCCATCCAAGAGACAGGCCTGCTTTATTCTTAGTCAGTTGACTCTGATCTCAAAGGTCCCACCTCTGCAGCCTGTTTGACCTGTCCCTGAGTCCCTGCTCATTTACTGAGCTCTCAGCACATCCATAGCTCCTTGAGGTTGCAATGGCTGGTACTTTCTTGGCTCATAACCTTGTGAATAGCAGCGCCTGTGGTCAGTAAAACAATCTAGTTGGGTTTACAACTCCCTTAGGGGATTCAGGTGCCCCATTCCCTGCCTCCCCATCCTTCGTGGATCCCTCATCATTGGAGTCTTCCTCTCTGCCATGTCCCCATTGTATAGAGTTCCCATGTGCTCCGTAGTCCCCCTCAATGCATTTAACACCTTCCCCGTTCTCCCTTGCAAGCTCCAGAGGGGTGGAGACCATGTCTGCTGTGTTCAAGTAGATACTCAAGGCACATTTGGGGAATGAACAAGCAAAAAGACGAATGAGCATATGAATGTGTGAATGAGGCTCCTGTACAGGGATGGCCCTGGGAGGAACATTTCTAGCTAGATTACAGGAAGCTGTAAGCCTGGGGATGCTGGTCCTATCTTCAGGGTCTGACAGAACCCAGATGGGATCCCTGGTTAGGTTGTTTTCCTACCCTGGCATCCAGCTTCACTGTGTCTGGACACTAGATTGCATATTAAAGATCAGGGGAAGTGAGGGTGGCTGGGCATTCAGAGACGCACCGTTCTCCAACACCTGGAGAGAGAGAGAGGGCCCACGTGCTACCAGGACACCTGCCACACCCTCTCTGTGTCTGGCTGTCACATCACAGTGCCTTACACTTATTAAGAGGTGAGAATCTCCCCTTCGTGATTTATCAAACAACTCTAATAAGTACATTTTATGGTCTGGGTCATATCCTTCATGAGCCTCATTATTTTAAACCAGTTTTATAGCAATGAAAAATGAAATACACCATAAATTGTTTCTCACTAAGTGTCAATTAGCAGTTCTGTTTAAGCACTGCTTCTAAATCTGAAGGAAGTTGTTTTAAATTATATGTTGCTATGATAGGATAAGTGTCTAAAAGATGTTTGTGTTAATTTTAAACCACTGGGATAAACTATGTCTTTTATTTTCATAAAATACTGTTTTTTGCCAACTTCTAAAAAAATGGATTTTTGCTGTCATTATTTGTATCCCTAGTTTTTTTTTTTTTTTTTTAAAGTAGTTACTGATATTTTTCTGTGAGTTTAAAATGTAAATATAATTGGCTCTAGCCAGCCAATAAATTCAAGGGGGAAATTAGGATTTTCCTTGTCCTATGAATATATTACCTAGGAAAGTTTGCTAATTATCCTGCTTTATTATAACTGCCTCCCTCAAGATCTATGTATTGAAAAAATCCCTTAAACTACCTCCGCGGTTTGTTACTAATGCAGAAATACTTGTTTCTAGCTCTTTGCTAGAGTAAAAGATTGCCACCTATTTGCTGGTTGGAGATGGGGAGATGACATCCTGCCAGCTGTTCTCTCTGACCTATGGCAAAATCGGCTCCAAACTCATTGTCGCTCATAGCCCTCATTCATCCAGCTGCTGCAGTGCGTCCCCACGGGTGTCAGCTGGCCCTGTCTCATGGCTACCACCTCTAACACAGTCCCCATTGGAAATTCTGTGCCGTAGTTAACCTTCTCTTTCATTTCGATCGTCCTTCAATCTTGCTGTCCCTCAGCTGAGGACCTCGCGTGGCTGGCTGGGAAAACTCATGTTGCATTTTATTTCCACCAAAATCACCCTGTTCTTGCTCACAGGCTATGTAAGAATCAGTGTTCTATTCACCCTGGAACAAAAGATAATCGTCAAGAGGCATTGTGCTTTAAAATTCTATTTCCAGATTTATCAACTCAAGTGACAAAAGACTGGCACATCCAAAACTAATATTAATGTAGCAGTACTTTGAACAGGCATTACTAAAACCGAGATTGATCATTTAGTTTAAGGCTGGCCAAGATAAACGTTTTCATATTTAATAACAAAAGCAAAGAAATATGGCATCAAGAAGCTAAGAAAAGATATTTGGGGGAAAGGGTCCTGATCCTGGAGTTAATAAGAGTTTCTCTACACATCCCACCAGTTTAGGCATCTTGGTAACATCACAGGTGGTATTTCAGAGCCAAGATAGAACCTCAGAGCTGTGTAGTACATGTTTTATAACTTCAAGTTTCAGTGGGAATGTCTGTATTTACTCAAAATTCTCTGAAATAATTATGTAAGGAAATAATCACAATTTTCTACTTACCATGTTGTCGGAAATGTTGCTTGGGTGTATGTCAGTTTTTGGAAACCCGGTGTGAGACAGTGTGATTTGATTAAGTGCGTGCGATCTTCCAGGACAAATGCAGAAGCACGTAACTTACATTTTTAAACACGTTATGAAGTGCACATTGCCTATTTCACTTTCTATCGATTCTCCTAACTCCTCTATTTTCATCCTTTTAATTTTTAATTAAAATGATTTTCTTTCTTCAGCATTATTTTCCTTACTCCTTTTTTTTTTTTTTTTTTTTATTGAGACAGAGTTCCCTCTGTAACCCAGGCTGGAGTGCAGTAGCACAATCTCGGCTCACTGCAACTTCCACCTCCCAGGTTCAAGCAATTCTCGTGCCTCAGCCTCCCATGTAGCTGGGATTTCAGGCACATGCCACCACAGCCAGCTAATTTTTCTGTTTTGTAGAGATGGGGTTTCATATTGCCCAGGTTGGTCTCAAACTCCTGAGCTCAAGCCATCCACCCACCTCGGCCTCCCATAGTGCTGGGATTACAGGTGTGAGCCACCAGGCCTGGCCTATTTTCCTTATTCCTAACCCTTCAAGCAATTATTTATATGACCTTATTTTCTACCAACCTTTAAAAATTTTTTCCCTACAGGCTTCATCTTTGATGTTATTTTTCCATAACCATTATTGGTGTAGTGTCCAGCATCACAACAGTTACCATTTACTGGGCGCTTACTATGCACCAGGCACTACATTATCTCATCTAATTTACTGAAAACATAGTTGTAAATGCTCCTGTTACTTTTACTTGGTAGAATTTGTTAAAGCCCCATTTATTAGTGGGAGAATTAGCAGCAGCTTTGCGGCTTGGAGCCGACTGAAAACATAAACCACTCTGTATTCAAGCCGGGGGAGCTGAACGTGGCTGCTGCATCCAGCTGGCCATGGGAAGCGTCTGGATGATTTCATTTAACGCCTTTAGAAATATTTCTCACTGGGCTAATTCAAGGAAAATGGCTTGTCACGGATGATATCTGACTATAATAAGCAGCTAAAATGCTTTCCCAATAAATATTGTAAAATGAAACAGGTGTAAAGCCACGGTTGGAAAATGAGCAGCCAAGGAGGACTGCAAGGCTTATGGGCCAAGTTTCCAGCAGAAGGGTGGAACCCTGGGATGTAGCCGGAATCTGTGTTATCAGGACATTTCCTCGATGCTTTCAAGAAATTCGTCATTTATTAAATCGTTCATTTAATTCATTTAATTCAATATTGGTATGCTATGTAATGGCACTTTACTGGTTCTTTGTAGGGTATGAAGATTAATGAATTTTAGCCTTAACGAGTTGCCGGCTAGTGGGAAGGAGACAAACCTGACAAGATCTGGGTGTAGCACTGCAATCCCATATACGTGCAGAATGCTCCCCGCTGTGTAGAGAAAACCCAAGTCCCTGAGTTGAAGGAGGTGCCAAAAAGAAGTGAGTCTGGAAGGAGAGAAAAGACCTACAGAGGATGCTGAAAGAGAACAAGGTGGTGGATGCTGGTGGCAGGAAACAGCTCTCCTCCTGCCTGAGAAACCAGCCAGGCATTAGGGGCGTGCAACTTGAGAGCTAAGCACAGGCTGCCTGTGACGACAGCCTGCCATGTGGGAGCAGGTGGAGAAGATGGGGTGGCAGGCAGAGGTGGAGAGCCATGAGCGAGCCACTTGCAGGCAGGTTGGCTGGCTGCTGTTTGCCTCCAACACAGTGTGTGCAGTGCATGCAGGGTGGGCCCTGAGAAAGGGGTGAGCAATGTCTACAGGATCCAGAGCTTGGAGGGGCTGAAAGTTAGTGTATTCCATAGAGCTCCAGAGAAGTGGGCACTGTGGACTGAACTGAGAAGTTGCCAACCCAAGGCTTACAGGTCTGCACGAAAAGGAGAGCCAAGGTCATAGTGACGCAAAACCAGTACAAAAATGTTTATAGCACCTTTATTCTTAATAGCCAGAAACCAGGAGCAACCCAAATGTCCTTCAATGGGTGAATGGTTAGACAAATGGTGGTACATCCACACCGTGGAAGGCAACTCAGCAAAGACAGGCTACTGATACACACAAGACTTGGACAAATCTCCAGGAACAATGTTAAGTGAAAAAAGCCAATTCTAAATAATTGCATATTTTATTATTTCATGTATATCACATTCTTGAAATGACAAAACTATAAAAATAGAGAATGGATTCGTGATTGCCAAGGGTCAGGGATGGGGGTTAGAGGGAGGTATACGTGGCTATAAAAGGGCAACACGAAGGACCCTTGAGGTGACGGTAATGCTCTGTATCTTGGCCGGGTGCAGTAGCTCACACCTGTAATTCCAGCACTTTGGGAGGCCGAGGCGGGCAGATCACCTGAGGTCAAGGAGTTCAAGACCAGCCTGGCCAACATGGCGAAACCCCATCTCTACTGAAAATACAAGTGAGCTGGGCGTGGTGGTGGGTGCCTGTAATCCCAGCTACTCAGGTGGCTGGGGCACAAGAATTGCTTGAACCTGGGAGGCAGGGGTTGCAGTGAGCCGAGATGGCACCACTGCACTCCAGCTTGGATGAGAGAGAATAAAAAAATAAAAAATAAAAAATAAAAAAGCAGAAGAATAAGAAAAAGAAGAAGAAGAAGAAATGCTCTGTATCTTGACTGTATCAATGAGCTGTGCTGATTGTCATAATGTACTACAGTTTTACAAGATGTCACCATGGAGCAAAATGGAACAAAGGGTATACAGGATCTCTGTATTATTTCTTACCAATACCTGTAAATCTACAATTATCTTAAAAGGAAAAATCTAATTTTTAAAAAACCCTACATCTTGGGAACCTGATTCGTTTCTTTTTACATTTTTTTCCTTATAATTTTTTTTAGGCTCCTTTGAAAATTTTAGCCTATTTGTTTATTAGAGACTTAAACATGTTGATTATTTGGCACAGTATTCTAAGCCTAAAAATATTCTGAGGAAAAATCCAAAATGCAGACAAAGATGTCCATTGTAACATGATTAGTGCACAACCCTGAAATGAAATTTATGTCCAATATCAAAGAAGGGGTTAGACAAAACATCAAATCCAAATGATGGAATATTCTGCAACCATTAAAGTTAATAACAAAAAATTCAATGACATGATAAAAATTTTAAAAATAATGTTATGGAAGAAAGTGAAGATAGACAATGATACCTTCAATATGATTTCAGTAATCTATGTTAATGTGCATGAAATGAGGGAAATAATCCAAATGTTAGCAATAATAATCTCTATGTAGTAGAACTGTGAGTGAGCTTTATTCTGCTATCTCATATTTATTTTAGTTTTCTAAGTTTTACACAGTGAGCTTTCCACCAGTATGATCTTGGACTAGTTGTTACCCTTCCTAAGCCTTTGTGTCCTCCTTCATAAAATGGAGGTGATAATAGAAGCACCTTTATATTTGCATCATCTTTACAATGTTTAGTGAAGCATCTGCTACACAATAAATTAGAAATAAATGTTACTTATTTGAAAAACATTTATGTATAGGACTCTCAATGTAGCAAGCACTATTCGAAGATCTTTACAAATAATAACTCATGTAGTCCTCATAGCAACCCTCTAAGTACTGTTATTATCCCCCACAAATCAAATGAGGAAACTGAAACACATAGAAGTTACATGATTTGCCCAAAGTTGCAGAGCCAATAAATAACAGAGCTGGAGTTTGAACACAGATAGTCTGGTTCCAAAGTCTGTGCTATTCATCATTACACTATTTTATCTTTGTTAATTATTATTATGGAATAGAATCAAAACTATAGTCAGTCACTAAAATAATTGGAAAAGGCAGAAGTTCACTGGAAATAGATGATCGATGACAGCTGGCATGGGGAAAAAATGGTGGGGCAAACATTCTGCTTGAAGTGCTTACAGGATTTGGAGTCATATAGTTTAAACTGCATATCAGTACCTATATGGGCTTGCATGAATTAATGTCTTTGAGTATGAATTTCAAAATCTGTGAAATAATATGTTAAAAGTACCTGCCTTTCAAACTCAAGGAGAGGATTATGGAAGATAGTACATGTAAAGTAATTCTATCAGTACATACTCAACAAACGCTAGTTTCCTTTCTTCTTGTAAACATTTAAAACATTGCTTTAATAGGGCAGAACACATTCAGATGATCGCATCCAAATATACGTCTCATGATAAATGAACCATCTTTTGATTATCGTTAGCAAAATAAAATTGATGCCTGGTATCTAAGTGGCTTAATAGACCATCTCTACGACATAACTCAAAGTTCCTGGAGAATGCAGAATTTATAGGGTGTGTAGTTGGAGCATCTCAGTGATCCCTCTTGGATCCTGAACACCCAGCACAAACAGCAAGAATCTGATTTACAATAAATGGTAACACAGGATTCTTGTGGCAACACAAGAATAACGCACATAATAAATACAGCAGACACTATAAAAACATCCACTGGCAGAGTCCAAGGACTTAACAGCATCAGAAACAAATATACACCATCTATTCTTTATGGAGCTTTATGATCCAATAAAAACTGAAACAATAGACCACTGTATCAATATACAATCCCAATTTAACAATGAAGCCCAAGAAACACTGGGATACACCATCTGAAGCAAAAGAAAAGAAGCATTATCAAATAAAGATAACTAAACTATCGGTAGTAGATCCAAACTAGTAGTGTGGTATTCCCTAAGGCTGGAGACAGATCATCAGGGAATCTTGCTCACATGTTGTGACCTGTGGGTTTCCTGGTCACAGGGAAAAAAAGGCCTTTCTCACATGAGTCATGAGGCTCAGGAAAAATGGATTATCTGCCATGATACAAAATGTGTTTTACACTGATCATTTTAACAGTCAGGTAATTTCATAGACTGAGCTATGACCATTAGTGAAGTTCTGTGCATTGAAGTCATATGTGCCAAATCTGTGAAAGGTACTATGGAAAGAGCACAGGCTTTGGTGCCAGATGAGTGTTGGCCTCTGATTCCTCCCATTATCATTAAGGTGACCTTGAGCGAGATATTTAAGCCCTTTAAATCTCAGTTTGATTTAGCTATAAAATTTTAAAAAATCTTAACCTGGCAGCATTGTTATAAAGATTATAGATTAGGTATGGAAAGGGCACTTATTCCAAGCCTAAGAATATTCTGAGGAAAAACCAAAACACAAAGATGTTCATTGTAACATGATTTATTAGAGTGGAACCCTAAAATGAAATTTATGTCCAATATCAAAGAAGAGGTTAGATAAAATATCATATCCAAATGATGGAATATTCTGCAACCATTAAAGATAATAACAAAAAATTCAATGACATGATAAGATGAAATCAGGTGCCCATTATACCATAGCTGCTGCTATTGTTATTATTATCACTAAATCAATAACAAGGAGTGGAAACTCTTTAAACATCAACAAACAATATTTCCTATGACAAGATTTCAAAAAAACCAACACCACTATCTTCAAAAACAAAAGTCACAATTAAAATGGATTACTAAAGATATTTGAATAACCCAAAAGAAGAAGGAAAGGTGAGACAAAGGAACAAAAGACCTGGAGAACAAATTTAAAACAAATTATAAAATGGTAAGCCTAAGTTCAAACATATCAACACTAACATTAATTGTGAATGGTCTAAACAAACCAATTAAAAGAATGAGATTGTTAGAAAGGAAAAACAAAACTACTCAAGTATATTCTATATATAGGAAACTCACCTCAAACATCATGATATACGTAGGTTAAAAGTAGAAGTGGCTCATACCTGTAATCCCAGCACCTGGGTAGGCTGAAGGGAGTGGATCACTTGAGTCCAGGAGTTCAAGACCACCCTGAGCAACATGGTGAAACCCCATCTCTACAAAAAAATAAAAAATCAGTCAGGCATGGTGGCAGGCACCTATAGTCCCAGCTACTCTGGAGGCTCAGGCAGGAAGATCGCTTGAGCCTGGGAGATTGAGGCTGCAGTGAGCCAAGATTGCACCACTACACTTCATCCTGAGTGGCAAAAAAAAAAAATTAAGTGGCATGGCTGTATTAGTATCACATAAAGTATCTTTATAACAAAGAAAATTTTCAGAGATAAAGAGGGACATTATATAATGATAAAAGGGTCAATTCACCAAGAAAACATACATTCCTTAATGCATATACAATTAACAACACAGTCTCAAAATACCTGAAGAAAAGCTGACAGAACTGAACGAGAAACAGAAAAAGCCACAGTTACGTTTGGAGACTTCAACACTCCTCTCTAGGTAATAGATACAACTAGTAGATGGAAAAAAAATCAGCAAAGACATAGAAGAACTGAACAACACCACTAATCCACTTGCTCTGGTTAACATATAGTAAACATTCTCCACAACAATAGTGAAATACACATTCTTTTCAAGTATACATGGAACAGTCACCATCTCCTGAGTCATAAAATAAACCTTAGCAAAATGAAAAGAATGGAAATCATGGAAAGTATGACCTCTAACTATGATAGAATTAAATTAGAAATGGGTAACAAAGATAACAGAAAAATCCCCAAACACTTTACTTCAAAATAATCCATGTTTCAAAGAGGAAGTCTCAAGGAAATTTTTTTTAATTTTAGCTATCAGAAAATAAAAATAAAACACATCAAAAATTGTGATATGCCTCTGAGGCAGTGCTGGGTGAAATCAACATTAAATGTTTATAGTAAAAGAAAATAAATGCTTCAAATAGTCTTTTCCTCTTTAACTAGGAAAAGAATAGTAAAATAAAACCAAAGCAAGAAGAGAGAAGGAAATAAACAGCAGTAATCCATGAAACTGAAAGCAAAAAAAGAGGAAATTAGTAAAACAAATAGTTCCTTCTTTGAAAAGGTCAATGAAATTGATAAAACTCTAGCAAAACTAACAAAGAGAAAAAGAGAAAATAGAGTAATTGCCAATATCAAGAATGAAGGAGGGACTATCATTATAGACCACACAGTATCAAAAGAACAATAAGGGAATACTCCAAACAACTCTATGCACATAAATTTGACAACTGAGGTGAAATGAACAAACTGCTCAAAAAACACAAACTAAAAAAATCACCCAGATGAAATAGGTAACCAGAATAGTTCTATGACTATCAACGAAATCGAATTAATAACACCTTCTGAACAAAAATTTGGGGGCCCAGATACCTTCACTGGTGAATTTTACCAAACATTTTAAAAAGCAACATGCAAATTATGTTAATCTTTTCCAGAAAATAGAAGGGCAGAGAATACTTCCTAGCTCATTTTGCGAAGTCAGAGGCCATTACCCTGATACCAAAACTGCACAATAAGAGTACAAGGAAAAGAAAATTAAAGACCAAATTCTCTAATAAACATAGATGAAAAAATCCTCAACAAAGTATCAGTAAATTGAATCCAGCAGTGTATAAAAAGAATAACACACCACAATCAAGCAGGGTATAGCCCTGGAACGCAAGGCTGGTTCATGTCTGAAACTCAATCATGTAACCCACCATATTAAAGTTCTAGAGAAGGAATGTCACATGATTATAGACTGATGCAGAAAAAGCATTTGAAAAAAAAATCCAAATTCATTATGATAAAAATTCTTACAAACCAGGAATAGAAGAGATCATCCTCAACCTCCTAAAAGGCATCTAACCTACAGCTAACATCATACTTAAGGTCAGCTGAATGTTTTCAAGCTAAAACCGGGAACAAAGCAAGAATATTCACTTTTACTTCTCCCATTCACTATCAGGAAGTCTTAGCCAGAGTAACTAACAAGAAAACGAAAAAAGACATACAGAATAGAAAGGAAGAAATAAAACTGTCCCTATTCATAAATAATATGACTGTTCACATAGAAAAAAAACAATAAATTAATATGTGAGTTTAACAAGGCCTCAGGATACAAGGTTACCACACAAAATTCAATCTTACTTCTATATACCAAAACAAACACTGAAAATTAAAATTTTAAAGACTGATCGAAGACAGCCAACTAGAAGTAGCTAGTATGTGCCGGAAACATCCAGGTGTGCACACTGGGAATCATCAAGGAAATAACTCGATCCACAGAGAATAGAGAGGAGCCAGGCAGGACAACCACCCATCTGGGAGAGGCAAGGAGCCAGAGGAGGCTCCCCTTCCATGGGAACAGTGACTGAGTGAGAGATCCCAGGGACCCACGCTTCTTCCACAGACCTTTGCAACGCTGAGGTCAGGAGGTCCCCCTCATGAACCTACTACCAGGGTTCACTCTGACACACAGAGCTAGGTGGAGTCTGGGCAGAGCCACTGATCAGGGTCCTAGGAGCCTTTGGTCCCCGGGCATCCCAGGATTAGCAGCCACAGCTCTGGCAAAGGGGTAGGTTAGGCTCCCTTAAGGGAAAGGGGCTGAATCCAAGGGGCTGAGCAGAGACAGTCTGCAGGCCTCACTTCCACGGCACCTGGTGGGGTAAGACCCACTGACCTGGAACTCCAGCCACATGTGACCATGGTAGCAGCTCCACGCCTCCCTGAGAGGGAGCTCCCGGAGGGAGGGGTGGGCCACCATCTTTGCTGTTTTGCAGCCTTTGCTGTTGCTGCCTTCAGGCACTGGAGAGCCCAGGGTGATGAGGGACTGACTGGCCCCCCGGCACAGTGCAGCTGCCCTATAAAAAAGCATTCAGATCGTTTTTTACATGGGTCCTCCACCCCATTTTTCCTCACTGGGCAAGACCTCTCAACCTGGGACTCCACCCACCACCCCCGGCAGTCCCCTCACCCCCACCCCCTCCAGGGCAATCGGGCCAGTAGCAGCTCCTCGCCTCCCTGGGGAAGAGCTCCCAGAGGGAGGGCCGGCCTAGAAAGTCTGTTGGGACAGGGGATGGTACGGACCCCTAGCACAGAGCAGCTGCCTCACGGAAAAGCGGCAGGACTGTTCCCCTCCCTATGCAGGTCCCACCCTCACTTCTCACGGACTGGGGGCCGCCTAACCTGG
This sequence comes from Homo sapiens, assembly GCF_000001405.40. NCBI lineage: Eukaryota > Metazoa > Chordata > Mammalia > Primates > Hominidae > Homo > Homo sapiens. The sequence continues at coordinate 55,865,368 of NC_000014.9, read as the reverse complement.
GACGCCAGGACAGCCACCCTGCCTGCGGAAACACTTCAATCAGAGGCAGCCCAGCATTTCTCCCAGGAAGAAATGCCGGAGTCAACCTAAGAACAAAAGGCCTAGTCTCTAGGCTGGGACCTCCAGCACACAGCAGCCACCATACAGAAAGGAGTCTAGCCCGTCTTCCCGGGGAGCCCCTACCCTGCCCTCTCCACCAGGCAGGGCCGCCAGCTCGGGATCGCAGAACAGCTGCCCTGGCTGAGCGCACCCACTGGCAGTGGCTCTGGGTGTCCCTGGGGAGAGACTCCCAGAGGCAACCGACAGCCCCTCTGTCGCGGCCACAGCAGCGGTTCTGCCCATGCTGTCCTTGGTCTGGGGAAGAAACAAAGAGCCTGGGGGCTCATTATACTTAAGTGCCACCTAGTGGATCAAACCCCAAACTTCAACACCAAAAATACTTTGCAAACATAACCCACTGTGAAACCAACAAGAATTCCGCTACAAAGACCCTGCACAAAGCCTCACCCTCTGAAAACATCCAGAAAAGAAGTCTATTGAGTGTACTCAATCTACACCACAGTTAAAGGAACACCCACATGCAGAGATGAGAAAGAACCAGGCAATTCAAAAGACCAAAGTGTCTTCATTCCTCCAAACAACCTCTCTAGTTTTCCAGCAAGGGTTTTTAACTGGGCTGAGATGGCTGAAACAACAGAAATAAAATTCAGAATATGAATAGGAATGAAGATCAAGATTAAGGGAAACATCAAAACCCAATCAAAGGAATCTAAGGATCACAATAAAACGATTCAAGAGCTGACAGACAAAACAGTGTAAAAAAGAACCTAACTGATCTGATAGAGCTAAAAAATACACTACAAGAATTTCATAATGCAATTGCAGTAGTAACAGCAGAATAGACCAAGCTGAGGAAAGAATCTCAGAGATTGAAGACTGGCTTTCTAAAATAAGACCATCAGACAAAAATAAAGAAAAAATAATGAAAAGGAATAAACAAAACCTCCAAGAAATATGGGATTATGTAAACAGATCAAATCTATGACTCATTGGCATCCCTGAAAGAGACAGGGAATAAAGACAGGAAAATGGCACAAGCAAATGGAAAACAGAAAATATCAAGGGTTGCAATCCTAATTTCAGACAAAATAGACTTTAAACCAACAATGATCAAAAAAGACAAAGAAGGAAATTACATAATGGCAAAGGGCTTAATTCAACAAGAAAACCTAATTATCCTAAGTATATATGTATCCAACACAGGAGCACACAGATTCATAAAGCAAGTTCTTAGAGACCTATGAAGAGACTTAGATTCCCACACAATAATGGTGGGAGACTTCAACATCCCACTTACAGGATTGGACAGATCCTCGAGGCAGAAAATTAACAAAGATATTCAGAACCTGAACTCAATACTTAACTAAATGGACCTAGTAGACATCTACAGAACTCTCCACCTAAAAACAACAGAATATACATTCTTCTCATTACCACATGGCATATACTCTAAAATTGACCACACAGTCAGGCATAAAACAGTTCTCAGCAATTTTTTAAAAATCATGCCAATTACACTCTCAGAGCAGAATGCAATAAAAATAGAAATCAAAACTAAGAAAATTGCTCACAGCCATATAATTACATGGAAATTAAACAACCTTCTCCTGAATGACTTTTGGGTGAATAATAAAATTAGAGAAGAATAAAGAAGTCCTTCAAAACTAGTGAGATCAAAGATACAATATACCAGAATCTGTGGGACACAGCTAAGGCAGTGTTAAGAGGAAAAGTTATAGCACTAAACACCCACATCAAAAAGTTAGCAAGATCTCTCCTTCACTTATGAAGCTTAGTTTGGCTGGATATGAAATTCTGGGTTGAAAATTCTTTTCTTTAAGAATGTTGAATATTGGCCCCCACTCTCTTCTGGCTTGTAGAGTTTCTGCCGAGAGATCAGCTGTTAGTCTGATGGGCTTCCCTTTGAGGGTAACCCGACCTTTCTCTCTGGCTGCCCTTAACATTTTTTCCTTCATTTCAACTTTGGTGAATCTGACAATTATGTGCCTTGGAGTTGCCCTTCTCGAGGAGTATCTTTGTGGCATTCTTTGTATTTCCTGAATCTGAATGTTGGCCTGCCTTGCTAGAGATTGGGGAAGTTCTCCTGGATAATATCCTGCAGAGTGTTTTCCAACTTGGTTCCATTCTCCCCATCATTTTCAGGTACACCAATCAGACGTAGATTTGGTCTTTTCACATAGTCCCATATTTCTTGGAGGCTTTGCTCATTTCTTTTTATTCTTTTTTCTCTAAACTTCCCTTCTCGCTTCATTTCATTCATTTCACCTTCCATCACTGATACCCTTTCTTCCAGTTGATTGCATCGGCTCCTGAGGCTTCTGCATTTTTCACGTAGTTGTCGAGCCTTGGCTTTCAGCTCCATCAGCTCCTTTAAGCACTTCTCTGTATTGGTTATTCTAGTTATACATTCATCTAAATTTTTTTCAAAGTTTTTAACTTCTTTGCCTTTGGTTTGAATTTCCTCCTGTAGCTCATAGTTTGATCATCTGAAGCCTTCTTCTCTCAACTCGTCAAAATCATTCTCCGTCCAGCTTTGTTCCATTGCTGGTGAGGAACTGCGTTCCTTTGGAGGAGGAGAGGTGCTCTGCTTTTTAGAGTTTCCAGTTTTTCTGCTCTGTTTTTTCCCCATCTTTGGCGTTTTATCTACTTTTGGTCTTTGATGATGGTGATGTACAGATGGGTTTTTGGTGTGGATGTCCTTTCTGTTTGTTAGTTTTCCTTCTAACAGACAGGACCCTCAGCTGCAGGTCTGTTGGAGTTTGCTAGAGGTCCACTCCAGACCCTGTTTGCCTGGGTATCAGCAGTGGTGTCTGCAGAACAGTGGTTTTTCATGAACCGCAAATGCTGCTGTCTGATCGTTCCTCTAAAAGTTTTATCTCAGAGGAGTACCCAGCCGTGTGAGGTGTCAGTCTGCCCCTACTGGGGGGTGCCTCCCAGTTAGGCTGCTCAGGGGTCAGGGGTCAGGGACCCACTTGAGGAGGCAGTCTGCCCGTTCTCAGATCTCCAGTTGCATGCTGGGAGAACCACTGCTCTCTTCAAAGCTGTCAGACAGGGACATTTAAGTGTGCAGAGGTTACTGCTGTCTTTTTGTTTGTCTGTGCCCTGCCCCCAGAGGTGGAGCCTACAGAGGCAGGCAGGCCTCCTTGAGCTGTGGTGGGCTCCACCCAGTTCCAGCTTCCTGGCTGCTTTGTTTACCTAAGCAAGCCTGGGCAATGGTGGGCGCCCCTCCCCCAGCCTCGCTGCCGCCTTGCAGTTTGATCTCAGACTGCTGTGCTAGCAATCAGCGAGACTCCGTGGGCATAGGACCCTCCAAGCCAGGTGCGGGATATAATCTCCTGGTGCGCCGTTTTTTAAGCCTGTTGGAAAAGTGCAGTATTCGGGTAGAAATGACCCGATTTTCCAGGTGCCGTCTGTCACCCCTTTCTTTGACTAGGAAAGGGAACTCCCTGACCCCTTGCACTTCCCGAGTGAGGCAATGCCTCACCCTGCTTCCGCTCGCGCACGGTGCGCTGTGCCCACTGACCTGCGCCCACTGTCTGGCACTCCCTAGTGAGATGAACCCGGTACCTCAATGGAAATGCAGAAATCACCCGTCTTCTGCGTGGCTCACGCTGGGAGCTGTAGACCAGAGCTGTTGCTATTCGGCCATCTTGGCTCCTCCCCAGTTAGCAAGATCTCAAATTAACAACCTAAAATCACAGCTAGAAGAACTAGAGAAGCAAGAGCAAAACAATCCCAAAGCTAGCAGAAGGCAAGAAATAACCAAAATCAGAGCTGAATTAAAGGAAATTGAGATATGAAAAACCATATGAAAGATAAATGAATCCAGGAGTTGGTTCTTTGAAAAAAATTAATAAAATAGATAGATTGCTAGACTAATAAAGAAAAAAGAGAGAAAATCCAAATAAACACAATTACAAACGACAAAGGGGACATTACCACTGACCTCACAGAAATACAAAAAACATCAAAGACCCTATGAACACCTCTATGCACAAAACTAGAAAATCTAGAAGAAATGGAAAAATTTCTGGACACATACATCAACCCAAGACTAAACCAGGAAGAAACTGAATCCTTGACCATACCAATAATGAGCTCTGAAACTGAATCAGTAATAAAGAGCCTGCCAACCAAAAAAAAAAGGCCCAGACCTGATGGATTCACAGCTAAATTCTAGGAGATGTATTAAGAAGAGCTGTTACCATTCCTACTGAAACTATTCCAAAAAATGAGGAGGAGGAGCTCCTCCTCAATTCATTCTGTGAGGCCAGCATTTTCCTGACACCAAAACCTGGCAGAGAAACAACAAAATAAAGAAAACTTCAGGTGAATATCTCTGATGAACATAAATGCAAAAATCCTCAACAAAATGCTAGCAATGTGGATCCAGCAGCACGTCAAAAAGCTAATCCACCACAATCAAGTAGGCTTTAGCCCTGGGATGCAAGGTTGCTTCAACATATGCAAATCAATAAATGTGATTCATCACATGAATGGAGCTAAAGACTAAAACCACACGATTATCTCAATAGATACAGAAAAGTCTTTTGGTAAAGTTCAACATCCCTTAAAGTTTAAAATCCTCAATAAACTATGCATTGAATATTTCAATACTTTGAAATAATAAGAGCCATCTATGAAAAACCCACAGCCAACATCATACTGAATGGGCAAAAGCTGGAAACATTCCCCCTTGGAAAATGACACAAGACAAGGATACACTGTCTCACCACTCCTATTCAATATAGTATTGGAAGTCCTGGCCAAAGCAATAAGGCAAGAGAAAGAAATATAAGTCATCCAAATGGGAAGACAGGAAGTCACACTATCCCTGTTTGTAGGTGATATGATTCTATATCTAGAAAAATCCCATTGTTTCTGCCCAAGAGCTATTTAAGCTGATAAACAACTTCAGCAAAGTTTAAGGATGCAACATCAACGTAGGAAATGAGTAGCATTCCTATACACTACCAACATCCAAGCCAAGATCTGAATCAGGACCACAATCCTGTTCACAATTGCCACAAAAAGAATAAAATGCCTAGGAATACAGCTACCAGGGGGAGGGGGGTGAAAGATCTCTACAATGATAATTACAAACCACTGCTCAAAGAAATCAGAGATGACACAAACAAATGGAAAAACATTCCATGCTCATGGATAGGAAGAATCAATATCATTAAAATGTCCATATTGCCCAGAGCAATTTACAGATTCAATGCTATTCCTATCAAACTACCAATGACATTCTTCACAGGACTAGAAAAATTTATTTTAAAATTTATATGGAAACAAAAAAGAGCCCAAATAGCCAAGACAATCCTCAGCCAAAAGAACAAAGCTGGAGGCATCTTGCTACCCAACTTCAAACTATACTACAGGGCTATAGTAACCAACCAAAACAATATGGTACTGGTAGAAGAACAGACACATAGACCAATGGAACCGAATAGGGAGCCCAGAAATAATGCTGCACACCTACAACCATCCGATCCTCAACAAAGCTAACAAAAACAAGCAATAGGAAAAGGACTCCCTATTCAATAAATGGTTCTGAGATAACTGGCTAGCTATACAGAGAAAATTGAAGCTGGAACCCTTCCTTATACCATACACAAAAATCAACTCAACCTGAATTAAAAACTTAAATGTAAAACTATAGAAACCCTGGAAGATAACCTAGGAAGTACCATTCTGGACATAGGAATAGGCAAAGATTTTAGGACAAACATGCCAAAACCAATTACAACAAAGCAAAAATTGATAAATGGGATCTAATCAAACTAAAGAGCATCTGCATAGCAAAAAAAAAAAAAAAAAAACTATCAATGGAGTAAACAGACAATCTACAGAATGGGAAAAAATATTTCCCTATACATCTATACATCTGACTATACATCTGACAAAACCCTAATATCCAGCATCTATAAGGAACTTAATCAAATTTACAAGCAAAAAACTAACAACCCTATTAAAAAGTGGACAAAGAACATTAACAGACACTTTTCAAAAGACAGCAAACACACAGCCAACAAGCATATGAAAAAAATGCTTAATTTCAGTAATCATTAGAGAAATGCAAATCAAAACCACAATGTGATGTCATCTCTCTCCAAGCAGAATGGCTATCATTAAAAAGTCAAAAAATTACAGATGTTAGAAAGGTTGTGGAGAAAAGGGAACATTTATACACTGTTGGCAGGAGTGTAAATTAGTTCAATCATTGTGCAAAGCAGTATGATGATTCCTCAAAGAACTTGAAACAGAATTACCGTTTAGTCCAGCAATCCCATTATTGAGTATATACTGAAAGGAATATAAATTCTGCCACAAAGACACATGCACTCAAAATGTTTGCATTCAAATTTGCAGCACTATTCACAATAGCAAAGACATGGAATCAGCATAAATGCTCATCAATGACAAGACTGGATAAAGGAAATGTGGTACATATACAGCATGGAATACTATGCAGCCATGAAAAGGAATGAGATCACATCCTTTAAAGGAACATGAATGGAGCTGGAGGCCATTATCCTTAGCAAACTAATGCAGGAACAGAAAACCAAATATCATGCATTCTCACTTGTAAGTGGGAGCTAAATAACGAGAACACATGGACACAAAGAAAGGAGCAACAGACACTGGGGCCTACTTGAAGGTAGACGGTGGGAGGATGAAGAAGAGCATAAGAAATAACTAGTGAGTTGTATTAGGCCGTTTTCACACTGCTGATAAAAACATACCCAAGACTGTGTAATTTATAAAGAAAACAAGGCTTAATGGACTCACAGTTCCACATGGCTGGGGAGGCCTTGCAATCATGGCAGAAGGCAAAAGGCACATCTTACGTGGTGGCAGACAAGAGAAAATAACAGAACTTGCGCAGGGAAACTCCCCTTTATAAAACCATCAGATCTTGTGAGACTTATTCACTGTCATGAGAACAGCACAGGAAAGACTTGCCCCCATGATTCAATTACCTCCCACTGGGCCCCTCCCAGAACACATGGGAATTGTGGAAGCTACAATTCAAGATGAGATTTGGGTGGGGACACAGCCAAACCATATCATGAGTACTATGTTTAGTACATGGGTGACAAAATAATTTGTACACCAAACCCCTGTGACACAAGTTTACCTATATAACAAACATGCATATGTATCCCTAAGCCTAAAATAAAAGTTAAAGAAAAATGAAAAAAAACCTAAAATTAAAAAAAATACAGTGCCATTTACAATAGTTCCAAAGAGAAAATATTTAGCTATAAATCTAGCAAAATATATATAAGATATGCTGAAAGCAAAGCACTAATGGAAGAAATTAAAGAAAACCTAAATAAATGAAGAAACATACTGTGTGTTAAGAACTGAATGTTTCTGTACACCCCCACCACAAATTATATGTTAAAGCCCTAACCCCTTAAGGGGTTATATTTGTGGAGATGAGGGGCGCTAAGGAAACAAAGTTAAATAAGGTCGTAAGAGTGGGGCCTTGATCCAATAGGATTAGTGTCCTTATAAGAAGAGACACCAGTGAGCCCACTCTCTCTCTCTCCACACATACACAAGAAAGAGATCATATAAGGACCCAATGAGAAGGTGGCCATCTACAACCTAAGGGGAGACCCCTCACCAGACACCAACCCTACTGGCACCTTGATCGTGGACACCTAGTGTCCGGAACTGTAAGAAAATAAATTCCTGCTGTTAAACTAAACTCAGTCAATGGTATTTCATTACAGCAGCCCAATCAGACAAATATACCATGTTTGTGAATTAGAAGAGTCAACAAAGTAAAAAATGATAATGCTATCCAAATTAATCTAGAGATTTAATACCATTTCTATCAAAATCTCAACAGGATTTTTGCATATAAAAGCCAATTCTCAAATTTATACAGAAAGACAAGCAACTAGAATAGCCAAAACAATTTTTAAAAATAAGAATAAAGAACAACACTCCCTAAATTTAAGATTAGTAAAACCTACAGTAATCAAAAAAACATAATGTTGGTCAGAAATAGATATATAGATCAGTGGAACAAAATGGAGGATCCATAAATAAGCCATACAAGTATAGCCAATTTTTGACAAAGGTAAAAGTAACTCAATGGAGAAAGGATAGTCTTTTTGACAAGTGGTGTTGGAACATCCTTATGCAAAAATACGAAACCTCAACCTAGGCCTCATAACTTACACAAAAATTAACTCAAAATGTATCATAGGTTAAAAGGTGAAAATAGAAATCTAAAATTTTTAGGAGAAAACCTTTGTGATCTGGAGTTAGGCAACGAGTTCCTAGAAGTGAACCAAACACATAATCCACAGAAAAATTAATAAATCAGACTTTATCAAATTATTACCTTTTGCTCTGTGACAGACACATTTAAGAGACTGAAAAGACTAGCTGCAGACTTGGAAAAAATATTTGTAAGTCACATATCTGACAAAAGACTCCTGAATATATAAAGAACTCTCAAAACTCAAAAAGTGAAGAATCCAATTTAAAAACTGGCAAAAGACTTAAACAGATACAACTAACGATATATAGGCCAGGCACAGTGGATAATGCCTGTAATCCCAGCACTTTGGGAGGCTGAGTAGGGCAGATCTCTTGAGTCCAGGAGTTCAAGACCAGCCTGGCCAACATGGTGAAACCTTGTCTCTACTAAAAATACAAAAATTAGCCAGGCGTAGTGGCATGCACCTTAATCCCAGCTACTCGGGAGGCTGAAGCATAAAAACTGCTTGAACCCCAGAGGCAAAGGTTGCAGTGAGCTGAGATCACATATCGGCACTCCAGCCTGGGCAACACAGCTAGACTCAAAAAAAAAAAAAAAAAACCCAATGATATATAGATATCAATGAAAAGTTGTTCAGTATCATTAGCCATCACAGAAATGCGAATTAAAACCACAATTAGATATCACTACATGCATATTAGAATGAATAAAATTGAAAATAGTGACCATATTTATAAAGGTAAATATAAATATAATCCCTCCCAAAGTGCTGGGATTACAGGCATTATCCACTGTGCCTGGCCTATATATCATTGCTAGTGAATACCTGTGTAAGTCTTTTGCCAATTTTTAAACTGTGTTCTTAATTTTTTGAGTTTTGAGAGTTCTTTATGTATTCAAGAGTCTTTTGTCAGATATGTGACTTACAAATATTTTTTTCCAAGTCTGCAGCTAGTCTTTTCAGTCTCTTAAAAGTGTCTGTCACAGAGCAAAAGTTAAGAAGTTGATAAAGTCTGATTTAGTAAGTGCTGCAAGCATGTGGGTCAGCTAAAGCTCTCATACATTGCTGTGAGAATGCCAAACAGCACAGCTTTTATGAAAAGCATTTTGGCAGTTTCTTATAAAGTTAAAGATACGCTTACCATATGATCCAGCAATCCCACTCCTAGATGTTTACTGTAGTGAAATGAAACATACATTCACACAAAAACCTGTATACAAATGTAAATATCAACTCTAGTCTTAACGACCTAAAACTGGAAACAATCTAACTGTCCCTCATTGGGTAAAGGGATAAACAGATGCAGCTATACAATGAAATACTACTTCACAATAAGAATGAACAGTCTACTGATGCATGCAGCAAATTGGGTGAATGTTAAGGGTATTTACGCTAAGTGAAAGAAGCCAGTATCAAAAGGCTATGTTCTGTATCATTCCATTTATATAATATCCTCAAAAAGAAAAGAATTATAGCGATGGATCAGTGGTTGTTGGGGCTGGGGTGGTGTAGGGTGTCACTAAAAGGGAGTAGAACAACAGTGTCTTCTGGTGCTGCAACTGTTCTGTACCCTAATTGCAGAGGTAGTTTCATAAATTTTTACATGTGCTAAATTTATAAAAAACTATACATACAACAAAGTCAATTTTTGGTATATTAACTTAAAATAATTTTTAAAAAACAGAAGAACATTAAATTGGTAGGACCATTTTGACCAAATTCTTTGGGTCTGAGAATTGTATTTAAAAGACATGCTATGAGTGTCCGAATCAAAACACAGATTTGGATACATCATGAAAATGTGGACATGAACTTGACTGAGTTATATTTATAGGCCTAGGGCTAAGATGCAGATCACAATCTTTAGTTGGTGCCGTACTTGTATACCTTAGAGAATTTCTTAGCAGAGATCTAATTTATCATAAGTAAGATTACCTGTCTAGAGATTTTTGCAAGGCTACTCCTTGATAACATGACTGGCCAAATCAAATTGGATCTTATGATCAATATTCTTCATAATAAAGAGACTAAGCCAGCTTGGCTAAAAGAGTCAGTCTCCCTCAAAGTACTAAATTGTATTTGCTATGTCTTATGCTCCAAGAACTGCCTGTTTCATAGACGTATATGATACAAATGGTCAGAAACTCCCTGTCCAGATATCAACTAGAGCTCACTGTCTCCATTAGTACTTTTACCATGCCAGAATTTAATCGAACTTGAGAGCTTATGTTTGCCAACCTCTTCTAAATATAGTGCTTACAAACTTTATACAGAGTGGAATACTTGGGCACTTAGAACTTTACTTTTTCTTGTTTGGGAAATCAGTAACAGACATGGGAGAAGAATCCTCAAGCAAAGTAAAAGCAAAGTGATGTTGAAGAGGCTCTAGAATAATATGATTTCCAGAGACATTCACTCATCATTTACTCATTCATTCATCTATTCAACAAATATTTGCAGAGCACCAACTATGTGGCAAGCGTAGTTGAACAAGACAGATAAGACCCCTGCTCATAAAGCTTGCAATCCAATAAAGGAGAAGGACAAATAATAATCAAGCAACTAGCTAAAAAAAATAAGATATTTACATATTATAATGAGCATTAGGAAGAAAGAACCAGGTGGGGCAATAGAGGGTAAAACGGGGGAACACTTTAGAAGGAATGGTCAGAAGAGGTCCTTAAAAAAGGTAATATTTGGGCTGAGCCCTGAATATAAGATGGCTGTGTGAAAATGAATGAATGGGATTCAGACACGGTGAATGAGAATGCCTGAAGGCAAAAGATGGCTCCATGCATTTGAGTAACAGAAAGGCCAGTGTGGTTAGGAAGCAGTGAATGAGAGGGAAGCATGGTATAAAATACATCTGAGAAGTGCAGCAGACAAATTAGACATAACTTATAGGTCAAGGTGAGTTCAAAATTTATTGTAAGAGAAATAGGGAGTTATTAAAGAATTTTAAGCAGGAGAGTGACATATCTAGTTTATGTTATTTGAAAAAATCACCTGTAATCCCAGTACTTTGGGAGTCTGAGGGAAGAGGATCACTTGAGCCCAGGAGTTTGAGACCAGCCTGGGCAACATGGCAAGACCCCATCTCTACAAAAAATAAAAAATTCGCTGGGTGTGGTGGCACGTGTCTGTAGTCTCAACAACTTGAGAGGCTGAGGTGGGAGGATTGCTTGAGCCTAGGAGGTGGAGCCTGCAGTGAGCCATTATCCTGCCACTGCACTTCAGCCTGAGCAACAGAGCAAGACTGTCTCAAATGAAAAAGAAAAAAAAACTAATTTTGTTAACTAGGGAATGGGTTGAAAGGGGGCAAGACTAAGCACAATGATGCCAGTTGGACCTACATGGCAGTGGTGAAGATGGGGAGAACTGGACAGATTTTAAATCTATTTTTGAGGTAGAACCAACAAGAATTCTGAGCGATTGAATGTGGGAGTTGAAGGAATGGGGAAAGTCAAGTATTATGTTTAGACTTTTGGCTTGAGCAACTGAGAGTTTGGTAATGCCATTTATTGGAAAGGTTAATACTCAAGAAGACTAGGTTTGTGAGAGAAAGAAACCCCTCCATTTGTAACACATTAAGTTTCAGAAGTCATGTGGACATTCAAATGAGAAAAACTGATAGGGGACTGGATAGGTGAGTAAGAAGCTAAGTGGGGTAGGTCCAAGTTAGACTTAATCAGGAGATGTTATACTAAAACCTTGCGGGGAGTGTGGATGGAAAAGGAAAAGAGCTCAAGATTGAATTCCAAGATGTGCCAACATTTGGAAATTAGGTAGAGAAAGAAAAACCAGCAAAAGAGGCTGAAAAGGAGCAGTTACTGTATTAATTTGTTCTCACATTGCTATAAGGAAATATCTGAGACTGGGTAATTTATAAAGGAAAGAGGTTTAATTGACTCACAGTTCCACATGGCTGGGAAGGCCTCTGGAAACTTACAATCATGGCAGAAGGGGAAGAAAGGTACCTTCTTCACAGGACAGCAGGAAGGAGAAGTGCAAGCAGGGGAAATGCCAGATGCTTATAAAACCATCAGATCTTGTGAGACTCACTCACTATCACAAGAACAGCATGAGGGGAACCGTACCCATGATCCAATTACCTTCACCCTTGGTCCCCGCCCCCGCCCCTCGCCGATACATGGGGATTATGGGGATTATGGGGACTACAATTCAAGATGAGATTTTGGGTGGAGACAGAGCCAAACCATATCAATTGATGATATTGGAGGAAAACCAACAGAGTTCAGTGTTTTTTGGAAGCCAAGAGATGGAAGTGATGGTAAATGGAGGAAAAGGTCAACCAGCCAACAACTGGAGTGGTTGATGCTGCTTAAAGGTCAAATCTAATGAGGCCAGAGAACAGCCCTTTGGATGGACAGCATGGAAGCCATTGGTACCTACCCTTAAGGAGAATGGTTTCAGTGGACAGAAAAAACATTTAAGTGGGAGTGCTGGGGAGAAACTTGACTGAAGTTAAAGTATGAATGAGAGATAAAGAAATGGAGGCAGTAAGTACAGATAATGCATTCCAAAAGTTTCTCTATTTAGGCGAGCTGAAAAGTGGAGTCAAGAGAAAGTCTTTTAACATGGGAGATCTTACAGCATATTTATATGCTGTTGGAAATCACCAGCTCAGAAGGAGTAACTGGTGATGCAGGAGAGAATGGATATAAAAGTAGCATCAGGGCCCTGGAGAAAGATGTGATCTTTGATAGCAAGTAAGGTAGAGAAGGTGAATATACATGTGTAGTTAATTCTGTCCAGGAAATAATTAGGTTACCATGCCTACAACATGACTCGCCAAATTAAAGACTGTGTGAAGATCCAGCCCAGAGACACTCAGCTATTTCAGTCCTCTTACTCTCCTGCCATCATGCTATCATGAGGGCAGTGGGCCAACAAGCCTAGCATGCCTCCAAAGGGAACTGGTTGAGGAGGGGAACCATGTCAGAGAAAATCTGTAATCGTTGCTGCCCCACTGTCTATTTGGTTTCATGCAATTAATGAGTGAATTGATTTTATGTTATTAATAACATAATACTGTCACAGTTATTTTCTCTTGGCCTCAAATTGCTCGTGGAACCTTAGAGGAGACCATAGTTTAGCCTGTAACATACTCAACTAATGAAACCAACAGCAATACAAGACTTATGAGAGTAAGAACATACTATTTTAAATATGTTGGTGGTGTGGGCTGGCTTGGCTTTAAGAAATGCTGAGACCACTATGGTGGACAAACTCAAAACTGGGACAGAAATTTCCTCATGCAGACAGGGTCCACATAGTGATGATGAGGGGGAATAAAGGCTACAGCTTTCTGGGTATCTAGTGCCCTTTAGATAACCAAAGGATTATCCCTTCAGGTTGCAGATTAAATCCAGGCATCACCCACGGTGGACATTCACACTGATAGAATGCAAAGCTATGCTCAATCACTGGGCAGTTCTAACCCTGTGAAGGCTTCAGTATTCACAGCTGAGCAGGGGCACAGCAGGAAGGAACTGACAGAGGCTAAGAACACAGTGCCAGGACACAGGGCTACAGGAACCAGAAAAGAGTGGATACTGGCAATGAATGCAAGCTTCCTGGGCAATCCTGCTGACTCCAGAGATTTCTTTTTGTCCCTCACCCTTCAGCCACAGTTAAGCTCTAATAAGAATATGTTCTTACTAAGCGGATTTGGAGTTACTTTATTTTGAGAGCTGGGTGGATTTTTTTACCAAATTGAAAGTAGGCATTCTTATTTTATCATAAAAAATACACACATACACGCATGCACACACACACACACACACACATACTGGCAACATCCTAGAAATAGACCAGAATACACTCTAACTTAGGGTAAAGGAATAGAGCAGGAATCCATCATACAATCAAATCTTTTGACCCACAAACCCCATCAAGATATTTCCCTAATCTCATGAGAATGCCTCCAGAGGCACGCCCGTGATGGCATGCACACAATTATGAGTCACAAGCAGTCTGCATAATTATGAACATAAACATGCAACCCAAGATTAAACACATCCCACACATCAGGACAACCCTAAAAACAGCTGGATATCCTCCACTGGCTTCAAAGCTATCAGAGTGTGTCCTCCGAGGCACCACACTACTCATGCTCAGGAAGTTCTGCATGTTCTTAGGGATCTCACCATGACATCAAGCTCCATCCCTAACTGAGTGGGGCGAAGAACAACTCTTCCAGTTTGCAGAAGCTGCTAGACTGGAACATGCAGATCTCACATATTCCTTCTTGAGGAAGGAGCTCCCAACTCTCAACTGCCAGTAGGGTTATTTCTCATATTGCATTTGAGGTTGGTTGACTTATGGTTCTTTCTTGATAAATGCATGTATTTGAAAATGACATCCCAAAAGCTTTTTTCCCCTCCCTGGCAATCTCTTGATGGCTACTCATCTCCAAGAGTATTTGTCCATTTCTCTCTCACACAAACTGACACTCTACTGGGAGACACAGAAAAACTGTTTTCTCATGGCCATATATAAGCTTATCACATAGGTCACATTTGTGTCCTTAGAGTTTTCCCAGTTTCATTCATCATTTTAGTGTGTGAGGGGTAACTCGTCCAACTTTTCCTGGACTTTTGACACAGCTGAAAGATGTGACAGTGGGAAATGAGCAGCAGAGAAAACTTTGAGAAACATAGTTCATCTACACAAACACTGTTTATTGACCCTAGGAAGACAGAAACAATCACGGAGACCAGGAGCTGAAGATGGAGACTCACAGACATAGCAATGACTAAAACCTAAGGAGAAACCAGGCACAGTAGTCCCAGCTACTGAAGGGGCTAAGGCAGGATAATCACTTGAGTCCAGGAGCTCAGAGCTACAGTGCACTTAGGATCACACCTGTGAATAGCCACTGCACTCCAGCCTGGGCAACATAGCAAGACCCTGTTTTAAAAGGAGAAGAAAAAGGCTTAGAGGGCAGAGTGGAAATCAGGACAAGTGTGCTATGCTGACCATGGTCCTGAGAAATATTTGCCTACTGGAGCCTAGATGCTTCTCCTAATCCTGAGGTATTGGTGACTTTCATACAACTCTCTTCGGGACATCTCAACTAGGTGAGGAAGGAGGTGGTGGTAGGAGAGGAGGCAAGGGTGAGATAGATGGACAGTCGCTCTTGGAGAGGCATCATTTCCCTGACTACCAGGGACAAAAAGAAAAGATTTTCTGAATGACATCTTCGATGAGTTGTAATTACCAAAAAAGAAACCACTAACAACAGTTAAAAATCAAATCTTTGAAAGAAGCTAAGAAATTTTGTGCTGTAAGATACAGTACTGTACAAGTGAAGACATAAACAAATAACTGTAATCAGGTGATGAGCAGAATATCAACCAGGTAGAATTGAAGTGTCATTGTGAGTTGAGTCATAACAACATTCTCCTCTCACTCCTCAACATTATCTCCTTGAGAGACCTCATCCATTCTCATGGCTTCAATATCATCCAATGCTTATGACCCCAACTTTATATTTTTACCTATGATCTCTCCTTTGAGCTCCAGAACTTAGTATCCAACCACCTTACTTTCCATCTCTACTTGGATGATTCATAGATGGGAATCCCCCTATCAAAATGCCAATGGGAGATACCAATTGGCAGTACGGAAAATAATGCTTTAATTGGATATTTAAATACAATATCAGAAAGTGGAAACATTCAGAGCAAAGGAAAAAGAATCCTAACTGGATAGGAAACTTGGACATAAGACATGGTAGGCTTACTATAAGAAGACAGTGAATGATGAGAACAAACCTCAAACAGGGGTATTTCCTGCTGATGGAAACTGCAAATAAGGGCAGTTCTTTTCTGAATAGCCTACAGAAGGAATTATTGGCTAGGCATCTGTCTTCTCAGTTATGTCTGCACCCATGAATAGAAACATTGTCATCTAATCATAATAAATAAAATTCTCAATCTGGAAACTCCAAGTCTGAAGGAAACTCACATACACTTTTTTTTGAGACAAGGTCTTGCTCTGTCACCCAGGCTAGAATGCAGTGGCATGATCTTGGCTCACTGCAACCTCAGCCTCCAAGGCTCAATCGATCCTCCCACCTCAGCCCCCCAAGTAGCTGGGACTACAGGTACACACCACTATGTCCGGCTAATTTTTTTATTTTTTGTAGGAATAGGGTTTTCACCATGTTCGCCAGGCTTGGATACTTATAAATCAGGAAAAGCTATGATGAAGTCATCAGGGTTGAGAGCCCCCACATTCTAGAATCAAGGCTTGAAGGATGATGTCTTAGAGAAAGTAAAAATGTTACTTTACACAGTGTGTAATAAACTTATGGAATTCTTAGTTCTAGAAGTAACAGAGGCCAAAAACATAAATCAGGTTGAGAATTATTTGGATCCTTCCCTTGGTGGAGGCACCCTAGCAGATTAGCAAGGGAGTTTTATTTTGGGGGAATATAACTAATTTTGTAAGGCTGAAGCTCTGGAGAGATTTGTAAATGCCATCTTGGTGCCCCTTCTGTTTAAGTTCATCTCCCAGAGAAGCCAGGACCCCTCAAACCTCAGATCAATGTAGAAGTGAAACAAGACTGCTTAGAGATTACAGAAGATGGAGCTGATAGAGATTGAATGTCAACATCTGGGACTAAAATCAGAACCAAGACAACCTAAACACCATGGATGCAGTCACAGAATGACATATAGTGGCAAAAAGACAGAACGTGCAAATTCAGAAGAGAGGAAGGAGATAGAGACTGGAGAGATGTCATCTTGGGGGCAAAGACTTGAGCATGGGTGAGGAGCAGGCTATTACAGGCACAAAGCCATTGTACATCCCTTAGAAATAAGCCTGCCAATGGACCAGTGACCATTTCATGTACCCTTTGGACTTTGCAACATAAAATACAACACGTACCCACATTATAAACGCATCTAGGAACATGCTCTCATGCAAAAAGTGGGGCATGAGAGGACACACACATACACATACATTCCATAAAGTTTTTATTAGCACCAAAAGCCAAGAAAGGAAGAGGGAAAGGATCCTCTGAACGAAGCACTGCACAGTTTTTCCCAATATGTCATGCACATGAGAATTTAATGAGTCACAAATTCCAGTGGGTATTTTCCCCTCAATTTTCCAGTTTGTTCTATTTTGCAAATATTTGTACTCAAATGATAATGTGACTTTTGTCATACAGCCACACTGACTCCCTCATGAAGAGCTTTATTTAGAGTCAGAAGACATCTGCTAAATTGAGATTTACAAAGAACTTATTAAACACAAACATAAATAGATGGGCTCTGAATATTATATTCTGAGCATTCACTTCCTTATGTACTTGCAAATTATACACCAGCATGCAAAGCATCTCAAAAGAGCAATGCATAAAATCTCCTTAGAATCTCTTTCTTCTGAGCACCTTGGAGATGTTCTCTCATCTGAAGCCATTAATTAGGAAGGTTAAACACTGCCTTCCTGGTTTGCAGCCTTTGTCTCCACAGGCTATTGATGCAGAACGTGGGAAAAGACTAAGTAAGTACTTCTGAGGATTATGACAATTGATGATTGACATCAAGGATCCATAATAGAGACACAGATTTCAATCAAGTCTGACAGTGGATGGGACATGCTACAGTACAAGCCAAAATCCTTGAGAACATCATATTCCTGGGGAGCAGACTGTTTTATGATTTTCAGGCTCATAAGTGAGTCAGAATTGGACTCACTGCTTCACTTGTGAAACCGTTACTTGGCACTGTCACAGTGACAAACCAATGGCCTAAAATGCAATTAGCTATTATGCATCCTTGTTAAGCAACAGCCTGGTCGCCCCTGGCACTACATGTGAGCTGCAGTTAATGTGGCATGCCTAGCTAACAGGCAGGTCCCAGTTTGAATGAGATAAGGAACTCACTTCAAACAAGGCATTTCTTTGCAGACTCCAAAAACTATTTTTTTAAAAAAACATACTTTCTGCCAAATTAAAGAGAAGTTTTACAACATAATACAAATGCAGTGTTGAAGAGGTTCTGGGATCCCTCTGGAATTGTGTAATATTTTAGTAATATTTATCATTTATCTCCTGTAGTTAGGAAGATAGAAAGGGTCAGAAAAGTACAACATATAAATTAGTTTCTGTGGCCTTTGATAAAAAAAACTGTTTGCATTACATCATTTTAGTGGCTCTTGAATTGTGATTGAGGACATTATTGTCTCTCCAAGACCGACCACATCTCCTTAGGGAGTAAAGCCATTATATGGAAAACCTTGTATCCCTTGCCCTTCCCTTCTAAATTTAAATCCCACCAAGAGGAAAAACATCAGTTTTACCGTCTATCTGCAAATGCATGACCAATACCATAATAATGACAATGACCAAGTCCTCATTGCACAAGATTGCTCTAGTAATTCAGAGCAGCCAGAGTCTCAAACCCAAATGAAAGAAGGGTCCAGTGGTCCCACTCCTACCTCACCCAGCTGGTGTCCAATCATACACAGTAAAAGCTTAGTAATTTCCCAAATGCGCAGCAACGGAACACAAATTTCCTCCCAAAATAAATGCCTCTGAGATAGTAGGTCCTGATCATTGGAAACTTTGGTTGTCAGTGTGGGATATGCGTGTTTGCGGCCTCTTGTGGATTGAGTGCATGAACAGCCCTAATTAATGGCCTCCTTAAATTCAGGCTTTTCATCCTGTAACTGTGCAGGCCCCACCCACTCTGACTCTGGGCCATGTGACCTCCTTTGACCAATGGGACAGTAGCAAATCTGACACATTAAAAAGCTCTTCAAAATGTGTGAGTCTTCCTGTTTCCTCCATTGTTTCTCTGTGACTGTCACGAGAACCCAGGGAAGCTAGCCTGCCAAAGGGATGTGTGGGCGTGAGACATGGGCATGTGACAGGTCCATGGAGGAGATCAAAGCAATCCTAGCTGTGGCCCTCAATGAAGCAGCCTTTGATATGGACATAAGGCAGGGAAATACTACGTAGAAAAGGGTGGGGTCCCTGGCAAACCTGGATCCTCAGCCCTAAATGAGAACTTCACACATCCCTGTTTTTCCATCAGAATGTTGGTTTTCCAAAACCACCCCTGCCAGCCCCACCCCCACCCTGTACTCATAAAAACCCCAAGTTCCACTAGCAGGAGAGCAGAGCAGGGCAGCAGAGAAGGAGAGAAGAAAAGCAGCAGCTGGATGTCAGATAAAAGCAGCTTGACTTCAGAGGAATGGCCTGACAGCAGGATTTTGGAGAAGAGTTCAGCCAAGGATGGCAGAACTCCAGGGGAAGATTATCTTCCCACTCCATCCCCCTTCCAGCTCCCCTTCCCACTGAGAGCCACTTCCACTGCTCAATAAAATCTTCTGCATACACCACCCTTCAATTCATTCATGTGACCTGATTCTTCCTGGACGCTGGACAAGAACTCAGGTACCAAGAGGGCAGGGTGTAAAAGGCTGGCACCCTGACCCTCCACTCAGTTGGGTGACACTTAGCCATTTGTGGATAGCAAATGCTAAAACAGCACTGATTGTAACACATGCCCTCTGAAGCTGCAGGGGTCACAGACACCCTCTTCCAGACAGCAGAGCTAAAAGAGCATTGTAACACACTTGGATGCTGCCATAGGACCCACATAAAGCCTGCTTCTGCCAGAGAGGAGCGACCAGCCAGTTCCAGTGTTCATTCACCCCAGCTCCTGTACCTACTCACCTGTGTGTTCCGCCCCCCACCATGAGGGGTTCAGAGCTGCAGGCTGAGTAAACAAACCACCCCTTCACAAGTCCTGCAAAGGGGTCAAGGGAAATATCCTGTCTCACCTTCATCTAACCCACGAGCTGAACAGATGCATGAATGAGCCCAGCTGGGAGAGGCCAAGACTGGCCAGATGAGCACAGCTGGCTGGTGAACCCATAGACCCATGGGAAATCATACATGGCTATTGTTTTGGTTTTGTTGTTGCTGTTTTGAGACAGAGTCTTGCTCTGTCGCCCAGGCTGGTGTGTGGTGGCACGATCTCAGCTCACTGCAAGCTCCACCTCCTGGGTCACACGCTTCTCCTGCCTCAGCCTCCCGAGTAGCTGGGACTACAGGGGCCCGCCACCATGCCCGGCTGATTTTTCGTATTTTTAGTACAGACGGGGTTTCACCATGTTAGCCAGGATGGTCTCGATCTCCTGACCTCGTGATCCGCCCGCCTCGGCCTCCCAAAGTGCTGGGATTACAGGTGTGAGCCACAGTGCCCAGCCCTTACATGGCTATTGTTTTAAACCACAATGTTGGATTGGTTTGTTACATAGTATTATGTTGGTAACTGATACAGAGTCAGAGCTGATTTTTTTAGGGCAGCAGAGGAGAGCTTTTGTGCTACCATCAGTAATCAAGCATCACAATTCTTCCTCAAGCAGCCTCTTCTTAAAATAAATGTTGAACAGAAATGTAAATAATCGGTTTGAAAGAACACTGAATTTTAATTTTGAGTCTGTCTTAAGCACTCACAGTTTTGGGAGGCATCACAGACAAGAGGTGAAGTAAGAGCTCAGGAACTGAGTACTTGTGAACAGGCCTGGATGGATGGAACTCAAGAGCTTAAGATATGGAAGCTTCATAAAGATGAGTACCCAGCTATTTACAGGCCCTGGGTCTCAGGAGGATGTCGGCAAATTTAAAGGGACAGGATTTATTTTGTCGCCATCTTCCTTGAAAGAAACTTTAAAGAATCTCAGAAGGATTCTAAAGGTCATCTGTCTGTCTACTCTTGACACTTGATCACTGAGTTGTCAACCAGCCCGGTTTGTTATAAACTGAACAAATGACAGTTTGGGAGTGGCGTTAAACGACTGAGGATCACTGAGGACATTTAGACAGGTCTGAGAATTAGAAAAGGCCTCAGTGAGTTCACGCTTCCTGCCTGGAAAACTCCTCCCTTGGCTCTGCCAGCAAGGAATACTAAACAGCATAGAGCTTTAGATGTCTCTGAAGCTCCTCAATTTACAAGTTAAGTCCAGATCCTGAAGAAAACATAAACTAGACTTAAACAAGATTTTACAAAATCTCAAATCAAAATGTCAAATAAAAATGTATTAAGGATCTGGTTTTGTGCCCTCTGCTGGACATGGTTTTACAAAATAAAAAAAGGAGGACACGGTCCCCTACCTTTAAGATTTTTATCATTTGATAAAATTAGATAAACATACCTGAAATACTAGCAGACTAATAAGATCTATACAATTGTGGTAATCATTCATATGTTCATAAATATTCAGATTCTCTTCCATCCACATATAAGAAAAAATTGTACTTCACCCACCCGGAAGTAAGGTGTGGTCATGGGACTTGTTTTGGACAAGAAAATAAGAAGTGATGGGTGTCATTTTTCAGGGAAAATATTTAACCACTTAGTTAAACCGAACCCCAACCTCCTTTCCTCGTGGCAGTGATCATGGAAGCACATGTCAAGACAGAGCCTCTGTCAGCCGGGACCCTGCTGAATGACTGCAATAAACAGAAGCCGCCTGTTGACCTACATGGCAGATGTAGTATAAATGAGAAATACATCTTGTTATGTAAAACCACAGAAATTTGAGGTTGTTTCCCCAGTGTAACCTAACCTATTGTGACTGAGATAACAATAAACATCTCAAATATTGTCACCTTAACTATGAGCATAAAAAGGTCATAGGGGAGAAATCATTGTGGGCTACAGTAGTCTGAAGGCATAGTTAGGTCATAAAAGATAATACAAGGGATATAAAGGAGTAGGAAGAGAGTTAGAGGCAGAAAAAACCCACAAAGGCATACAAACAAGAATGTATTTCTGCCTTTATTATAGGGCTTAATATAATATAATCACTAGTGTATTTGGTGGGCTCCTTTCTTCCAAAGACCTGGGCTTGCCACCTTGGTCCCCGCAGGGCTGGCTATGATAGGTGCTCAGGGTGTATTTGTTGAATAAACTAGCAGAGCATATTGAGGACAATGGGATGACCAAGCTGAGTCAATCAAAAGGTAAAAGAATATTCTATTTGACTGGCAAAAGGCACCACTTTAAATATCAGGGACAATACATGTACAGCAGGAGTGTCAATTTCAAGAAAACCTTCATCTTGGAAAGACCTGAGTTTCCTCATCTATAAAATGAGGGTTCAAGACCAAATGACACCAAAGGTTTGCTCCAGTCCTCATAGCTAGGATGCTATTATTATTTTTTCATCCAAGAATTGAATCGCTTTCTCCACTAAACTTTAATAATTTCTACGGTCTAACCATGTCATTGGATTTTTCATAACGTTATTGTTCTTTTAAAAGCTTCAGGGTCTTATAAAATTCTATGCCAGCATTTGAGCCAGGGGTTCTTTAAAGTGGAAAACATTGGTTTCTAAAGAAATATTCAGATTGTGATAAGTTCAAACCAGGCCCAAATTTCTTCAATGCATGTGTAATATACAATTTCGTTTTTGCTCAAGAATTTTATTCTTAGGGAAGTTTTTGAGGTGTCATGAGAAAGGAGGGGGAAGGAAGTAGAGAATGATCTCTATGTGGTAGTGGATGCAAATAATTAGCTACATCTAAAATTTTTATAACTATGATTGATTCATGTACAACTTAGGTATTAAAAAATAAAAATAAAAAATAGACCAGGCATGGTGGTTCATGCCTGTAAACCCAGCATTTTCGGGAGCCGAGGCAGGAGCATCACTTGAGCCCAGGCACTTGAAACCAGCCTGAGCAACACAGTGAGACCCCATCTCTCCAAAAAAAAAAATAGCCAGGCGTGGTGGCATACCTGTGGTCCCAGCTATTGGGGAGCCTGAGGCAGGAGTATCGCTTGAACCCAGAAGGTCAAGGCTGCAGTGAGGTATGTTCATGCCACTGCACTTCAGCCTGGGTGATAAGAGCAAGATGCTGTCTCAAAAATAAAAATTAAAAATATGTGTGTGTGTGTGTGTGTGTGTGTGTGTGTGTGTGTGTGTGTGTATATATACTTTTTTCTCTAAAATTTTCCAAAGTTATATTTCAGAAATCCTTCTTCTTTTTTTTCTTTTCATAAATATATTTGGATTTCACTGCTGGTTTCTGGTTTGCTTCACTGCGTGACCCCTATCACACCTCGCACCATTTTTAAAAATACATATAAGGACTGAAGTCAAGAGCACTCTAACACTTACTCACACTTTAGCATACCCAAGGCAGGGGCCAGGGCCCTGAGGAGTGCCAGCCCTTGGGCCAACCACTAAGTACTTTGAGGCAAGAGCAGGCCCAGGGGGGTTGAGACACATCCTCCATTCAACACTCCAGCCCCAGGGGTGTCATCCTGCTCCAGGCCGCCAGCCCTTCCAACGGAACTGTCTAAACTGTCTTTGACTAAGGCCTGGGACAGCCTTCGTCGTAGGTAATCTAATAAAGCTATTAAGCAATAATGATAGAGACCATGCTTATTAGAAGATGACTGCACACTCAGGAGGATGATATTAGCAGCAAGGCCCACCCAGAGGACCTTCAATCTCCTAGGAAGGAGATTAATTCATGATAAATACACTCACTGGGGCCTTCATTGCTTTCGAAATTTAAAAAATAATATTCTTTATTTTGGAGAAAGATGATAAGAGAGGGAGAGGGAAGAGGGCTTTTGAACAATAATATCAGATGTGATGCATTCAGATTAATGGGATCTGCTAGACTGTTCCACTGCCAGTCAGTGCCTCATTAATCCAACTATTTTTATAATAAAAGCAGAAGACACTCAAGACGAGTTTCTCCTGTTGTGGAAAAAAAAAAATACATGTATCTATTCCAAAAGCATATCTTAGGGAGGCTCAGTGAGGGAATGAGGAAGGCAGGGTATTCACCTAGTCTAATTACATGTGGTCAGTTTGAATGCTTTTCTTTTTATTTGTACTTTCTTAACACCGTTTGGGAAAAACATGACATATTTTTCTCTCTGGTTTCAACAAGCGTATTGACTCATCCGTGCCAATGCACATCAAAGCATATGCTGTCAGCCCCTAGCAGGTATGCGGGGTGTGCGTGTGTGTGTGCATGTGTGTGTGAGATTCCCATCCAGTGCTGGATCAGTACTTCTGATACGGCTGTCTTCACTTCCAGGGAGGCATCTCAGACATGACATGATAGAAATGTGACCAACACACAAGCTCCCAGATACTTTCCCCACAAGAAGCCTAAGATTCTCCACAATGGCATAGCTGTACAATGGCTGCAAATATAACACATTTTACCACACGTCCACCTACAAAAGCAAGGAGTTCTAAGCACATAAAGCAAAGAATTCATCTGGGAACACCCCCAGCAAAAAATTTCCCCATTTCCCTTTTCCCCTTCATCTCGATACCACATTGGAGCTCATGTGATATTGTGTCCAGAATTGGTAGGTTCTTGGTCTCACTCACTTCAAGAATGAAGCCGCGGACCCTCGCAGTGTTACAGTTCTTAAAGGCAGTGTGTCCGGAGTTTGTTCCTTCTGATGTTCCGATGTGTGCGGAGTTTCTTCCTTCTGGTGGGGTTCGTGGTCTCGCTGGCTCAGGAGTGAAGCTGCGGACCTTCGCGGTGAGTCTTACAGCTCTTAAGGCGGCGCATCTGGAGTTGTTCGTTCCTCCCGGTGGGTTCGTGGTCTCGCTGCTTCAGGACTGAAGCTGCAGACCTTCGCAATGAGTGTTACAGCTCATAAACGCATGGTGGATCCAAAGAGTGAGCAGCAACAGAACTTATTGCAAAGAGCGAAAGAACAAACCTTCCATGGCGTGGAAGGCAACAGGAGCGGGTTGCCACTACTGGCTCGGGCAGCCTGCTTTTATTCTCTTATCTGGCCCCCACCCACATCCTGCTGATTGGTAGAGCCCAGTGGTCTGTTTTGACAGGGCGCTGATTGGTGCGTTTACAATCCCTGAGCTAGATACAAAGGTTCTCCACGTCCCCACCAGAGTAGGTAGACACAGAGTGTCCATTGGTGCATTCACAAACCCTGAGCTAGACACAGGGTGCTGATTGGTGTGTTTACAAACCTTGAGCTAGATACAGAGTGCTGATTGGTGTATTTACAATCCCTTAGCTAGACATAAAGGTTCTCCAAGTCCCCACCAGACTCAGGAGCCCAGCTGGCTTCACCCAGTGGATCCCACACCAGGGCTGCAAGTGGAGCTGCCTGCCAGTCCCGTGCCATGCGCCCACACTCCTCAGCCCTTGGGTGGTCGATGGGACTGGGCACCGTGGAGCAGGGGGCGGTGCTCGTCAGGGAGGCTCGGGCCGCACAGGAGCCCACGGAGGGCTGGGGGAGGCTCAGGCATGGCGGGCTGCAGGTCCGGAGCCCTGCCCCGGGGGAAGGCAGCTAAGACCCGGCGAGAAATTGAGCACAGCAGCCGCTGGCCCAGGTGCTAAGCCCCTCACTGCCCAGGGCTGGTGGGGCCGGCCGGCCGCTCTGAGTGCGGGGTCCGCCAAGCCCACGCCCACCTGGAACTCGCGCTGGCCCGCAAGCACCGCGCGCAGCCCCGGTTCCTGCCGGCGCCTCTCCCTCCACAGCTCTCCGCAAGCTGAGGGAGCCGGCTCTGGCCTTGGCCATCCCAGAAAGGGGCTCCCACAGTGCAGCGGCGGGCTGAAGGGCTCCTTAAGTGCCGCCAAAGCGGGAGCCCAGGCAGCGGAGGCGCCGAGAGCGAGCGAGGGCTGTGAGGACTGCCCTCTCAATATGAGGGTTTACTTTTGCAGGTGTACATCCTTAACAATTACCTCCAAATGTCTCTCAGATCTTCTGCTCCTCTCTACCTCCATAGACATGACCCTAGTTCAAACTATTATAATTTCTCACTTGGGCCATTGCAATAGACTTGCAACCTGCCCCTTCTAATCCATCCTCCACATTGCATTCAGAATAATCAAGTTTTCTTTTTGACGTAAAATTCACATAACATAAAATTAAGCATTTTAAAGTTTACAATACATTGGTATTTAGTATATTCACAATGTTGTGTACACCTATGCCAACTTCCAAAACCTTTGAACCACCCCAAAAGAAAATCTGTTAGGCCATCACTCCCATCCCGCCCCCAACCCATAGCAACCACCAATCTGATTTACTTATTCTGGATGTTTCACAAAAATGAAACATGAGATATGTGATCTTTGGGCCTGGCTTCTTTCATTTAGTGTGCTGTTTCTGAGGTTCATCCACACTGTAACATTATCTCATTCGTTTGAATGAGTAACATTCCATTGGATGGGTATACCACTATTTGTTTATCTTTTCATCTGTTGATGGATGTTTATTTCCACTTTTGGCTATAAGCATGCTGCCATGAACGTTCATATACAAAGTCAGAGTCATCTTCATACACACACACACACACACACACACACACACACACCTGATCATGACCTCACTTCCTTAACAGAGGACCAATAAAAACTCAAGAAGGCCAAAAAGACCTGAGCCTAAAACAATCTGACAATTCTGGTGGCAAACAGAAGTCAATCAAAGTGGCTAGGTGGTGTCATGAAAATAGTTTGAGTTGAAAGGTCCTGTGAAGCTTGTAGAAGTCTGGCCAGCCTTGAGCTATTGACCCCTCGCCTTTCAAAGGGAAGGGAGGAGAGAAACTAAACTGGGAGCTTCCAGCCAAGGCGATCATGGGCTGCCAGTTCCCAGATGTTGGGGATTTCCCCACCTCACTCTTCAGGGCTCTCACCAACCAAATGAAATTTAACCAATGAATAGAACAGGGTCAAAACATTGGTCTTTCATCAGACTCTGATTTCTGCTCTCAGGCCTGTCAGTATTACTTACGAACTGCAATGGAGAGAACCCTTCATTTTGATGGATTTTTGCAGGAAAATTTACCTTCTAACTGTATGCCAAAGTGATTAACCCTTTTATGCTAATATCAAGCCAGACCAGT
This sequence comes from Homo sapiens, assembly GCF_000001405.40. NCBI lineage: Eukaryota > Metazoa > Chordata > Mammalia > Primates > Hominidae > Homo > Homo sapiens. The sequence continues at coordinate 55,838,132 of NC_000014.9, read as the reverse complement.
TGCAGGCATTTTGTTCATTAGAAGGCATCATTTTTCAACTCTTATCAGTATGTAAATTAGATTTTGACTCTCGGGTTGCCTCCTCCAAAGGCACAACCCCCCAAAATTCAATTAATGTAATTTTCATTCTAGAGTGACACTTCAGATGGTGAGGGCTTGATAGAGACCAAGCTGAGGACAGAGCTGGGCTCTCAGGAAAGCTGCCACTTCAGTCTACTCCTGGCAGAACCAGGGAATGCTAGGTCTTCCTAAGGGAGCAACCACCAAAAATCAAACCACAGGGATATGAACCAGAAGATGCCACTATTTTCTTGCTGAAAGTTCTTTAGAAATCACTAATACCAACCACCTTCCTTGACAAATCAGGAAACAGAGGCTTCCATTGCAGAGAGGGGAAAGTTCCAATGTGGATGTTCACCATGGGCTATCTGAGCATTCCTAGAATGCCAGCTGCTGACCTAGGTCCAACTGAACATCAGAGAAACATGTTTTTCATCTATTTGCTGGAGCTCAGAACATAATACCCCAAAGTATACCATCTTGGCATGTGGAGTACTTTGAACTAATGGAGTTTGGAAGAACCTCAGAAACTGGATCTTTCTGACCTCCCATGCTCCCGTCTCCTGCCCTTCTTTCTCTCTGAAAGCAAATCATAGAAACCAAAACTGCTGTCCTCCAGGGCAGGTCATAGAAACTAAAACTCCTCTCCCACAAAGCAAACCATAAAACCTAGAAAGATCACTCTCTCTCTTCTCCCTTGAAGACCCCCATTCAGAGGGGTCCTGTCCCATACCCAGGAGGAAGGAATGCTACACAGAGAGTCTGAGAAGGATCTGAACAGATAGGGCTTAATGGATTTCCCCCTTAGTCTATTCCCATTAGATCATCCTCTTTTTGTCCAATCACATTTCTACACAGCTTCATTGAATCTAAGCATAAAAATAGACAGTTTTCCCTGGGCTTTTGGGTCTTCATTTCTGAAGCCTCCTGTGTCACATAGATCCTAATTAAATAAATTTGTTATGCTTTTCTCCTGTTAACCTGCATTTGGTTGGAGTGTTGGCCATGACCCTTATGATGGGTGGGAAAAAGTTATCATGACTTTTCACCCCTACTGTTTTTCTATACTTTCCTACTTTTTTTCTATACTTTTCCTTTCCCTGGTGCCATCACCCTCCTGGTACCATCACCTTCCTGGTACCATCACTTCCCGACACCACCACCTCCCTGGTGCCATCACCCCAGCTACTCAGCAGATTACATGTGGTATCCCATTTCTATCTGTCTTCTCAAACATTGCCTTAGATCTTAAATTTTTCCTTTTGTTTCTTCTCCCTTTTCTATCACTTCTTGGTTATTTGCTTTGATGACCTATTGAATGCAGTGGATTCTCCCAGAAAAAAATGAAAAATACATGCAAACACACAATTTCGTGTATGATTTTAGAGAGTTCACAGACTTCCTGAAGCCTGATTCACCTATCCCAACTTAAGAACTCTTGCTTTCTGCCTTTCCCTCACTAAGAAAACATGGAAGAAAGTGGCATAGCATGTACATTTTGCACTGAAAGGGGTTAACCAACCCAGTGTCCTAGAAAGCAGAGCCTGAGACCAAGACTTAAAAGAGAACACTTTGTTGGGAAGTGTGATTCTAGGCAGATGGATGGAGGGAGGATAAAACAAGGAGGGATGCACTGTGGAGTTTGCCAACATGAGGGGTGGGGCATTAACTGCCCTGAATGGTACAACCTGAAAGCCTAGTGGATACCCAAGGAATCCCACACTGAGGCATCAAGAGAGAAGCTCTGTGGTGGGTGTTCAGAGATGTAGGAGTGAGGGCCTGAGGTGAATCATGGCTGGGCTCCTTGCACCTGCATGAAGCTGGTCTGACCTCTCCCTGATGACTACTAATCCCCAGGATAGGGGACAAAATAAGGTACAGGTGAGGCTATAAGGTTCTACAGCGCTGCCTGAGGTGTATCTGATATAGGAATCTCGGAGATTGATTTATAGTCCTCATTAAGCTAATAAACTCACTCACACTTACCTGTCAGTGACTGATAAGAATTCTGATTGCCCAGAGGTTTCCTAGGCAGAGTTACACCTCGTAAACAAACTATTCAAAAAACAGTTAAATATACTAAATTGGTTAAATAGACTAAGATGTGGTTTTCAAAGTATGGCCCCCAAAGGAAAATATCAGCAGCATTCAGGAATTTGTTAGAAATGCAAATTCTGAACAGGTGAGGTGGCTCACACCTATAATTCCAGCACATTGGGAGGCCGAGGCAGGCAGATCACCTGAGGCCAGGAATTTGAGACCAGCCTGGTCGACTTGGAGAAACCCCATCTCTACTAAAATAAAATACAAAAATTAGCCATGTATGGTGCTGCGCACCTGTAATCCCCTCTACTCAGTAGGCTGAGGAAGGAGAATCGCTTGAACCTGGGAGGTGGAGGTTGTAGTGAGCCGAGATCACGCCATTGCACTCCAGCCTGGGTGAGAGAGTGAGACTCCATCTCAAAAAAAAAAAAAAAAACCAAACAAACAAAAAAAAACCCCACAAATCCTTAGGAAGTGTCTCAGGTCTACTCAATCAGAAACTTCCAGCAATCTGCTTTAACAAGCGTCCAAGTGATTCTAATGCAGACTAATTTGAGAAGCACTGCACTAAGGTATATCCATATATATTTTGCAGAATACTTATGCAACTATTAAAATTGTTCTCACAAATGAATAATGATAGGGAAAGGTGTGCCTAGTACTATGACACTGTGATTTATGATAAGATATATATATATGTGTATATATATATATATATATATATAGTGTGTGTGTATATACACACACACACATATATGTGTGTATATATATATATATATAGTGTGTGTGTGTATATACACACACACACATATATACTGGCACACAGCTTCTAAAACCCTTGGAATCTTCAGTGTAATAAGAGTATCTTTTGTATGTTAAAGAGATGACTGGCACCTGGCAGCCCCTAGATAGCTTCAGGGTGGGAGTTGGCCATGGGAAAGACCAAGACAGGATTGGAGGGTTGGGACTTTCATCTCCACCCCACCAACCTCAAGGAAAGGGAGAGGGGTTGAAGGTTAAGTTGATCACCAATGTCAAATGATGTAATCAACCATGCCTATATAATGAAGCCCCCATAAAAACCCAAAAAGACTAGGTTGGTGACTTCTAGATAACTGAACACATGGAAGTTCCTTGAGGGTAGCCTGCCACAGAGGGTATGGAAGCTCTGAATCCCATCCCATATGCTTTGCCCTATGCATCTCTTCCATCTGGCTGTTCATCTGTATCCTTCAAAATATCCTTTGTAATAAATGGGTAAATGCAAGTGTTTCCCTGACTTCTGTGAGCTGCTCTAATTAATTGAAACCAAGGAGGCAGTTGTGGAAACCCTGATATATAACTGGTAGGTCAAGAGACTAGATGACAAGCTGTCAGAGGTGTCTGAATCAGAGCAAGTCCATCTTGAATAGGAGCTGTGTAAAATGAGGCTGAAACCTACTGGGCTGCATTCTCAGATGGTTAAAAGATAGGAAAAACCAAAACGTCCTACTCTCACACACCACTCAACACAATACTTTTGATACGACATGTGTGAGATTTTTCCACAAACACCAACCAATTCAGCAGACACCAGCTGGGTGTCATCTAATTCAGTTCAAACCTGGCACTATCTATCTATCTGGAGTAGCAGGTTGAGGGATCCACCCCACAAGACTGCCCTGCACTTCAAATGCCACTTATAAGTAATAGCTTTGTTACAGGAAAGGAGTCCTAATTCAGACTCCAAGAGGGTTCTTGGATCTTGTGCAAGAAAGAATTCAGGGCAAGTCCACAGAGTAAAGTGAAAGCAAGTTTATTAAGAAAGTAGAAGAATAAAAGAATGGCTACTCCATAGACAAGCCCTGAGGACTACTGTTTGCCCATTTTTAGGGTTATTTCTTGATTATATGCTAAAAAACACATGGATTATTCATGGGTCCACTTTTTAGAACATATAGGGTAACTTCCTGACGTTGCTATGGCATTTGTAAACTGTCATGGAGCTGGTGGGAGTATAGTCATTAGGACAACCAGAGGTCAGTCTCGTCATCTTGGTTTGGGTGGGTTTTGGCTGGCTTTTTTACTGCAACTTGTTTTATCAGCAAGGTCTTTATGACTTGTATCTTGTGCTGACATCCTGTCTCACCCTGTGATTTAGAATGCCTCAACCATCTGAGAATGCAGCCAAGTAAGTCTCAGCCTCATTTTACCAAGCGCCTAGTGGGGTTTCTATAAATATTGGCTAAATTAGTTATAGTTAATGCCTACATAGTCCTTATTATATATCAGGCTCTATTTAAGAGCTTTATGTATATTAGCTCATTTAATCCACAGACCAATCCTATGAGGTGAGAACTAATATTATTCCAATTTTATGGATGAGGAAATTACGTGAAGAAGACATGCCCAAGATCATACAGCTATTAAGTAATGGAGGTAAAATTCACATCCAAAATTCTGAATTAGAGTCCATGACATTAGCCATGATGGATGGATGGATGGATGGATGGATGGATGGATGGATGGATGGATGGATTTTGGTTCTCCTTGGCAACTTACTTCATAATTTTTCTATGAAACCACATTACAACTGAGTGTTTTGTGCCACAGGTATCTCATAAATACATAGAACTCCACAATCAGTCTCTCTTCTAATGCAGAAATAGCTCTTTGGAAGGCAAAGTTTCCTCCCATGTGAAATGAATTTAATTTTCCAGGTATCAGTAAGCAACTGATTTTTTTCTTACTCTATAAGAATCCCTTGATTTTAAAAGAGTAGCATTTTATTGCCAGAGAAGAATGACTTTTTTATGATGTAACCATGTCATTAGCCAAGCATGAGGGGCAGTTTCAACCCTCATTTTAAAAATAGTATCGTCCTAATAGTAGTACATTAACAAGAGCAGGCTCAGTCTGGGGCAGCCTATTCTGTTTCTTGCTATTCTTTAACTTTCCTTTCTTTCCCACTTCCTTCCTTTCTTCCTCCCTTTCTTCCTTCTGGAGGTAATACCCTCTGAAGGAACATCAAATTAGAGTTCAGATAATGTGGCTATTTTTTATGAGAAACCAATTACATTCAGTACAAACGCCTTTTACTTTGACAAAGTTCTTTGTATTTTAAAGTACTGCTTTCCTGTATATTATCTCACTTGATTCTAGCAAAAAAAAAAAAAATCCCCTTAAATAAAACAAAATACATCATTATTTTGCAGATTAGAAGACTAGAGTTGCCATTCTATACCTTTCACCAAATTGTAATACCAGTTTGTTTAGAGATAGGATTATTTATTTGATTCATTCAACAAATATTTATTCAGAATGTACTGTGTGCTGAACACTGTTCTAGGTGCTTGGGATATACCAGTGGGCAAACAAAGATTTCTGAGGCTGAGGAGCTTAATTCCAGAAGGAGAGATGCAAAATAAACATAATATAGTATATAGTATGAAGTATATAGTTAGAAAATGATAGAGGACGTGGAAAAGCCCAGAGAAAGTGGGACAGGATGTGCAGTGATGAACATGTTGCAGGGACAAATGGGTGGTCAGGAAAGACCTCACTGAGATGGTGGCTTTTGATAAAGACTGGAAGAGAAGGAGGAAGCAATGAGAGCCAAGCTGTTACCTGAGGAAGACAGTTCCAGGCAGAAGAGCAGCTTGGATCGGAACACTACCTTCCAGACACCTGGTACAAAGCCTTTGGCACCTCACCCAATGAACCTGATATGGGGAGGGGCAATGGAACAAATGGGCTTTTTACATAAAGTCTACTAGGAAAACATAACCCAGGCCTCCTAGCTGTAATAACGCAAACACACTCTATGGAAATGCCTATGATTCATTAGTAAATGTTTAACAATCAGCATTCCAGAGAGACCTGTAATGTATGTCAATTTGGGTGGTGTACTTTCACTATGGCCAATTTCAAGTTATCAAAATGACATTACTGAACTTGGAGTTGGAGCTGGCTTCAACATGCTGATCCTTACCCTCTTCTAGGGAAAAAATTTCCAAAACCTACCCCCAGAATTCCAGAATTTCTTACCATCTATCCCTTATTTATTATTTCTTTATTCTGAGATGGGGCCTTTTTCCCCCACCTTCATACTGTTACTGGAAAGAGGTCCCAATCCAGACCCCAAGAGAGGGTTCTTGAATCTCATGCAACAAAGAATTCAGGTTGAATCCATACAGTAAAGTGAGAGTTAGTTTATGAGGAAAGTAAAGGAATAAAAGAATGGATACTCCATGGAGCAGCCCTGAGGGCTGCTGATTGGCTATTTTTATGCTTTTTCCTTGATTATATGTCAAACAAGGAGTGGATTATTCATGAGTTTTCTGGGAAAAGGTTGGGCAAATCCCAGAACTGAGGATTACTCCCCTTTTTAGACCATATAGGGTCAATTCCTGACGTTGCCATGGCATTTGTAAACTGTCATGGCACTGGTGGGAGTGTCTTTTAGCATGCTAAGGCATTGTAATTAGCATATAATGATCAAAGAGGATGACCAGAGGTCACTTTCATCACCATCTTGGTTTTGGTGGATTTTGGCCGACTTCTTTACCCCACTCTGTTTCATCAGCAAGGTCTTTGAGACCTGTACCTTGTGCCAATATCCTATCTCATCCTGTGACAGAATGCCCAACCTCCTGGGAATGCAGCCCAGTAGGTCTCAGACTCATTTTACCCCTATTCAGGATGCAATCACTCTGGTTCAAATGTCTCTGACAATACCCCAGCACCGAAAGTCAAATCAGGAATTTGTCTTTTCCTTTATGTTCTACAGGAAAATTTATGGAGAAAGGCCTGAATAGAGAAAGAAAAATCCAGAGAGACAGAGATGCAAATGGAGGAGTCAAAGACAAATGTTGAGATGAGGGGAAAGGAAAACTTAGCCCCTAACACACAGTCCAGCTGGGTGAAATATTAAAACTTATGTGAATTAGAATTCTATGAACTCCAGCACCAGGGGGAAAAAAGGGAGAAAAAAAGAAAATGTACTGAAAGCATGTGCTTTTTACTTGAGAAAATGATGTGAATCTATCCAAAATACAAATTTGAGTGCAGCTGTCCATCCTGTTTGTTTTACAAAAAAAAAATACATAAATAAAAATAAATAAATAAGTCTTACAAAGGATTTGGGATGGAGTTAGGAAAGTAGGATAGTCAGGCCTGAGTTTAAAACTAGGTGTGCAGAGCTGTCTTAATCATAGCTTTTAATAGTAACAATAGTAACCACATGAAGCCACCTGCTTGCCTTGGTTTATTTAGCAAAATTAACCAGGACAAAGAATGAAATTAAAGGTCCAATTAAAACAGGCCAGAGGATTTTGAGTGTCCACATCTCACCAACCAAAGAAGTTCTAAGTGTGATGAACAAAGGTGCCAGGTAGAGAAAGCTCAGAAATGGCATGCTCTGCCATTCCACCCATGGCAAGGGGACTCTGCAATAAGCCCACATCCTTTGGCTAGAATGTCTCAATCCATTTAGTGGAATGATTCCTTTGAGTTTCATTCAAATTTGTAATCCACTGGGCAACACTGAATTGAATCTATGTTGGAAGGCTGTTGTGGAATAAAGCCATTAAAACTATTCTTAAGTCTTTATCTCTGAAATTCCTTTCCAATTTGCTTCAAATAATACCAACTCTGCCTAGCCTTCTGGATGCAATACTCAAGGTGTTCTTTCTCTGTGCACTTAGTAGAGGGGAGAGACCAGGGAGATCCCACAAATATTTTAGAGGCTTTTTTCCAAAGAGGCACCGATCTTCTTTATCTCTTGTATGAAATATTTTCTACCTATCTCACCGAGTTCCTATGAAAACTGAGCTTTAAGTAAAACTGAAAGCACCATGAGCCTTTGAATCAGAGGTTTTGATAACTATTATTATTATTTGCTATCACAAGAGACATCCACTGTTTTGTCTTCTGAGAAATGTACCTTTCGCTAAGCTCCAAACATGATTTTAAAGAGAGCAGCGGTCATTTTATAGAACATGCCTCCCTGGCCACAGTGATTGTTCTAGAGGTATCATGTGACTCAAGCAGGAACAATCATGGCAGCCTACCCCGTGGGCTATGATGAAAAGAATATAAGCTTTGGAGGAAATATACATTGAAAAGTCTTTAGAAATAAAAGAAGTCTCAGCTGCACAGGATGTTCTGTCTGGAACCAGCCAGATTTGCATTCTAGTTCAAATATATAGAATATTTCTTGTACACAACTCCTAATCTTCCCTGCCTCACCTCTTATCCATCCTCAGTGACCAGTTCTGTCTAGGTTTTGACCAGCTCAAGCAGGCATGACCTGATAGCACCTCTCCTCTACAAGCTTTTCATGTCCCACCCTGGGACTAGCCAGGAAGGATGGATTCAGATAAGAGCAACCCAGAAGCGCAGGGGAATTAACACTTTGCAGAGCAACACTTGACCATAGGGCAAATAAACCAACAGATAGATGTTCCCTTTTTTCTTTCCCCAGATGGACAGTTCTGAGAGGTATTTCAGATAGTCCTGTGAGATAGAGCACGCAGGTTCTATCTGGCTCAGAGTGGCCAATTATAGCTCTGTGACCTGAGCAAGTTACTTTCAAAGGGTATACTATCACTTTCCTTGAAGGTCTACTTCAAGCCACCTTCCTGACACCATGGTTACCTATTGTAAATATCAGCTGTGACCCTTTATAACCCACTCTACTGACAATCAAAAAATACATCCTTCTCTCCAATTCTTCTTTATAATCTATCAGAATCCCTAACAGTCCATCCGCATTTTAATTACAGTTACCTCAAACTTTAATAAAGATCATGATCATTCATACTTTGTCTTTCTCTTTTCCACATAATTTCTGCTTTTTTCTTCCCTCATAGCGCTTACCTTCTAACCTCTGTGTCACCACGATCAGTGAAATCTCTCCAAATTCTTCACACTCTTCTAAGAAGGCAAGATGGTGTTTTGTGAAAGAGCAGAAAAAGCTCTGGACAAAGAATCAGGATTCCTGGGTTCCAGGTCCTACTTGCCAGTGATGGCCTCAGGGGCCTACGGCAAGAGCCGCCTCCTCTCAGTTCAGTGTCTTCAAACATAAAGAGATGCCCAGCAAGGTCATTTCCAAAGCTCCTTCTTGTCCTAACTTACAGTGTCTAAGCCAAATGTTATAGAATTGTGAGGTGGCCTTGGGTCAGTCATCTGACTTTGATGCTGCCATTTGCCTCCTCAATTGTCCCAGCTCCCTCATTCCTAAACCACAGGAGGCCACGCCAAGACAGTGGCTGAAGTGTATCTACCTGACTGCCATGAACACATGCAAAATGGTGTGGAGGAAGACTGTTCAATAACCATGAAATATATACATCCAAATGTATTCACAGTAAGAACACTATTTCCTTGAGGAAAAGGGGGGATAGAAAAAAATGTTTTAAAGTTTACACATTATAGCCAGATTATGAGTGATTTTTTTCCTTGTGATTGCTGAATTATCTAAGTTGGCTACAATAAGCATGTATTGTTCATTGTAATAATGTTTAAATAAGATTATGAACTGAAACTGCTCTGCCCACAGGCCAGGCAGGCAGCCTCTAATGCTGTGGCCTGAGCCTCCTGCATCCTGAAACATCTGCCTGAGCAGCAGCTTCCACGAGGTCTTTCCTTCTCGGCCTTATTTCCCACCATTCATCTCACCCACTCTGTGTTGAACAACAAACAAGGCAGTGTCTCCAGGGGACCCCTGTTAAAGGATTATGTGTTTTTTGGAGGAAAGAAGGAGACCCACGAGCCTTGTCTGGCCCTCCCCATTGGTACACAGAAGCAGATTTGCTTCTCACATCAGTTCATTCTCACCTTGGACAGCAGTAATAGATGACCCCTCGATGGCCTGAGGGTGCTGGGAACAACCTGGGGGTCATAAGCCAGAGACCATAGGCCCTTGAACCAGCTTCTGGGTGAAGAGATAAGGAGGGAAGAGAAAAAGAGATGTCAAGGATGGTGAGAAACAGATGTGATCCCAAAAAATCATTATTAATAGCAACCTGTTTAATCTCAGGTGTCCCAGGTTTGGCAATGTTGGGAGGGAAAAGTTGTCTCCAAGTGAACTTAGAAAGGGAGAAAAGAGTGGATTCTGGAGTCAAGTAGAACTGGTTCCAATCCCACTTACTAGCTATTGCTCCTTTAAAAAAGCTACTCAATCTCCTTCAACCTGTGTTGTTTACTCCTTAACAGTAAAACGGGTAAGAAAAAAAAAATAACCCTATCTTGTCAGGCTATTTTGAAGACTAAAAGAGACAATATCTCTGAAAGGCCTAAAATAATACCTAAAGTAGATCCTCCTATATAACTCCTACTATTAATAATTTGAATTTATTATAAGGTTGCCCTTGGATATTGCTCTTGATAATGTGAATGGTTTGTGACTACCTAATGGAATTCATAGGTAGTCACAAACCATTCATATGATCATTTATACATTTATTTAACAAAAATCTATCAAGCACTCAAATACCATGTTCTGGGGAAACACATCTATGCCCTTAATGAGCAGCCAGTTTGGTACATGAGGGAGACATCTAACAGACAGCGGGGTCACAGTGTAACGGGTGGATGGAAGGTAGGAAGAGGAGTTTCAGGAGTGCTAGAAAGAGAGATCACTGCCTGGGAGAATTGGGGAAAGCTTCACAAAGAAGACAAGGTTTTATCTTTTTGAGGAGGTTTCTTTTGGTAGAGAAGAACAGGGAGGGCATTTTAGTGAGCTCAGCTTATGCGGAAACAGAATTGTGGACAGGATAGGGTGTATTTGGGCAATGGGGTGACTTTCAGTGTTAGCAAAGTACATTTGGGTCAGGAGATGTGAGAACTGAAATTGGAGGCCAGAACTAGATTGTGTTCTTACACACCATAACAAGGAATTGGCAAGGTGGAGCCAGCACAAATCTTTAAGCAGGTGAGTGACTCAATCACATTTAAACATTTTCACTCTGATAGGAGACTGAACTGAAGTGAGAGAAACCTAGAGCAAGAAGAGCAGAAAGGAAGCTGTTGTAATGATCCAGAGAGGAGGTAATGAGACCCTAAGTAAGGCAAGGACAATGATAAGAAGTGGGGGTGGATCCAGAAGCTATGTCAGTGATAGAATTGAAAGGATTTGGAGACTGGCAGGGGCAACGAGGGAGCTGGATGAGTTCCAGGTCCTGGCAAGGTATCCAGCTCTAACGACAGGATGGCTGAGTTCACTGAGAGGCAGGAAGGGAGCCCACTTTGAAGGGATGCTGAATCCAACTTGAGTTTGAGGTGGCTGAGGGGCATGTGGGTGAGATACTTGGTGTAATGTTAGAAATATGGGATCAGGAGCTCAAGAGAAAAGTCTGATGCAAACTTTAGTATAATTAGCACATGGGTTGTCATTGATGCCATGGCAATGGTTAAGATCACAAAGGAAAAGAATTGTACATTGGAATGGGGCCAGTGACTGGTGGGTGCATACATCCAGGTTTGCCCGGGATAGTCCTAGTTTACACCTGTTGTCCCAGCATCACTATTAATAGCAACTGTTTAATCTCAGGTGTCCCAGGTTTGACCATAAATTATACGGTCCTCTTACCAACGACCTAACTCTGGGGACCATCAAAGAGTGAAAGAGACAGGGCTGGGAAATCAAAAGGTTGGAGGAAACCAGGAAGGAGAGCATCTTTAATCATGCAGGGAATAGTCTCTAATTAAATGTATAAATTCTACACTATCAAATAAAAAACCCAACAAAACTTTTATTGGAACTTGATCATTTAAACTAAAGTCATCCTTTAAAAAAAAAAAATTAAGCATAAGAGATAAGCCATGAAAATTCCCAGACAGAAGCAAAAGAAGCAAGAACTTCACCATGTTTTAAATTAATTATAAACCTTCACCAATAAAAGAGTTTGGTACTGATGGAGGAATTGACAGAAACATCATTGAAATAGAATAAAGGGTATAAACGTAGAACCAAACACATATGGGAGTTTAATACATGGTAGACATGACATTTCTGATGGATGAAGCTAAGATATATTAATTATTAAATTATGTTGGGACAGCTGGCCAACCATCTGGAAAAAAAATAGGCTAGGTTTCTACACATTACTCCCATTCCAGATGGATAAAGCATTAAACATTTTAAAAAGAAACCATAAATGTACTAGAAGAAAGCATGGATTTTTTTTAATCACCCTGAGGCTGATGTTGGGGTTAAGAAGACCTTAATAACCATGATGCAAATCCCTAAATACATAAAGAAAAGTTGAATGAATTTACCTCAATAAAAATTGGTATTTTCTCATGGGCAAAAAGAACATGAATAAAGCAAAAAAAATCAAATCGCAACATAGGAAAATATTTGTAACATGCGGTAGAACAATCTTGAGCTCTTATGAATCAGTAAGTAAAAGGCCAACAACCCAAGTTTTTTAAGGGAATAAAAGTTATGTAAAGAAAAAAATTACCATTAAACATAAGAAAAGATGCTTAATCTTATTCATAATTTTAATCACTTCCACTTCAGATTGGAAAAAATACACCACTTAATAACAGCTTTATTGACATACAATTCATATACCATAAAATTCCCCCATTTAAAGCATATAGCACAGTGGGTTTTCATATATTCACAGAGTTACGTAACCATCGTAGTATTCCCTCTGAGCCTCAGTAAGCCTGGGGTGATTATGGGGTTGCTGTCATGGAATTGTTGTGAGAAATGATTGGAAATATGCATGTAGAAGACTTGGCACAGTGCCTGACCTATAGGAAGCCCTCAGCCAATAGGAGCAATTATGGTTATTACCTAGGGTCACATAGTAAATCAGGGGTGAAGCTGATGGTGGCACAAGACCCATCTTACCCGCAGGGTTTTCTCCCCTTCCTCTGTCCTCTGGCTGCTGCTTCTGTGCAGTGACTTGAGGAGGTGTAGGTGGGGAAAAGGCAATAACATCAATTGTTTGAAAAACCCTGAGATGGCTAATAATTGAGTCAGCCACAACCACTTCCATCACCTAACCCAGTGATTCTCAAAGTTAAGACTGAACACACTTTCACACACTCTTAGGAATTTTTCCTATGTGTATATTTCATAAATATCTCAAAAATGTCATAAATATCTCATAAAATTAAAATGAAAAATTGGGCAGAGAAAACAAGATTCAAGAAGATGCTGCTTTCCGAAATAAGATACTAAACAAGAGATAACAATTTTCAAGATAGGTGGCTGATAAAAAGTTAATCAATTCATAAATCCTTCATGCACATTGAGACTATAAAAGGGGTATAAAATTGAAAATCTCAGTCAAAGTATTTCAGAAAACAGCCTTTGATATGCTGAGGTTCATGTCCTATTAATGTTTGAGGTGGACACCACTTGCCCCTTACATCAGAGGACTCAATTTGTATACCCCGCAGCTGGGGATCAAAGTGGACTGGTTTCTGGGACAACTCACCTACTTACCCAACACCAAAAATCAGCCATCCCATTAAAGAATCTGTTGGGAAAACCTTCCTACAAAACTACAGAAGAAACCTACTTCAGCCCTCTGTACCAGTCAGCCTAAGTCCTTCATTCATAAATAAAAGGAATCTCAAAGAAGCTAGATTTTTGAAGGAAATCAGAAATATGAAAGGGAAAGACCAAATAAAACAACTAAACCCTCCCAGGAACCAGAAAATTCAAGGAATAGAAGAAAACTTAAAAATTCTAAATGAGTATCCTCAGAAAGATTCAAGAGGATTTTGCTTTCACAAAATATGAATGCTCCTATGAAAAGAAAGCATCAGGAATAAAGGAAGAGTACGTGGATATTTAAAATATAATTGACAAAATGAAATTATTCAACAGAGAGGTGGAATATTAACATAGACGTGGCCAAGGCTGAATTGGTATCTGCAAAACAAAGCCAAGGAAATCTCAAAGAGCTTCAAACTAAGTGACAAAGAGAAAGTTTTGTAATTGAAATGTGGGTTAGTTGCTCACTGCATGCAGAGAGTCCAATTAAAAAGAGCGAAGTCTGATATGAAGCAAGTATATTTACTCTGAAGCTAGCTTGGGGAAGAGGCACAGATGTCCTGCCTTAGTGCTCCACTTTTGGAACAGAAAGTAGACACTTTTATAAGGTAGGGGAGAAAATGAGCAAGGGCAGGGGCTCCTTATCTACTGGGCAGTTGAGTTGGTGCTTTCCAAGTTGTAAAGTGGCCAAATGGGCATGCTTTTAACATACCTACCTGAGGCAAGCCCCTGGAGGTGAGAGTTCTGTGGGAGCATGCGTTGGTCTGCAAATCAACTGTCAACTCTCAAGGAGAGGTCTGTCTTGGAGCAGACAGATGAACTTGCCCTGTAGGGAATGTCTGGTGACGGGGAGGTGAAGGTTATATTTGCATTTCTAAAGGGCTAAGAGGTGGGGGAACCGGGGAAAAAAGAAGAAAAGAAATAAAAGAAGAGAGAGAGGGAAAAATTAATTAAACCACCTCTTAGAAAAATGGGAGTACTTGGTTACAGTTTGAAAAGAAAGTTGAAAAAGACAAAGACCAATCCAGGGGGTCCAACATCTGTTTAGTAGGAGTTCAAAAGAGAGACAAGAGAGACAAGAGACAAACTGGTTCAAAAGAGAGAGAAGAGAAATTTGCATGAGGAAATAGTAATAGGATAAACAAACATAAGAATTTTTTGAGCTAAAGATTCAAGTCTTTAGATTGGGATAGGTCTACAGGCTCCCAAGCAGGTGAACTGCGGGAAAAGTGACATTTATACACCTTCTTATGAGATTTCAGAACTCCAAAGATGAATATTCTAACACCTCTCAGAGAGGGAAAAACAAGTCACCCATGAAGAAGTACTAAGATGGCATCAGACTTCTCATCTGCATTACAAGCTATCAGAAGACAATCGAGCAAATTCTTTAACATTCTAATGACACGAGTCATTCTGTACCTACACATGCCAGTTATTGATTTATGGCCTCTTGGCTCCAAATTCTCCCTTTTTGCTTGCTCTGTGAAAATGGATCTGGATCCTTTAAGTATTTTCCCTTACCTGGTATCACTGAAACACTGCCAGTAGAGAGCCCTGAAGAGACATCCCTGGGGAAAAGAGATTGATTTGCTTGCTGGTTCTGGAATGTTCCCTTGGTGGGCTCCTATAGCACGAGCAGCTTCTTCAGCATCAAGCTGCAACTGCCTTTGCAAAAATTATAACTGAGAAAATTATGACAGTGAGAGAGATCTGACCTAACCGACTCCATCTTGTTTCTAACCTCCAATCTACCCTTGTTCATTCCTGGGCATAGGCTGAACTAACTTTAAGAGAAACTTATTTTATAGTTTGAAACAAAGACTTTAACAGTCCTTTCCCAAAACAAACTCCCTTTCTGCCTGGGGACTAGACTGTCTTTGCAGGACTAACAAATTAGTCACAAGATTAGAAATGATGGCTTAGGAGTTATGAAGCTAGAGGCTGCAAGGTTCTGCTCCTGGGGATACCATCACTATTATAAAATCTAAGATGACTGCTTGAGATATTTTATAGACCCTAATCGATCTGCTGGCACCACCCTAGATAGATAAACTAGTTCATCTGGTCTTATGGCTCACAACTCAAGAACTGACTCAGCACAAGAGGACAGCTTCAACTCCCTGTGATTTCAACTCTGACACAACAAATCAGCACTCCTGACTCACTGGGTCCCCTACCCCCCAAATTATCCTTAAAAACCCCTGATACCTGGTCTCCCATACAGCATGCTCTGTGTAAATTAAACTTTTTCTCTATTGCAATTCCCCTGTCTTTATAAGTTGGCTCTGTTTAGGCAGTGAGCAAAATGAACTGGTTGGGCAGTTACAAAGCTTCTCCAGTAGCCAAGTCCTGTAGCACAAGGCTGGCAGCAGCAGGCTGGAAGTCTGTTCCCCTGGAATCATCCTCTGAGCAGTTTTGTAGTGCAGTGCATCTGGTGAGACACCACCCCATGACCAGCTTTCCATAGCACCTTAGAAGATCAATTTCCAACTGGCGTGGTACCACAGTGACTCCCCTGCTATGCAGTGAGCCATGGCTATGTCCTTTCCAACAAGACCTGGATCTCAGCTCTGGGAACAGGAGGAGAGGAGGAGGGGAGCTCTTTCTGGGTGCTCTGTCTCAGCCCAGGGGTAGAATGGCTCCTTGTATCTGTCATTCCTATATTTTTTAGAGTTCTCTTTCCTTTTTACTTAATAATTCCTCATTACTCCAATTCTCTGTTAAAGTTTATAATTCTTTATATTACTTTTCCTGTTCAAATTACTCTGTAATTTCTGTCTCCTGATTGGACCAGACTGATACACTAGACTTTAGGGGTCCAGATAAATATGAATCATGTATGAGAGCAAAATAAAGGCATTTTCAGAAATCTAACAATGCAGAAAGTTATTCTATAATTTCCAGTAATTATTTGACCATAGAAAATAAGTATGTATGTCATGAACTAGGAAATTGTGGAGGTTGCTTATACTGGTCTTGCATCATTTGGGCTACTTAAAAAAGATGACAAAGACCCCGTCAGTCTCCAGAAAGGAAAAAGTAACTCTTCTGGCATTAGTGGAAATTACAACCCATTAGAACTAATAATTGCTAACCCACTAGATCCCCACTGGAAAACAGGGGAATATGTAACCCTAGGAATTGATGGGACCGGTCTTGATCCCAGAGTCCATATCTTGATATGAGGAGAAGTCCAAAAATGCTTTCCCCAACCAGTGTTTCAAACTTTCTATAATGAACTAAATGTGCTGGTACCAGAAATTCCAGGAAAAACTAGAAACTTGTTTTTGCAATTAGCTGAGCATGTAGCTGGTCTCTTAATGTCACTTCATGTTATGTTTGTGGAGGAACCATAATGGGAGATCAGTGGCCATGGGAAGCCTGAGAATTAGTGCCTACAGACCCCGTTCCCTGTGAATTCCCAGCCCAAAAGAATCATCCTGATAACTTCTGGGTCCTAAAAGCCTCAATTATTGGGCAGTATTGCATAGCTAGAGAAGGAAAAGAATTTACCCACCCTGTAGGATGGCTCAGTTGTCGTGGACAACTACCAAAACAGCCATTTGGTGGAGTTCAAACTACACTGAAAAGAATCCATTTAGTAAATTTCCAAAGTTGCTGACTGTGTGGACCCACCTGGAGTCCCATCGGGACTGGATGGCTGCCACTGAATCCACATACTGGATATGTGGGCATAGAGCCTATGCTAAGCTGCCTGACCAATGGACAGGTAGTTGTGTTATTGGCACTATTAAACCATCTTTCTTCCTACTGCCCATAAAAACAGGTGAACTTCTAGGCTTCCCTGTCTATGCTTCCCACGAAAGGAGAAGCATGGCCATAGGTAATTGGAAAGATGACGAATGGCCCCCTGAAAGAATTATACAATACTATGGGCCTGCTACTTGGACACAAGATGGCTTGTGGGGATAACGGACCCCCATTTACATGCTCAACCGAATCATACGGTTGCAAGCCGTCTTAGAAATCATCACTAATAAAACCGGCCAAGCCTTGACTTTACCGGCCTGACAAGAAACTCAGATGAGAAATGTTATCTATGAAAATAGATTGGCTCTTGACTACTTACTAGCAGCTGAAGGAGGGGCCTGTGGAAAATTTAACCTTACTAATTGCTGCCTACACATAGATGATCGAGGGCAAGTAGTCGAAGACATAGTTAGAGACATAACAAAGCTGGCACATGTGCCTGTGCAAGTGTGGCATGGGTTTGATCCTGGGGCCATGTTTAGAAAATGGTTCCCAGTGATAAGAGGATTTAAAACTCTTATAATAGGAATTATAGTAGTAATAGGAACCTACCTACTCCCTTGTGTGCTACCTGTACTCCTCCAAATGATAAAAAGCTTTGTTGCTACCTTAGTCACCAAAATGCTTCAGCACAAGTGTACTATATGAATCACTATCGATCTGTCTTGCAGGAAGACATAGGTAGTGAGGATGAAAGTGAGAACTCCCACTAGAGAGTGAGGGTCTCAAAGGGGGAAATGAGAGAGGAGACCACTTCTCATATTGTCTTATACTTAATTTCTTGTTTGCTGAAAAAGTAGAAGTTAAAAGAATAGGCAGAAGTGAAATTCATAGGCAGCCCCACGCCACATTTTGGGCCTGGTAGTTAAAATTCAACCCCTGACCTCACCACTTGTGTTATCTTTAGATTCTAGACATTGTATGAGGAAGCATTGTGAAACTCCCTGTTCTGTTCTGTTTCATTCTGATTACTGGTACATGCAGCCTCCAGTCATGTAACCCTCATTTGCTCAATCAATCACAACCTCCCGCCCCCCGCCCTTCACGCGGCCCCTTTAGAGTTGAGAGCCTTGTAAGGGACAGGAATTACTTATTCAGGGAGCTCGGTTACCAGGACGTGAGTCTGCCAGTGCTCCCAGCTGAATAAAACTCTTTCCTTCCACAATCTGGTGTCTGAGGGATTTTGTCTACAACTTCTCCTGCTACATTTCTCCATAGCCTTAAACAACAACAACAAAAAATAATGCAAGAAAAAATAATACATGTTTTCTGGGGAAAAAGGAAGTAACTAGAAGAACCCAGTGAAAAGAAAATTTAGCACAACAATTTTTGCAGTCTTACAAAGCAACTTAGGAAGCAATTGATCCAAATTAAAACAAAAGATCACCAGGTTCTGTGAAGGTCTTCAAAAACAAGATGGCTTTATTTACGATTAAGAAACTGGAAGCTCTTAAAGACATGTTTCTTTGGTCAAACAACAATAAAAAAAGAAAGATAATTAGAAACTCCAGGAAAAAAAACTGTACAGAAAAATCACTTCATATATAATATAAACTAAATTGTGAAAAAAAATTGAGTAATTATCACATTGAGACAGAGTAGAGACAGGGTTTGGCTTCAGCTCACCCCCATTAGAGCCTTCTTTCGTGCATTCCCACTGATCACAAAGCCCACACCACTACCTCACTGATAGTCCTTTTACATAAAAAATTCCAGGAACTGGCATTAGGAGACAACGAAGTTTGCAGTGTCCCACCTTGGGAAGGCAGACTGAGCAACTGATTCACAGCCTTTTTGGGAAAGGGCAGACCACCAGGTGGCCCATGAGACCCATGACTCAAGATAACCATCTGCAACCAGATAATGCTGACCTGCATACCCTACCCCTCATGTGCTTTGCCCAGCCCAGCCTGCATATTCCACCCCCATGTCAATTCTGGAGCTTTGCCTAATCAAAAAAGCCATACCATGTCTTTTTGGAGAGTGAGCCAGGGAATTATCTCTCTTTTGAGCTGTCTCCCTTTGTCTGAGCATAAGCTCCCATAAAGCCTTGTTTAGGAAAACTCTTTTGGCCTCATGTCAATCTCTATTACATTGAGAGCCCAAGAACCCATGGTTGGTAACAACAATGTAAAGAAAAACTAATACATTTGACTTGAGACAGTCTTTAGTTTGTGGCATAGAATGCCATTTCCTTCTCTAAATCTTCATTCCTGCTAGTTGGTTTTACTAGGATTAATAGTTACCTAATTATATTATAAATGGTATTTATTGCATTTCAACTTTTTTTTTTTTTTTTGAGACAGGGTCTCACTCCATTGCCCAGGGTGAAGGGCAGTGGCATGATCATAGCTTACTGCAGACTCGAACTCCCACACTCAAGCAATCCCCTCACCTCAGCCTCTCAAGTAGGTGGGACCACACGCATGTGCTACCACACCCAGATAATTTTTGTAGTTTTTGTAGAGACAGGATCTCACTGTGTTGCCCAGGCTGGTCTCAAACTCCTGGGCTCAAGCAATCCTCTCACCTCAGCTTCCCAAAGTGCTGGGATTACAGAAATGAGCCACAAATTCAACCTTTAGAATCTACATACAAAGTAGAAAGTCTGATTGCAAATGTGCAAATGTACATGGAACCAACAAATGTAAATCTTGAGGATATGAAAAAATACAATGACTGACCAAAGCTCAGAGGGAACAAGGGTGATAGAAGTGGAAGAAGCCAGGACATCCTACATTTCTTATTTTACACATTAAGGAATTAACCCTTTTCCCATTTGCCCTGAGAATACTCGGCGGTTGGAATTGTAGCCACACATTTACCCTGAGATAACTTTGCTATGCAATATCTCATTTTTATTATTATTTTCACATTTTCAAATTGCTCTAGTATATTGACTTTGCAAACAAAAGACATCACTCTATTGATAGCATTCTGTTTTTAGTGGTGGTATTTCCATTAATATTAACAAAATACAGTAATTCTCGATCGCTGAAAATGTCAAATGCTAGAATTCTCGAACACTTGTTGGCCCTTGAAGATTCATTTGATGAGATTGACTTTTCCGATATAGATGATTCTGATTATTCGGAAGATTCTGATATTGGTTCTATTTAGAAATAACTCCAAGAACAGTGTTGATATTTTATTTTCACACTGAAAATCAGTCAGATTTGCTTGACCTTGAAGAGCGTGTTTATGTAAAATTAAATGAGTGCTGGTGGCGAGCTGCACTTCTTTTTTCTAAATGGGAAAATTAATAAATACTGTCTAAAGTTGATGACTCAAATAAATGTATACCTGCATATAAATGTGTGTGTATTTTTAAAATTATGGTGGTAGCCAAAATGATTAAAAGAGGTAGTGGTAATTCAGGAAACTTTTATTTTATTTTATTTTCCTGAGACAGTCTTGCTGTGTCACCCAGGCTGG
Source organism: Homo sapiens (assembly GCF_000001405.40). Lineage (NCBI taxonomy): Eukaryota > Metazoa > Chordata > Mammalia > Primates > Hominidae > Homo > Homo sapiens. Next base: position 55,817,320 of record NC_000014.9, on the reverse strand, counting down.
AGTACAGTGGCACAATCTTAGCTCACTGCAACCTCTGCCTCCCAGGTTCAAGTGATTCTCCTGCCTCAGCCTCCTGAGTGGCTGGGATTACATGTGCACACCACCACGCCCAGCTAATTTTCGTATTTTTAGTAGAGACCGAGTTTCACCATGTTGGCCAGGTTGGTCTCGAACTCCTGACCTCGTGATCTGCCCACCTCAGCCTCCCAAAGTACTGAGATTACAGGCATGAGTCACCATGCCTGGCCCACTTTTCTTTTTATACCTCTTTGATGTTTGATATTCATAAGTATGTATTTGTATTTCTTGGAAAATAAATAACTAAATGAACAAATAAATATTTTAAAAATAAAATGTGTTGATATGGAAAGCTGCCCAATATATATTAACTAAAGAAAAAAGTAGGGTTCAAAACTGTGTTAAGAGCATAACAGGAAAGTTAACATCTATGTGTATGTTTATTGATGCACAGAAAGTTTGTAGAAAAGTACATTAAAAGTTATAAATGATTTTTATAGTTGGGACATAGAAATGATTATAAAACAAAAGTGGGGAGAGTGGAGAAGAATGAGATCTTCAATTTTCAATGTATACCCTTCTATATTATTTGCATTTTTCAGCATGAGTATATATTATACTTTTTTAGGTTTTTAATAAAGCTTTTGGTTCAAACAATAAATTCTTAATAAATCTCTTTTAAAAGTGAAATGTTTACCATGAAGAATTAAGCCATGATAGGAGAATTGTAAGATATAATAAGAACTTTAAAAGACATACTAGGGTTAAGGGACAGTACCAAGAAAGAGTAATACTGGAAGAGGCTGAGGCTCAGACCACAATGAAGATACAACTGCAGACCAGTGAATGGCAGAGCAGTTTGCTGGGTTGCCTGTACCAGAGCTGGTCCACAGTCACCAGGCAGGCAGGAAACAGCTCTTTTAGAGAGCAAGCAAGGCCAGCTGGTGGAGGGCTCACAGAGGGAGCTGGGGAACCACTGTGAGTAGGAGGCCTGGAGTACACAATGTCCATGTTGGGAGGGCTGTGGGAAGGTGATCCCCAAGGTAGGCCAGGTCACAAGATTGCCAAAGGGCCATGGGTTCTGGGCTGATGTCTAAGACAAAGCACCATTAGATGTCATTGCACCCACCCCATCATCAACTGTGCAGCAGCAGAAAGTGGCCAGGAGATTCTTTCTTCTACAGTGTCCTCCAGTGCCCTCTAATAAGAAAGCCTAATAGTACTCATTGTAAAGAAATGAATACAGGAATTCCATCCATTACAGCACGTATGGTAGACATTGAAAGTTGCAGGGTGAATTGGGGACTGTAAGGCCTATATATTGATAATTAACGTGGCTTTCATGGCAGAGGCAAGTCAGATTGGAAGAGATGGAATGGTGATCAGAGTACAGTCGCCTACAAATAGCCCTGCTCAGCTCCCAGAGAAAGTGTTTGCCTGTGAGGGTGATGAGGGAATCTGAGAGAGTATTTTGAACTTCAAATCAGGAGCAACAGAGAACAGACTCCCTATAATGGCAGGGTGGCATAGACAGCCCACTGCTTCCTCCCTCCTGGACCTTTCTTGGTATTATTTCTATGTATAGAATTTGATGGGCAACAAAATATAAGAATTACAAGACACTTGATCATGAGTTTTGCCACGCTGCAGCCTCTGGTGCAGCCATAGCTGCACAGTCATCACAGCCAACTCCAATTCTCTCTCTGCAACCTGCTCACGTCACATAGGTGGTGTTTTCCTTCATTTGTCCTAAAATTCCTATCATTCCCTTTGGGTTGTCTGCAAATGGATCTTCATTATGTCCCTAATTACACTCTTACATATAGCTGATATAGATACAGCTGATAGCCTGTCATTCCTTTGAGAAACATCCATTTATAGTTAGAAATTTGGCAATGATGGCATTTCTTCCACCTATTCACTTCTCCCACTTGTAAGTAGGGAGATCGTGTAATTCATCACCCAAGCAGGACACTTAGGGGAGTGAAATGAGGAGCTAAAAATAATTAACAATCGCTAATCAATCAGTAAGCACTAACCAGGACTGTCTGCGCAAACCAAAACATATGGTCATTCTTCTCAAACATCTGTAGAACTTCTTTCATGGAGATAGCTCAGTGTACAAAAAGGGAAATTACTTTTAAAACTCACCAAATTCTTTATTATGTGGCTTACAAACACACAGAGAAGCTGAGAAGTGGGAAGCTGAGAGTGAGTCAGCACAAATTTCAACCAAGTGCCTTGACTTCCTTTCTCAGCTTCCCAACCCTGAGAGGCCTTGAGAAGTTGTTGTTATTTGGCTTTCCAGGAGCAGTAACTAGCTACAGAACATGTTCTCAAATTCCACTCTGTGCTGGAGTTCAGGCTGGCCCCCTCACTACCTGTGGTCAGTGGAGCAGAGAGCTTGTGTACCCACCTGGCAGTCAGGCCTTTTTTACCCTTCTGGGTTATAAGTCTTCAGGGCTATAAGGAGAGCTGTGGTCCGTAGGTCTGGTTAGAAACTCTAGCCCTTCATAAACTTCCCTCAATCCTACAGCGACTCTAGTGAAGTACATGGGAAAGAAGTAGAAGGACATAGAACATCCTGACCTTTTTGGTTTCTTGTTTGTTTTTTTGTGGGGGAGTGGGGTGGTGATGTCACAGATGTTTTTTCATATTTGAAAGATTCATGTCAGAGAAGTCGTCAGACATTTTCTGGATGGTTCTTTATTGCCAGCAAGTTTAAATTTTTTTTTTTCTTAATTCTGCTACCTCTTCCTATTCTCTTTCTTAGATATTGTCCAAACCTCTTAGTTTCCAAGGAATCACATTGGTCGTTGATGCTTGGAAAATCTTGTCTATGATGGAGATCCTGTCCAGTGGCTGTTAAACCACAGCATCCATCCAAAGAGAAGCCCTCCCATGTGCTAAAGGCTTTGTGAACCCTCAAATATTCCTTCAGTGCTTTTGTAAAGGCATGATATCTGTTCCACGAAGGAAGCTGTGACTCTACTAGGAAGTCAAGGCACTTGGTTGAAATTTGTGCTGACTCACTCTCATTTGATAAAACAAACAATGACTTGCTCCCAGGGCAATCTTCTCCCAGTTGGAAATCCAAGAAATGAAGCACTGATAATTTAAAACAGTGTTATAAGTATTTACAGAACACAAGTCCTCTAAGATGCTTCCCCAGTCATTGTATCATTCTGTTTGTGCTGCTATAACAAAATACCACAGACTGGGTAATTTATAAATAATAGAAATTTATTTCTCACAGTTCTGAAGGCTGGGAAGTCCAAGCTCAAGGTAATGGTAGGTTTGGTGTCTGGTGAGGTCTGCTCTCTTGCTTCCAAGATGGCACTCTTGCTGCATCCTGAGGAGGGGACAAACACTGTGTCCTCACATGGCAGAAAGGCAAAAAGGACACTCCATTCAACCTCAAACTCTTTTGTGAGGGTTCTAATCCCACTCATGAGGGCAGAGCCTTCATGACTTAATTCAGAAAGGCCACACTTCTTAACGCTGTTGTAATGGAAATTAAGTTTCAGCATGAATTTTGGAGGGGAACCACCCTTCATATTACCGCAGTTACCTATGTTTGGGAAATTCTACTCACTGCAACCACCACTGGGAAATTTATAATGCAGGTCATATAATAAATGCTCTGAGAAATCCTGCAATTAAAAGAAATATTTTTGTGGTTAACCCAGCATTTCTAAAATTTATTTTACCACTGAATCTTTGTTTTGTATGTCACTTATTAAGATCCCAGAAGACATTTCTGGAAGTGTTTAAAAAAAAAAACTGTTGGGGAGTATTGGTCTAAAATTCTCTTTTTTTGTATCTCTGCCAGGTTTTTGTATCAGGATGATGCTGGCCTCATAAAATGAGTTAGGGAGGATTCCCTCTTTTTCTATTGATTGGAATAGTTTCAGAAGGAATGGTACCAGCCCCTCTTTGCACCTCTGGTAGAATTCAGCTGTGAATCTGTCTGGTCCTGGACTTTTTTTGGTTGGTAGGCTATTAATTATTGCCTCAATTTCATAGCCTGTTATTGGTCTATCTAGGGATTCAACTTCTTCCTGGTTTAGTCTCAGGAGGGTGTATGTGCCCAGGAATTTATCCATTTCTTCTACATTTTCTAGTTTATTTGCATAGAGGTGTTTATAGTATTCTCTGATGGTAGTTTGTATTTCTGTGGGATTGGTGGTGATATCCCCTTTATCATTTTTTATTGCATCTATTTGATTCTTCTCTCTTTTCTTATTAGTCTTGCTAGTGGTCTATCAATTTTGTTGATCTTTTCAAAAAACCAGCTCCTGGATTCATTGATTTTTTTGAAGGGTTTTGTGTATCTCTATCTCCTTCAGTTCTGCTCTGACCTTAGTTATTTCTTACCTTCTTCTAGCTTTTGAATGTGTTTGCTCTTGCTTCTCTAGTTCTTTTAATTGTGATGTTAGGGTGTCAATTTTAGATCTTTCTTGCTTTCTCTTGTGGGCATTTAGTGCTATAAATTTCCCTCTACACACTGCTTTAAATGTGTCACAGAAATTCTGGTATGTTGTGTCTTTGTTCTCATTGGTTTCAAAGAACATCTTTATTTCTGCCTTCATTTCATTACATACCCAGTAGTCATTCAGGAGCAGGTTGTTCAGTTTCCATGTAGTTGAGTGGTTTTGAGTGAGTTTCTTAATCCTGAGTTCTAATTTGATTGCACTGTGGTCTGAGAGACAGTATGTTATAATTTCTGTTCTTTCACATTTGCTGAGGGGTGCTTTACTTCCAACTATATGGTCAATTTTGGAGTAAGTGTGATGTGGTGCTGAGAAAAATGTATATTCTGTTGATTTGGGGTGGAGAGTTCTGCAGATGTCTATTAGGTCCACTTGGTGCAGAGCTGAGTTCAATTCCTGGATATCCTTGTTAACTTTCTGTCTCATCGATCTGTCTAATGTTGAGAGTGGGGTGTTAAAGTCTCCCCTTATTAATCTGGGTCCTTCTGTATTGGGTGCATATATATTTAGGATAGTTAGCTCTTCTTGTTGAATTCATTCCTTCACCATTATGTAATGGCTTTCTTTGTCTCTTTTGAGCTTTGTTGGTTTAAAGTCTGTTTTATCAAAGACCAGGATTGCGATCCCTGCTTTTTTTTGTTTTCCATTTGCTTGGTAGATCTTCCTCCATCCCTTTATTTTGAGCCTATGTGTGTCTCTGCACATGAGATGGGTCTCCTGAATACAGCACACTGATGGGTCTTGACTCTTTATCCAATTTGCCAGTCTGTGTCTTTTAATTGGAGCATTTAGCCCATTTACATCTAAGGCTAATATTGTTATGTGTGAATTTGATCCTGTCATTATGATGTTAGCTGGTTATTTTGCTTGTTAGTTTATGCAGTTTCTTCCTAGCATCGATGGTCTTTACAATTTGGCATGTTTTTGCTGTGGCTGGTACCAGTTGTTCCTTTCCATGTTTAGTGCTTCCTTCAGGAGCTCTTGAAAGGCAGGCCTGGTGGTGACAAAATCTCTCAGCATTTGTTTGTCTGTAAAGGATTTTATTTCTCCCTCACTTATGAAGCTTAGTTTGGCTGGATATGAAATTCTGGGTTGAAAATTCTTTTAAGAATATTGAATATTGGCCCCCACTTTCATCTGGTTTGTAGAGTTTCTGCTGAGAGATCTGCTGTTAGTCTAATGGACTTCCCTTTGTGAGTAACCCAACCTTTCCCTCTGGCTGCCTTTAACATTTTTTCCTTCATTTCAACTTTGGTGAATCTGACAATTACATGCCTTAGAGTTGCTCTTCTTGAGGAGTATCTTTGGGGCATTCTCTGTATTTCTTGAATTTGAATGTTGGCCTGCCTTGCTAGGTTGGGGAAATTCTCCTGCCTTGCTAGGTTGGGGAAGTTCTCCTGGATAATATCCTGAAGTGCGTTTTCCAACTTGGTTCCATTCTTCCAATCACCTTCAGGTAAACCAATCAGACATAGATTTGGTCTTTTCACATAATCCCATGTTTCTTGGAAGCTTTGTTTCTCTTTACTCTTTTTTCTCTAAACTTCTCTTCTCACTTCATTTCATTCATTTGATCTTCAATCACTGATACCCTTTCTTCCACTTGATCGAATCAGCTACTGAAGCTTGCGCATGTGTCATGTAGTTCTCGTGCCATGGTTTTCATCTCCATCAGGTAATTTAAGGTCTTCTCTATGCTGTTTATTCTAGTTAGCCATTCATCTAATCTTTTTTCAAGGTTTTTAGCTGCTTTGCGATGGGGTCAAACATCCTCATTTAACTTGGAGAAGTTTGTTATTATCGATCGTCTGAAGCCTTCTTCTCTCAACTCACATCGATGCAAAAATCCTCAATAAAATACTGTCAAACCAAATCCAGCAGTACATCAAAAAGCTTATCCACCATGATCAAGTTGGCTTCATCCCTGGGATGCAAGGCTGGTTCAACATATGCAAATCAATAAACGTAACCCATCATATCAACAGAACCAAACTATTGATTATCTCAATAGATGCAGAAAAGGCCTTTGACAAAATTAAACAGTGCTTCATGCTGAAAACTCTCAATAAACTAGGTATTGATGGGACATATCTCAAAATAATAAGAGCTATTTATGACAAACCCACAGCCAATATCATACTGAATGGGCAAAAACTGGAAGCATTCCCTTTGAAAACTGGCACAAGATAGGGATGCCCTCTCTCACCACTCCTATTCAACATACTGTTGGAACTTCCGGCCAAGGCAATCAGGGAGGAGAAAGAAATAAAGGGTATTCAATTAGGAAAAGAGGAAGTCAAATTGTCCCTGTTTGCAGATGACATGATTGTATATTTGGAAAACCCCATCATCTCAGCCCAAAATCTCCCTAAGCTGATAAGCAACTTCAGCAAAGTCTCAGGATACAAAATCGATGTGCAAAAATCACAAGCATTCCTGTACACCAATAACAGACAAACAGAGAGCCAAATCATGAGTGAACTCCCATTCACAATTGCTTCAAAGAGAATAAAATACCTAGGAATCCAACTTACAAGGGATGTGAACGACCTCTTCAAGGAGAACTACAAACCACTGCTCAACAAAATAAAAGAAGACACAAACAAATGGAAGAACATTCCATGCTCATGGATAGGAAGAATCAATATTGTGAAAATGACCATACAGCCCAAAGTAATTTATAGATTCAGTACCAACCCCATCAAGCTACCAGTGACTTTCTTCACAGATTTGGAGAAAAACTACTTTAAAGTTCATATGGAACCAAAAAAGAGCCCACATTGCCAAGACAATCCTAAGCCAAAAGAACAAAGCTGGAGGCATCACGCTACCTGAATTCAAGCTATACTACAAGGCTACAGTAACCAAAACAGCATGGTACTTGTACCAAAACAGAGATATAGACCAATGGAACAGAACAGAGCCCTCAGAAATAACACCACACGTCTACAACCATCTGATCTTTGATGAACCTAACAAAAACAAGCAATGGGGAAAGGATTCCCTATTTAATAAACGGTGCTGGGAAAACTGTCTAGCCGTATGTAGAAAGCTGAAACTGGATCCCTTCCTTACACCTTATACAAAAATTAATTCAAGATGGATTAAAGACTTAAATGTTAGACCTAAAACCATAAAAACCCTAGAAGAAAACCTAGGCAATACCATTCAGGACATAGGCATGGGCAAAGACTTCATGACTAAAACACCAAAGGCAATGTCAACAAAAGCCAAAATTAACAAATGGGACCTAATTAAACTAAAGAGCTTCTGCACAGCAAAAGAAACTACCATCAGAGTGAACAGGCAACCTACAGAATGGGAGAAAATTTTTACAATCTATCCATCTGACAAAGGGCTAATATCCAGAATCTACAAAGAACTTAAACAAATTTACAAGAAAAAATCAAACAACCCCATCAAAAAGTGGGCGAAGGATATGGACAGATACTTCTCAAAAGAAGACATTTATGCAGCCAACAGACACATGAAAAAATGCTTATCATCACTGGTCATCAGAGAAATGCAAATCAAAACCACAATGAGATACTATCTCACACCAGTTAGAATGGCAATCATTAAAAAGTCAGGAAACAACAGGTGCTGGAGAGGATGTGGAGAAATAGGAACACTTTTACACTGTTGGTGGGACTGTAAACTAATTCAACCATTGTGGAAGACAGTGTGGCAATTCCTCAAGGATCTAGAACTAGAAATACCATTTGACCCAGTCATCCCATTACTGGGTGTATACCCAAAGAATTATAAATCATGCTGCTATAAAGACACATGAACACGTATGTTTATTGCAGCACTATTCACAATAGCAAAGACTTGGAACCAACCCAAATGTCCAACAATGATAGGCTGGATTAAGAAAATGTGGCACATATACACCATGGAATACTATGCAGCCATAAAAAAGGATGAGTTCATGTCCTTTGTAGGGACATAGGTGAAGCTGGAAACCATCATTCTGAGCAAACTATCACAAGGATAGAAAACCAAACACCACATGTTCTCAGTCACAGGTGGGAATTGAACAATGAAAACACTTGGACACAGGGTGGGGAACATCACACACTGGGGCCTGTTGTGGAGTGGGGGGAGGGGGGAGGGATAGCATTAGGAGACATTCCTAATGTAAATGACAAGTTAATGGGTGCAACACACCAACATGGCACATGCATACATATGTAACAAACCTTTACATTGTGCACATGTACCCTAGAACTTAAAGTATAATAATTAAAAAAAAAAACTGGTGGGGAGTGAAGGAAGAGATTCATATCATAGAAAAGTGGTATGGAAAGTATTTTTCTTCATGAAAAGAATTCATAAAATATCATCTTTGTGGGAATTAGAAACAGTATCCTGCTAGAAGAACCAATTTTTAAAATGTGTCCCTTCCTTGGACTGACAGACCCATACCAGAGAAAATAACTTTGCCAAGGATGCTGGCTAGGGGTTTCAGTCCCACTTTCATCCCCTTGGCCAAACATCTTTGTGCAGGGAACAACACACACCATTGTGCACAGAGTCCCTACTTGATCCCATGCACATCTGTGACACATTCATTGTTCTTCCCATCACCAAACACAAGGAAACTAGGAGAGTCCATCCCAGTGAAACCCTCACCTTTGCCCAGATTGCAATGATTTTATCAGAACATCTTAAGACTTAGGCATTAAGGAAATCCAGGTTTACAGTGGAATTGGCATGAACATGAAAATTTCCTGACCTACTTTTAAAGCACCTAACGTAGATGATGTTTGCTTAACAGCTCTTCACAGTCCTCAGCCCTCACATGTATCCCCCTTTTCTCAGGCATTTGTTCTGCAAAGCAACTCACACAACTCTGTCTGTTTGGGAGAGCTGTTCCATTCAAGCACCTTGGGATATTGCTGGCATAGTGTGCCACATACGCCACCTTCCATAGCACAGAGCTATAGCTCAGGACCTAGATGGCGAGCTTTGCCTTGACCATGTGGTCTACACATGCCATCAGGAGTGTCTTTTTTAATGTGTGAAATGTGTTGTTTGTGGGAGGCTGCACATCCCCTTTTGCCAGCTGCTTGCCTCTTTGAGATCGCTTTCTCAGCAGTTCAGACGGGCTGGTCCCATAAATCACAGAGAGGAGAAGGGTTAGAGGATAGAAGGAAACAAGACATGTGGCATATGGAATTTGTCCAGAACCACTCAGGTGCCTGCTAGTTACAGTGTTGGAGCTCGCTCACTCTCTCTCATATCTACGAGACTAATTTACCCTTCTGTTATTGTTATTATTTGTTCTGGGAAGTTTTCGTTTTACTAGAACATCTGGCACTATAGTTTCACACCCTGGGGTTTCCTGGAAACACTCTCAGGGAGGAGTTCGAACCTTTGCTACCGGAACTCGCCCGGGCCTGAAATGTGGTGAGCTATCATCTCAGCCCACGTCACGTTCTCTCTCTTGTTTCCTTTGCAAAACATCATTACAATCAGTGCCACTGTTTTTCAATGAGAGATGCTGGCACCAAGCCCAGAGACGGCTGTGCAGACCTTGTCCTGCCAAGAGTGGAGATAACGTGGGCCTGATACAAAGCCCTCTGACCACACCTCTGGGTAACTCCTACGCTGAAGCACAGCCTGGCCTCCCAGATGAGCTCAGAGTGCCAAGCCCAGGAGCAGGCTGGGTGTGAACCAGGTCCCACCCTGGGAGCCCTGGTCCTCGTCACATTGTTAACCACAAGACCTACCCGCCTGTCCTAATTTCTACAGGAGAGCCTCAGGGCCCCTTTCAGTTTTGAAAGGCACATGAAAAATGTGACATGGGAGTCACTGGAAGGGCCCCGTCTCCCTTCCCTCTTCTCATGGAGTCTCTCCCTCTCCTTTCTGTCCTTGCCTCAGCTATGTTGTCTGCAGCAACTGTTTGCAGAAATTCTCTTCCCCAGCATCTTCAGAGGCTGGCTTCTTGACCTAAGACTGCAGTGTCAATGTCACCTTTCCTAAAAAGCCTTCCTTCTCTGATCCCCTAGGTGAAAAGGGCCACTGAGCAGCTCCAGCACTTCAGTCCTTTAATTATCTGCATGGTACTAATCACAATCTTAGAGTTTGCTCCTAGGTTTGCCTCTTGGATTTTTACCTGACCTTACCTGCTAGAGGGGGAGCCTGTCTTGTTCACCTAGAATAAATGCCTTGCACTGTGAAAGGACAATAAATCTTGGGATTCCAAAACCACTAAGCCAAAGGGAAAAGTCAAGCTGGGAACTGCTTAGGGCAAACCTACCTCACATTCTGTTCCTGAAAAAGCTACTAAATTAAAAAATAATAATAAAATAAAACAAAATAAAATAATTTTTTAAAAAAACCTACATACCTTCCTCACAAGGAATTTCCTTGTGTACAAAGGACAGACAGAACTCAAAGTCATTCCTCTTCTCACCAAGATAAATGCAAATCTGACTGCCTCCTTTCAAGAGGCTAATCAGAACCTCAAAAGAATGCAACCATTTGTCTCTTACCTACCTATGTCCTGGAAGCCCCCTCCCCGCTTTGAGTTGTCTCACCTTTCTGGACAGAACCAATGTACTTCTTACATATATCGATTGATGTCTTACATCTCCCTAAAATGTATAAAACCAAGCTGTGCCCCAACCACCTTGAGCACATGTCATTAGGACCTCCTGAGGCTGTGTCATGGGCATGCGTCCTTTGGCAAAATAAACTTCCTAAATTAACTGAGACCTCTCTCTGATATTTGGGGTTCATACCACATAGAAGGTACCGAATTAACATTTGTTAAAAACATACTGGCCCGACTCCTTACTAGTGTGATCTTGGGAAAGTTAACATTTGTGTCTCAGCTTCTTATCTTAAAAATAGAACTAATTATAGTGCCTAATTCCTGGGATTGTTGAGATAATTAGACAAAGTAATTCTTGTGCCGTCCTTAGCAGAGTGCCTATACAAAGTGAGCGCTCAACAAGTATTAGCTATTATCATTAGCAACATGTTAACCCATTTGCACTTGGTCACCTCCCAGTGCTCACTAGTTTCCAGCTTAGCTGGTCCTGAAGGAGTGGAGAGGAGCCCAGAGCACGGGCAAGGCCAGGCCTTTGAAGGCACCACAGGGAAGTGTGGAAGAAAGAAATGCACCAAAAATGAATGCCTCCTATTTCTCAAATAAGGACTACTCCTTTCAAAAGGGTTATTTCTTTCCCCCTTTTCCTTCTCCCCCTTCCCTGCCAATACCACACAACTGAACCTGGCCCTACACTTGTTACAAGCAGCAGGGGCTGAAGGTCACTGATACTCTATAGACACGTGGCTCAGCCCTCCAGCTGGGCTGGGGACGAGTGACTGTTCTTCCTAGCTGTGTCACCTAAAAGTAGGGCAGACAAAGATGTCCGATAAGTCACATGATTCAACCTCAGCTATGACAGGAAGAGGAGGAAGGTCAGTTGGCTTTGGTTGTAACCATGGTCCAATATGGATTCAAACCCATGACATGGTTAATATGTCCTGCACCAGGCACACAAGGCCATTTTGCCTGAGGATTTGGCATTCACTAGGAGATGGTTTATGTAGCTACTCAAAGGGAATAAAGAGACTGATTTTCACAAGGAAAAGAGACCCTGTGCTCCTCTAGAGCAGAGACTATCTCTTGATCATACCTTCCCTCTGCCCACAGTCCCCAACAGAGTGGGCACTGCCAGCTACTCGTCTTCCCAAACCAGCCAGTTGCTTTTAGCCCCCCATCAGGATCATGTGGATGTTCTTAAACGCTGATCCACACTCACCACCTGGTGTGTCAATGACCAGGTGGGGGTCATCTCACGGCCACTGACACTGAGCTCTCCCTCTTTATTACCACCCAGGCAGGTGCTGGGCTTAGTAATGATGCAGTCTCTCTGGGTCAGTCTGGTATCTCCATCAAGTTGTGGATCTTACTTTGTCCACATTGTGATGCCTCCTGCCCTGGAAAAGGTAAATCCCGGCTGGGCAAACATCCATCTACCTAACAAGAGAGAGAGGAGAAGACTGCAGACCTCAAGAAGTTCTTGGCAGCTTGGCCCTGCAGAAGACATAGAGGTTTGTCAGGTCTTAGTTTAGGTTCCTCCATAAACCAACCCTGAGACCAGGATTTAGGTGCAAGTGTTTCTGTGGAGGTGACCAGAATGCACAATGACTGAGCTGGAAGTTGAGATAGGGAAGGGAAGCGAGCCAATTAAGGAGTATAAATGAGAAACTTGCAATTGCAGACAGCCAGGACTCAGTCCTACTGGGACCCTCTTAGGGACTGTGCAGCACACATCTCAGAATTGATCACTGTGTCCCTTATTGGCTGAGCGAGGCTCCTGGAGTATTGATTCCCCAGCACTTCAAGTCTGTTCCCAGGAAGCACAGCCAGAGAATATTCTCATCCAGGGAGCCGAGGAAGCCATTGTGCCTGTACAGGAGCTGTCTATGAATGATGTCCACCATAGACTAAGGGGACTTGGGCCGGGCGCCAACAACTCCTGCTACATCTAATGACAGATAGTGAGCTTGTTAGAACAGTGCCCCATGGGTAGAGGTGTTTTAGAATATCTCAGATTTTTGTTAACTTCCTAGAAACCCTCTCGAAAAATCCTTAAATAGACACAGTTACATAAATGAGCCTCTTCATGATTTCTTTGAAAGAATGATTCATGTGCATGAAACAAAGCCTTCCCCACTTGTGGCTTGGGTTTTGCCCTTCCTGGAATCTTAATCCAGGGCCTCCAAAGCTTTGAGTAGGAAGTTCAGACACTGGGAGGAGGTCAGATCTCACCATTTTTCCATGGAGACCAGGCAGGAAAAGAGACAGAGTAGTCTGTTTTGCAGTGCTTTGAAGTTCAGATGAAAAGCCCAGCAGGGAGGCACACACACCCTTCCCCAAAGTATGGGTGTGCAGTGGGGAGCTCAGGAACTGGTGGAATAAACTGGATTCTACTGAGAAAATATAATCTCTCCCCCCAGGTGCCCTTCCACCACCCATCTAGACACGCCTACTTTCAAAAGCCCTGGGCAGAACAGGCTTACTTTGAACAACAGAACCATATCAGGGAAAATTTCCTGGAATTCAGACATGGAAAAACTCACCCAACTACCATGTGATACCTTGATCCATGAAGCTCCCACTCCCCGCAGGCACTGTTAACCCCTATAGGGCCTTTCAATAATATCCTCATTCAACTAAATGTCACATTGGTCTTTGCCAACAAAGAGGAATTTTCCACATGCTTTGCTGCCTCTGTTACATTCTTGAAAACGGCAGGTGATTCTGCATGGAAGGTTCCAAGAAGGAAGAAACGTCTCCTTATTCCCAGGCTACAGCCCACATTGAAGGTCCACCATTGAACAAAAAGATGGGAGTAGGTCAAGAAGTTTTCTGCAACTACAGCTTTAGAATAAAAATTGCTGATAAACAGTTCACCCAGGTGATGGTGAGAGGGTCACAAGGTAGACAACAAGGAAGTCAGAGTCCTGTGTTCCTGTTGACTCTTACTGATTTTGTGGCCTTGGATGAATCATTTGACCTATCAAGACTTGTAAATTGATGAGTCACTTAGGAATAGTAAATACAGTCAGCTTTTAGAACACTGCCCTCTACCTAGAACAGAACCTCAGCAACTACAACTGTGCCATAGCCCCTAGAAGAGTCCCTTGCATGCAATATAGGCACTCAATATTTGGTGACTGAATGAATGAGTGAATGTGGTAAACATGTCTACTGCTCTGACTCCTGCACCCAGGGCAGACATTACTAATCAACTGTGACTGTTTTTCATGCAAAAAGTAGATGCAGTGTCAGAATTCTGCTTAGCATAACTCTCCAGACAGGCACAACCAATCTATTAGAGATCACATGTGAAATGTTATCTATTTGCCGTTCCTGAATGAGCTCTAGTATTTTTCCACATTAAACTTTCCTAGTAAGGGAAATACTAAAAGATAGATGGATTGTCACTCAGAGAAAATAAACACAATTGAATATTTCGATCTTGTTTGTCTGCATAAGAATCGATATTTTTTCATCCTGACTAGTGCAGAAAATGCATTTGTTCAGTGAAGACTCCATAATATCAGGCTACTTGGAGTTCTTGCAGCCAAACCCACATTCCTAGAGCCCTGTGGGAGCCATTCAATTTCTCACCCCAATCATGTAGAAGAAAATTGGCTCCAAGGCATATCCCCATCCTGGCAATTAGACACCTCTGGTCAGTGTTAACTCTAGGAGGGTCTAATGTCTGGGATCTGGTTTGTCATCTGAGGGCCATACTCCCTACCAAGTTCACATTGGTGAAATATCAAGGACAACAATAAAAGGAAAAAGAAGCTACAGAGAGGCAATAGAGAGTGAGATAGGAAGAGGGGATTTTCAACACAGAAATCTTCAATGTTTTTAGCCCTCACTGGCTGAGCTGCCTGGAAATAGTTGGTAGCATTAATCCATTGTCTTTTGTGGAAGGCTGTGTAACAGCTTGATGGGTTCATCTTGCTTCTGATTAGACAGAGTGAATTTATCAAGACAGGGGAATTGCTAAAGAGAAAGAGTTTAATTCATACAGAGCTGGCTGAACAGAAGATTGCAGTTTTATTCAGCCTCCATGAAAATTTAGAGGCTAGGATTTTTAAAAGATAGTTTGGCAGGCAGGGGCCTAGGGAATGGGGAATACTGATTGGTCAGGTCAGGGATGGAATCACAGGGAGTCAAAGCTGTCCTCTTGCACTGAGTTTGTTCCCAGGTGGGGACCATGAGATGAGCCAGTTTACTGGTCTGGGTGGCACCAGCTGATCCATCAGAATACAGAGTCTGAAAAATATCTCAAACACCAATCTTTATGATAGTGATGCCATCTATAGGAGCAACTGGGGTGATTAGTGATCTTGTGGCCTGTAGCTACAAGACTCCTGAACCATAATCTCTAATCTTGTCACTAATTGTTGGTTTTACAAAGGCAACCTGGTCTCCAAGTGATATGGTTAGGCTTCGAGTCCCCACCCAAATCTCATCTTGTATTGTAATCCCCAGGTGTTGAGGGAGAGACCTGGTGGGAGGTAATTGGATCATGGGGGTGGTTTCCTCTTTGCTGTTCTCATGACAGGGAGTTCTCACAAGATCTCATGGTTTTATAAATTGCAGTTTCCCCTGGGCTTTTCACTCTCCCACCTGCCGCCATGTAAGACATGCCTGCTTTCCCCTTTTGCCATGATTGTAAGTTTCCTGAGGCCTCTCCAGCCATGCAGAACTGTGAGTCAATTAAACTGCTTTCCTTTATAAATTACCCAGTCTCAGGTAGTATCTTTATAGCATTGTGAAAACAGACTAATACACCAAGCAAGGAGAGAGTTTGTTTGGGGAGAGGCTGTTATCATCTTTGTTTCAAAGTTAAACTATAAACTAAATTCCTTTCAAAGTTAGCTTGGCCTACCCCGGGAATAAACAAAGGCAGCTTGGAGTTTAAAGGCAAGATGGAGTCAGTTAGGTCAGGTCTCTTTCACTGTCTTAATTTTCTCACTGTTACAATTTTTGCAAAGGAGGTTTCATCTGAATGACTATCTTGGGCACAAATATTAAAGCCCACCAAATGGCTTTTGGAACATCATCAAAAGAAAAGTATGAAGTTGCCAATCTTCACATTTGAACAGAGCTGTGAATATCTTGGGGATAGCTGATGACTCATGCTCCTCTGCACAGTGCTCACCTAAGCAAGCTATAACCACCCGATGGGTTCTTCCTGCCTGCTGCACAAACAAAATCAACTTACCAAGACCATGGCATTGCAGTAAAGAAAGAGTTCAATTGACATGAGGAGACAGTTATTACTCAAATCAATCTCCCCAAGTGCTCATAGGTTAGGGTTTTTTTCAAAGATAATTTGGTGTGCAAGGGGCTAGGGTAGGGGGCATGCTGATTGGCTGGGTCAGAGAGGAAATCATAAGAACTGAAGCTGTCCTATTGTGGCTGAGTCAGTTCCTGGGTGGGGGCCACAGGACTGGTTGGCAGGTCCAGGTGGGGCCGTCCCATTGTTAGAAATGCAAAAACCTGAAAAGACATCTCAAAAGGCCAGTCCTAGGTTCTACAATAGTGATGTTATCTGCAAGAGTAATTGGGGAAGTTGCAAATCTTATGAGCTGCAGGATAATGGCTGGTAATTCTAGCCCTTTTCATCCCCCTAACTTGGTGGCCCTTTCATTAGTTTTACAAGAACAGTTTAGTTCTGTGGAAGGGCTATTATCATTTAAACTATAAATTTCTCCCAAAGTCAGCTTGGCCCACACCCAGGAATGAGCAAAGACAACCACCCTGTAAGGCTAGAAACAAGATGGAATGAGCCATGTCAGATTTCTCTCACCATCATAATTTTGCAAAGGCAGTTTCAAAGCCATGGCCGGGCCCTTCTCTCCCATTGTTTGTTGCAATCAGCACCACAGTCTTGCCCGGTCACTTGCCTGACATCTACACTGATTGCCATAAGCTAAATTAACTGTCTGCTTTTCTGTATGAGGAGAACAAATGAAGTGGATCACTGTGCCCCTACATATGCAAAACACTGAGGAACAGATATTTTCTCTGGCCAAAACATCAGTTTTCAATATGTTAATCTACTGTTCATTGTCTTCCAGGCTTGAGTCTGAGGAAATAAATCTAGAAATCTCTGGGCATGAAAAGAAATGGAATAGGTTTGAATCCTTAGCAAGTGACTTTAGTTGGGGGTAAAGGATGAAACTTTATTTGTCCCAATAATTGCCAAAGCATGTTACTCATGCTGGTTTCAATTAAAATCCCAAGGGCAGTGAGTTAGTAAATTAGTGGATTTAACAAGAGCCTCAGGAACTAAGAATCAGAGGAGTTGTTATGGAAGGAAGGGCAGGGGGCCTTCAGTTAATAGCTCCCCCAGTGCTGAAAGGCCACACCCTCAAGAACCGCCCTGCTGGGGAGAGACCCAGGGCAATTCACCAGGCCCTATCAGTTTAACATAGAACCACACTGTCTTGACTAATGTGAAGTTTCCTCTGAAAGGAAACATATGAGATAAAATGCTAACTTGTCCAGCTTGTTTAAGTACAGATAGTCTTAACAAAAGAAAACTCTTGGTTAGCACCGTTTTGGGCACATTTTGCTCCTATCTATGGCAGACAGAGCTTACTGCCCACCAAAGATTTTGTTCCCCTCTGTAATGCAGGTCTTTTCTTGGGAAGCGGCTGCCCAGCCAGAGTCTACTCAATGATTGAAAAGTCACAGAACTTGTCATAAAGGCACAGAGTCTTCAATTAATGCTCACTCAGTTCAAGAATTGCTCCTGTTGCAAAAGGGAGCCCATAGAGAAATGTGAATGGAACAGATGTGGTTAAAACGTAGATAGGAGGCCAGGCTTGGTGACACCCAGTGCTGTGGGAGGCGGAGGCGGGAGGATTGCTTGAAGCCACGAGTTTGAAACCAGCCTCAGCAACATAGGGAGACCCAGTCCCTACAAAACATAAAATAAAAAATGGGCCAAGCTAGGTGGTACACACCTGTTGCCCTGACTACTCAGGAGGCTAAGGCAAAAGGATTGCTTGAGCCCAGGAATTCAAGACTGCAGTGAGCCATGATTGCACCATTGCACTCCAGCCTGGGCAACAAAGCGAGACTCTGTCTCTAAAAATAAATAAATAATTAATTAAATACTTTTTAAAAGTAGGTATGCCTTCTCTCCTTCCTTGCTGCTCCCCTATTTGCTGGCTGATATTGTTGACAGTGAAATATTGAAAGTCATACGTTGAAGACAGCACTGTCAACCTGGATCTCTGAATGATTACCTGAAGTAGAGCTGCCTCGCTTCCAGCCAGACAAGAAACTCCTGCATTTGACTGTTATGTGAGAAAGACAGTGTTTGTATGAAATCACCGGGGTTTGTTCGTTATAGAAGGTAGGTTGCTCTAACCAACCCACTGTCCTTAACCAGATGATTCTCAAAGCAAACAACAGCACACGTCCACCTCCACATTCCATCCTACAGTCTCTAAACAGCCTCAGCATTCAAAATCATTTCCATAATCACCTCAATCAGTATTTGTTTTTGCTCTCAGAAACTCATTCCATCTTTAACCTGCCACCCCAAAGGGGATGGGCCAGCCCAACAGAGGACTGCGGGCTTCCTTAGTTTGGGTTTACATAGCTTCTGTGTACGAGGCTGCCAACTCACCAAACACCTTTGCCTTCCTCTTTATCATGCATCCTGTAATCCTTGGACCTTAGTTATGTGATTCTGACCTTGTCAAATATGCATAAACTCAGTTCTTCCAGGCTGCAAGTCATAATGTCTGATGCTTTCTGAATGACCTGAATGTGCTGTCTCCAACACCAGTGCACACATGGTGAAAATACATACGGCTCCAAAACAGGCTTACTGTGGGATCTTAACCACCTCTTCACCTCCTCCCTAAATCCCTGTGCAGATTTTCAACCCTAGCTTCAAGCTCATAATTTTGTGTGTTACATGCTGAGCTCTCAGAAATCAGAAGCCCCAGCAGAGGTGCCATGCTGTGAAAATTCATGTGAGGAAACCCCTTTCTTTCTAAGCAGTTGTGTCTAGTAGCTGCCTACAAGCTCTGCTAAGCAGTGATGGTTTAATTATCCCACAAAGGCAGCGGTATGCTGGGGCACATTTGCACATCTTGAGAGAGAGCTGGCTGTGCCCATCTCCTCCCTACTCTGTGTTCGGTAATATCACATTGGTAGCTTGAAATTAGCCATGGTGGGAGTATTTACACCATGAAAATTGGCACATGCTACAAATCAGGAATATATATATCCCCCAGAGAACTGGCGGTGAAGCATCTGCCAGTGCACTGCTGTGTGTGAGGGAAAGGCTGCAGAGCCACCCGGCCAACAGGAAGCCATGGAGGAGTCTGTCTGCACTCAGTAATAGTCATAAAGCCTGTGCTCTGGATTTTAATGAGAACGAAGAGCAAGTGACAAGGACTTTCTGTGACAACTAATGAACGTAAGCATGCTGAACTGCTGCAGAGAAACAGGCTTCAAGAGGTGATGTGTTATTTCAGATGCCAGGAAATGGATCCTACCTCAGTGATCAGATTCTAATAACTTGCTTTGCCACTGGCCCAGGTGCTTTACAGGTCTTCTAAGGTAGGAGGAGGAAAGGATAGGGACTGAGCTCATTGTCCATCTGTTAAGCTCAGTGGTAGGCTTCACGCATGGGCCAATGCATTTGACCTCCCACATGGCCCTTAGTTGTAGGTATTAGTGTGCTAATTATTCAAAGGAGAGTAATAAGGCCCCAGGAGTCAAGCCAGTAACTTGCCTAATATCACCTGATGGTAAGGAGTTAAAAATCAGGTGGCCAACAAGCTACCTGATATATCTGCAGAAAGATATTATTAGGTTTTATCTGTGGAAAGAAACAACTGCCTTTACCTCATGGGAAATTAATGACAAATCTGTGGGTCATTAGTAACAATCTTATTGAGATATAATTCACATACCACAAAATTCATCCTTTTCAAGTACACAATTCAGTGGCATCAGGATTCAGGACATGTTACTGCAAAATACAATGCCTCGGAAATTGGGAAGAAAACAGAAACAAGAAGGCCATTTTCAGACCTTCTCCTTCCTTTCTGTGTGACAGCTGGCCATAAGAGAATTCTTTGACCTGCTTTCCCTGAAAGTAGGTCATAAGACCCTCATGTAACAGGTGTCCTGCCCTATGCCCAGAGGAAAGAACAAACAGGCCTTGCTATGTTCCCCTCAGTTTATTACCATTAGGCCACACCTTCTTTTTGACCAATTATACTTCTACATGACTATCCATTCTTCATCAAACCTAAGCACAAAAATAGACACTTTTCCCTGAGTCTTGGGTTCTTCATTTCTGAAGTCTTTCATGTCCTATAAAACTTTGGTTGAATAAATGCTGATATGGTTTGGCTGTGTTCCCACCCAAATCTCATCTTGAATTGTAGCTCCCATAATCTCCGCATGTCATGGGAGGGACTGAATGGAAAGGAACTGAATCATGGGGCGAGTTTTTCCCATGCTGTTCTCGTGACAGTGACTAAGTCTCAAGAGATCTGATGGTTTTATAAAGGGCAGTTCCCCCACACAAGCTCTCTTGCCTTCTGCCATGTAAGATATGACTGTGCTCCTCCTTCACCTTCTGCCATGATTGTGAGGCCTCCACAGCCATGTGGAACTGTGAGTCCATTAGACCTCTTTTTCTTTATAAATTACCCAGTCTTGGGTATATCTTTATTAGCAGCATGAGAACTAATACAAATGTGTTACCCTTTTCTCTTGTTAATCTGTCTTTTGTTATAGGAGTGTCAGTCATGAACCTTGCAATAGATGAGGAAAGTATATTACTTTTCTCTCCTACAGTGGGTTTTAGTATAGTTACAGAGTGGTGCAACCATTATCACTATCTAATTCTAGAACATTTTTATTATACCAGAAAAGAAACCCATACCCATTAGCAGTCACTCTCTACTCCCTCTGCCCCGCAGCCTGTGGCAACCACTAATCTACTTTCTGTCTCTATGAATTGGTGTATTCTGGACATCTCATATAAATGGAATCATACAATATGTGGCCTTTTGTGTCTAGCTTATTTTACTTATAATATTGACAAATCTGTTTTAAAGTTCATGGAGCTCTACAGATGAATTCACAAAGTTAAAAGGCAAACACATGCAGTTTTATTTAAATACCAATAAGCAACAGAGCAAGGCAATGAATGGGAAGTACTAGCATATGTGTTTTTTAATTCAATTTTACAATGTTTGTTGAGTGCCTGTTTATACAACAGACACAAAACAGACAAAATCCCTGTCCTCATAAAACTTATATCAAGGTGGAGAGAAAAGACAAAAAACAAACATAATCAAATAATAATAGCGCATTAGAAGGTTTTAATGACTGTGAGGAAGAAAGATGAAACAAGTGTGGGGTGTTGTGGATGCTAGAGGAGACCTTCTGAATGCATTGCTCTTCTCCTCCCCTGCCCCCCACCTCTCTCTCATAAAATGTCCATGATTCTGATGCCTGACAGCAAGGGTACTCCTGAGTCCCTGTGCCATTGTCTACCTCTGAAGTTTAGTGGCATCTTTACTACCATAACACTAGACCAGCAGGCAACAGCTCTCAGTCATTATATGATAGGTTCATCTTCCTCTCCCAGGCCAGAGTCCCTTCCTCTCTGAAATTCTGAGCTGAAAAGCAGAGAGGGAAGAGGTACCTCATCCTTCTCTCCCAGATCTCTTCTTTCCCTTCAGAGCAGCAGTGAAATTGCTACCCTGCCACTCGCCCCCTACACACAGCCCAGGGTAGAAGTGCTCTGCTCCATCCTCCACCCTCTACACACCTCCTCATTCTGTCCCTGCAGCTGTCCCCACATTGACATACATTAAACAATGACCTGCAGGGTTTCTTGACAAACATGTCAAGGCACAATATTTGCCTTGGTCTGAAGCTTCCTGGAGCCTGGTGAGTTTCCCTTAGCCTCCACATCCTGCCATTTCGCAAATTATTGTCAACTTCAGCTCCTCTACCACTGTTGCTGCTGTTAAAAACACCAAACTTTTTTTAAATCCAGCACTTATCCTTATAACTAGAAACATTCCAATGTTTCCTCATAGGTAACTTCACCATCTCTAACACCATCGAGAATTATTACACCATAAAAACCCACACCTACGTGTGCAGATGGTACCAACAGGAAGCCCAATTTTCTTCCACCAAAGTTGTATACATAATTATGTTTTTCTGGCTTTTTCTTACTATAAAAGTACTACGTATCATTAGAGAGAAAAACAGAAAATACAAATGAGAAAAAGTAAAATCACCCCGTGTAGTGGATAGTCACTAAGACAGCCCCCAGTGACACTTCTTTCCCAGCATTTATGTCCTTCTGTAAGCTCCTCCCCTTGCCTGGGGCTGGACCTAGTGACTCACTTCTAAGGAACACAATACACAAAAAGCAATGGGTGTCATTTCTAAGATTAGGTGTGCAGAAAAGAGTTAACATAGCAGGCCTGAGACTGTTCTCCTTAGACAGTCCTGCTTTCAAGACTGGCCTTTGCATTTCATGAGAAAGGGTTCCCCCCATGCCCTGATAAGAAGGACTCACTTTCTGCCTAAGCTATTTGTGCCAACAATAGTTATGTTGAACATCAGCCTTCCTTCTGGAAATCTAGAATATGGGTATGTGCTAGACATCAGGTGTCAATGTGACTAACCCACAATAAAAACCCTGGGAATTGGGTCTTCCATGAGGTTGTCTAGTGACAAACATCTCATACGTGTTTCAGCTCACTGCTAGGGGAGTAAAGTTTGTCCTGTGTGACTGCACTGTCAGAGGACTTGGAAGCTTGTGCCTGGTTCCCTCTGGTCTTTACCTCATGCACCTTTTTCCTTTGCTGATTTTGCTTTATCTTTTCTCGGTAATAAATCACAGCCATGAGTATGACTATGTGCTGAGTCCTGTGAGTCCTCCTACTGAATCATCAAAGCCAGGGGGTGAGTGTTGTGGACCCCCAACACATTAGACTACTAAAAAGCCTATGACCTTTCCCTCTCTCTCTCCCCACCACTTTTTCTCTCACATACACACACAGAACTTGCTGCCATGTTGGAAGTAGCCTTATTGACAGGCTCACATGGCAAGGAACTAACATCTCTTGCCCATAGCCAACAGCCAGTACCTGAGCTACCGAAGTGTAGAAGCACAGCCTTTCCCAGTTAAGCCTTAAGCTAAGACCCAGATCAAGGGTCTTGACCACCTTGACTGCAGCCTTGTGAGAGGCCCCAAGACAACTAAGCCACACTCACATTCCTGCCCCACACAAACTGTGAAATAATAAATGTTTGTTGTGTTAAGCTGCTAAATTCTAGGATAATTTCTTACACAGGAATAGTTAACTAATAAACTCTTCACCTAGAGGTCATTATTGCTTATATCTTAGGGCACATCTCAAGGGTTTTCTACACCCATCTATAGGTAGAATAAGTGTTCTAGTTGACACTGAATTTCTTTTTTGTTGTTATTAACACTATTGGTAAAAAGCAAAAGCATAGGGGAACGATATAGTATTTTCCTTTATTATCACAAGAAGTTTTGCATTCCAGAATGATAGCTGATATTTCTTTTTGAGTCAGGTTGTCCTTTTGTTTGGGGGAGTAAGAGGTGTGGCAAGAAAAAGATCTCTTTCATGGCCTTTTCTGAAATCCCATTCTGAAACGAGGAGGTTTCACACACTAGGTTAAATCACTCAGCACAATTAATGTAAATGTAACTATCCTTCATGTGGGTGGAATTCATTTCTACAAATTGTGTTTCCTTTTAGGGAAGCTGTTTTTCCCTCTTTGGGGTCTCAGAGAGATTGGTGGCAAGGACTCCTGGGAAGAGAAAAGCTGAAGGACACTCTGGCAAGAGGTAATAAGTTAGTCCTTGCAAAATGGCCATGGGCTGGATGACAAGGAAAGAAGCAGCCATTACAGGACACAGTGGGTGAAACTGACACAAGCTTAAGTTTTCTAGGAGCAAATGTATCTCATAATCAATTTTAAGTTTTTTTTTTGTTCGCAATTTCCATATATTATACCCAAGCACTCAGCAAAGTTGCATTATACATCACAGCTCAGTCTAACCTGCATTTGGAGAATTAACCCATTGTCCATGTTTCTGCAAAGCCTCATGAAGAGAGATATTAAGGGAACAAGAGGTGCCCTGCAAAGAGATGAAGCTCCAGGCTAAGGTAATGAGACACAGGGAAGGGGAATCTTCTAGAAGAAAGAATATCATGCAATCAAACTAGATGGGGAATAGAGCCACAGGATATGAATACTAAAAACAAGTGTAGCCTCTTGTTGCTAGAGGAAGCTAGAAAATCAAAGTTGCACATGCTTGTTTTTTGTAACAAATTACAGTCAGGCTGAATGTACTATTTATGGCCTGCTTAACTGACTTAACAATATATTGTATCATTAAAAATTCTGCTACAACTCAGTTTGTACTGGCTGCTAATTATTCTGTTGTATGGAAAAACTATAATTTATTTTACCAATATTCTATTATTGGACATGTAAGTCATTTCTAATTTTCATTGTTATTGTAAACAATGCTACAATGAACATCCTTATAGCTAAATCTCTGTTCAAAACTGTAATTATATCTTTAGAATACATTGCTAGAAATGGCATTGTTACATCAAAAAATACGCACTTTTAGTGTTTAAAGAATTTTTCCAAATTTTCTTTCAGAAAAATTATGCCAGTTCAAACTCCTGCCAACAGGAGACAAGAAGTGCTTTGCCCCACCACTTAGCCAAAACTAGATATTATCTTTTTATCATTCTTACAACACATGCATGTTCTTATGCTTGCTTAAACACACTATAAGAGATTTATAATTGAAAATTACTTTTTTGTTTGGTTTATATGTGTGTTGTCAGGTACAAAACTCATACCACTCACGGCACAATAGCTAGTAAGTCAAGAGACAAGGTGCTGGGGGAAGCAAAACGACTATTTCAATGGCCAACAAACCAAGAAGATGGCAGACTAGTGTTGTAAAGAACCATCTTTAAAGGCATGAATCTCGGCCAGGCGCAGTGGCTCACACCTGTAATCCCAGCATTTTGGGAGCCCAAGGCGGGGGAATCATGAGGTCAGGAGTTTGACAGCAGCCTGGTCAATATGGTGAAACCCCATCTCTACTAAAAATACAAAAATTAGCTGGGCATGGTGGCACATGCCTGCAATCCCAGCTACTCAGGAGGCTGAGGCAGGAGAATTGCTTAACCTAGGAGGTGGAGGTTGTAGTGAGCCGAGATCGTGCCACTGCACTCCAGCCTGGGCAACAGAGCAAGACTCCATCTTGAAAAAATGAAAATAAAGGCATGAATCTCAAGCTTGTTTTTATATTGGGGAAAGGGAAACAAGGAGGAGGTTAGGGGTTGAGGTCAGGCAGTAACAAGTGACCACAGACATCCAGGCATCAGCAGGAGTCCAAAGGGTTGCAAAACATCTTGTCCTTGGTCAGGTCACAAGGCTCCTGTACATTTTTAATACAACATGGTTATTAGTGTGTATACCCTCCTTATCTCCTCAGGGGTTAGTTTTGGGAAGGGACTGTTATCACCTTTGCTTTAAATTAAACTATAAACTAAATTTCTACCAGAGTTACCTCGGCCTGCATGCAGAAATGAGAAAAGGCAGTTAGCTTGTGAGGTTAGAAGCAAGATGGAGTCAACTATGTTAGATTTCTCTTCACTGTTACATGTGCAGCTCCACCATAAACAATAAAGGTCATTCTAGGCAGCTGTCCAAAGTAATGCAGCAGGCAAACAAGAAAGTCACAGAACTGGCAGCATCTTGCCACATACAGCTCCCTTCAGTAGCCCTTTCTGAGGTTAGTAACAACATAGGTAATACTGACTATAAAAGCTCCCTTCTTTTGCATTTAATATTTATAACTTATTCATACCCAGGTTTAAAAAAAAAAAAAGTTTTTGTTTTGCCTAAAAATGGATACAACATAAGTTTTACAGAACTGAAAAAGGAAAAGAAAATGCTTTTCTAGCCAAGAAGTGACTTCTGCTATTGGCAGGTAGATAAATTTGTTTATAAAACAAGGCTTTTGTAACAAAAGAACCAGAAGGAAAATCTCCCATTTTTATCTCATTGTCCTTCTGAGATTTGTCCTCTGCTCTTTCGCCATGTTCTATCACTGTAAAAACTTCCCTAATAAGCAGCTTTGGGGAGAAAGCGAGAGATCCTAGATAAGGAACAGTGTCAGAATGGCTGGATTTCATCATTTCCTCAATTACTAATGATCCTCATTCTTTGTACAGGAAATGTAGACTGTGCTCAAGTATAAAAGGTCATTAATATGAGAACATTTAAAAAAAAAAAGGTCAATTCTGTAAAAAATGCATTGAATGGGTAAGTACCTTGTTGGAGTACAGAAGGGAAGAGGAGGGGTGACAAAGAATGAGGAATAGTCAGGCTCCTCCTCAGGGAGCTTCCAGTCACGCAGCACAGGGTCAACACACACACACACACACACACACACACACACACACACACACACAAGCCAGCAGCACCTGCCCAAGCGTAGAAGCTGAACAGAGGTGTGAGAAACCATGTGAGCAAGAGCAGACAGGAATGAAAGAGTGACTGAGAATAAGGACAGACTCAGGGGAGGTGGCGTGTGATCCCACCTTGGAGAGGAGAGAAACGTTACAAGAGGAGGAGACTGGAGCTTTGACAGGCAGAGAAAACAACCGAAGCCAAGGAACCAAGTGTGCAAATTGGCTTTAGTCTGTTTTGTGCTGTTATAGCAGACTACCACAGACTGGGTAATTTATAATGAACAGAAATTTATTTCTCACAATGCTAGAGGCTGGGAAGTCCAAGAACAAGGGGCTGCCCTCTGGCAGGGGCCTTCTTTCTGCCTCAAAACGTGGTAGAAGTTATGAGGAAAAGGAGCCAAACTCCCTGTTTTATTACAAACCCACTCTCCCACAGTAATGAATCCACTCCTGTGACAATGGCATTCACCCATTCACTCTGCCCTCATGGCCGAATCACATCTCATTAGGCCACACCACCCAACACTGCTGCGTCGGCAGTTAAGTTTCCAACATGCACTTTTTGGGGGATACAGTCAAACCATAGCAGGACACATAAGCCGTAGATTTCGCCCATGGAGAGAGAGAGAGTGGAGGCGAGGTTAAAAAGGTTAGGCGCTGTGACTACCGGCCTGACATGCAGTGCTAAGGAGCATGAACCTGACTCTGTAGACCACTGTTTTCCAAACTTGTGATCACACACTCCATTCATTTAAAAAATCTCTAAGTACATAACGCTAATATGGGTATTTGTGTTTATTTACTTAGAAATTATATATCTGATTCACTACATTAATGTGTCATACTATCTTATGAAAGATAAAAATATATATTAACTTAAAAGGAGGATTTTAAGTTTAAATGCCTTGCTGGTTGCGATGGCCTCATATTGGCAGAGGCACATCCTCAAAGCACAATGTACATTTACCTAGCAAAACTTTTATTTAACATCTGCATTTCAAACAGTCTTCTTCACAACTTTGAATTTGTTTAGCCAACTGCTTGGCAGGGCTCCATAGATTGTCATTGCTGTTACCTCATAAACCAGCTGACCAAGGGCTTGAACCAGACTTAGCTTCTTGTTTGTTTGCACTTCAACACTAGTATCTTCTTCAGTCCTTGAAGCAATTTTAAGCCCCTTGTCCATTTTACTAGAGTTTAGTTAAAACTAGATACTAAAAACTTATCCCTGGGCTCATGTCCATTGCGGCATAAGGATGAATTCCACTGGCACCCTCTTTGCACTTTGGTGAAGCTTTGGCTCCTCTGCAGGCTGTGCTCTGTCGCCTAAGCTGCAGTGCAATAGCTCACTGCAGGCCTGACCTTCTGGGCTCAAGTAATCCTCTCCCCTCAGCCTGCAAAGTAGCTGGGACTACAGGCATAGGCCACCATGCCCAGCTGATTTCTTTTATCTTTAGTAGAGATGAGGTCTCGCTATGTTGCCCAGGCTGGTCTGGAACTCCTGAGCTCAAACCACCCTTCTGCCTCAGCCTCCCAAAGTGCTGGGACTGCAGCTGTGAGTCACTGCACCCGGCCTCCATCTTTTTTAACATCGGAATATACATAGTTCCAAAATTTCCCTCCTGTCCACCTCTTGCAGACTACCTAATGTGTGTGTCTGCATACTGGAAGCCAGTCACCAGCATAGAGAATGGAAAGCCCTGGTACAATTTAATAGAGAAAACAGCAGCTTCCAATCTGTATTTCAGGAAAGTCTCTCTGTCATGGATGGACTGGGGCTACCATGGGTAATGTATTTAAGAAATGATCACTTTAGGCTGGGCGCAGTGGCTCACACCTGTAATCCCAGCACTTTGGGAGAACGAGGCGGGTGGATCATGAGGTCAGGAGATCAAGACCATCCTAGCTAACACGGTGAAGCCCCGTCTCTACTAAAAATACAAAAAATTAGCTGGGCGTGGTGGTAGGCACCTGTATTCCCAGCTACTTGGGAGGCTGAGGCAGGAGAATGGCGTAAACCCGGGAGGCAGAGCTTGCAGTGAGCCGAGATTGCGCCACTGCACTCCAGCCTGGCGACAGAGCCAGACTCCGTCTTAAAAAAAAAAAAAAAAGAAAGAAAGAAATGATTACTTTAACCCAGGCTGGAGACACAAGGAGTGGAACCTGGGTTGCACACAGGAAGACTGAGAGCTCCAGAGTTTTGGAGGAGGAGGTGGAATTAGATTTGAATACTTCCAGAGGAGGCCAGCTTCTCAGCCCACCAGAGTCCATGTCCCTCCCTACTGTGTCACACCCCCTTTTCATCATTATATTTGTTCTCTGGCCTCTCCAGGCATCAGAGTCAAAGCTCTACACAAGGACAGTGGCTGTGATGGTTAAAGGAAGGGCTGGATGTGAAAATAGCTGATGGAGGAGTCAGAGAGCCTGGCAAGTGATTGTTGAGATGAAAAGAAATGAAAATGCCAAGATCCCCAGCCTGTTACTGGAAGGAAAGTGACTCCATTAATCCCTTCAGAAGGAGCAGGTTCTGCTTAGAGGATTGGTGTGAAAATAAGGTTATTATTTGACATATTGAGTTGAAAACATCTGCGGAACATGAACAAAGAAATGCCTTAAAGCCTGTAATCCCAGCACTTTGGGAGGCCGAGGCAGGAGGATCATGAGGTCAGGAGATCGAAACCATCTTGGCTAACACAGTGAAACCCTGTCCCTACTAAAAATACAAAAAAAAAAATTAATTAACCAGGCATGGTGGTGGGTGCCTGTAGTCCCAGCTACTCAGGAGGCTGAGGCAGGAGAATGGCGTGAACCCGGGAGGCGGAGCTTGCAGTGAGCCAAGATCACACCACTGCACTCCAGCCTGGGCAACAGAGTGAGACTCCATCACAAAAAACAAACAAACAAAAAATGTCTAAAAGGAAAGTGGTAATATAACCTACAGCAGTGTACTGGGTTGAATAAGGTCCCCCCAAAATGGATATGTACCTGGCACCTCAGAAAGTGATCTTACTTGGAAATGGACTTATCAAACTTATACATCTGATAAGAAGCATTTACCATCTACTCTCCCTGAAGCCTGCTACCTGGAGGCCTTACTTGCATGACAAAACCTTGGTCTCGCAACCCATCATCTTAACCCAGACATTCCTAAGTCTTTAAACAATAACTTAACTCTTTCAACCAATCATCAATCAGAAAATCTTTGAATCCACCTATGACCTGGAAGCTTCCATTTGTCCCCCCTTTCTGGACAAAACCAATGTATATCTTAAGTGTATTTGATGTCTCATGTCTCCCTAAAATGTATAAAACCAAGCTGTACCTTGACCACCTTGGACACATGTTCTCAGGATCTCTTGAGGGCTGTGTTATGAGCCATTTGTCTCTTGTATTTGGCTCAGAATACATCTCTTCTACCATTTTACAGAGTTTGACTCTTTTGGTCAACAGAGTGATGCATCTACAAACCAGAGTGCCAAGAATCGCAGGCAACCAGCAGAAGCTAGAATTTTAGGCAAGGAAAGATCTTCCCCCAGAGCCCTCAGAGGGACCATAGCTGGCCAACACCTTGATTTCAGACTTCTAGCATTCAGAACTGTAGAGAAAACATTTCTGTTGTTGTGAGCCTCCCAGTTTGTGGTACTCTGTTACAGCAGCCTTAGGAAATGAATATAGATTCCCAGTTAGGGTCCCACTTAAGAGCTGAAGCTGTAGGAGGTACGCAGTCTCCCTGGAAGAAGACCCGTGGGGTGGGGGGATCCAAGCCAGAGTTGGGGGAGAAAGAGCCATGTGTGAGAAACAAGATGAAAAACCAGGCTGGACACTGGACAAGGGATCAGGAAACAGCAATGAGCCCTTGGTTTGAGGAGAGCAGGGAGGAAGGAGAGGGTGGTGAGATGGGAAGCAGTGTCGTGAAGTCAATGCAGGAGAATTTTGAACAGAGATGAGGTAGCAAATGGAGACAGATGCTCCCAAAATATAGAATAAGAAATGAGAGAAATTCCTAAGAGGCAGGTGATCAATGCACATTTCATACCACCATATTCCAAAGAAAAGAAACTTCGAATGCCAAAAAGGTCAAGTGACCCCCTCTATATCCATTAGACAGGTGTTAGGCCTAAGATACATTATGTGAAAAAACTAAGCTCCAAGACGATATAGAGAAAATCAAGTAAAATACATCAAACTATTTAAATGTTTATCACTAGGGGAGATTTTCATATTCTGCATCATAACGTTTGGATGAAACATATGATCTAAAACGTTTGATTTTTTTTCTTTACAATAAGCAGTTGTTACTTTTAAGCAGAAAAAGAGAAGGACTAAAAAGAGAACAGGATAGAAACCAGCATGTGCAGTCTCATTATAAGATGGCAAACCTCTCTGTGGGTATATGGATAAAAAGAGATCTTAAAGGATGCCAAAATGTTTAAGTGTTTGATCCAGGAAATGTTTTTCTGTGTATTTTCTTTTTTCTGTGTATTTTGTCCTTTTCTCTTTTGTTTTCCTCTTTTAAGTTGAGTATAATATGATTTTCTCCAAAAATAAGGTCATTGGCATTCAACTCTAAAAATAAAGCCCTCTTATTCTCTGGTTATTTTTTTCTTGACCTCAGCCAACATCATCAAATGGATGAACAATTATAAAACTGAAGTTCGTCTTTGGTGCTTTTAATACTTTTCCTATGATAAAGCTTTTAATCTATTCCTAAAGGACCCAAGCGAGGCAAACGATCCATCCATGCAACACAAGCACATTCTGGATGCTGTCACTCTGGCAAAATTTATCCTAAAATTATGTGACCTCTAACTGTGCAGGGCAGGCAAAAATGTCCTGGCTCTTACTTTCTCATTCACAGTTCCATTCAGCTCCTCTCTTTCTCTACTATTTTGAAGTATTTCACTCCTACCCACTTGAAACATGAGCTAATTTTGTACTAACAACTATATTTTCTGCAGTTTGTTTAAGTTTTTCCCTTATTGGCAAATCTTGCACACACACAGATGCATAAACGTCTTTGTTTCTTCAACCACATTCAACTTTTATTATATCCAATTTTCTTTCCAAAAAAAAAAAATGTGCTTAACTAGAGGCAGTTACTACATTTTTATTACTCTTTGGGCTTCTTTTCATGAGCAATTGTACAAATCTTTCCCAAAGTACTTCGCCCCTCTAAGAGGAGTCCTTATATTCTAGGCAGACACGCTTAGCGAAGGAAGCATGTGGAAAGAAAGGCCAAGCGCTAAGGTTAAGACGTGGTGCAGGAGGGCAGAGAAGGAGAGCTTATAGAGCAGGTTCAGGATGCAGCTTCACCTGTTCTTCATTATTGCTAAAAACTGTGTATTCATTGTAAAAATAAGTATAGGCCCTTCTAAGATGTTCTTCTAAAAGTGCAAACATTTAATCTTGTGCCACCTCCTGTAATGTCCTTAGTAGGGAACAACATCATCTCTTGTGGTATTCCTGCCAAAAATGAATAACCTAAATTGAATCAAGAGGAGACATCAGACAAACCCAAACTGGCGTTCATCCTACAAAACAGCCAGTTAGTACTCTTCAAAAGCATCAGTCTTAAAAAAACAACACAGAGGGGCTGTTCCAGGTTAAAGGATGCTGGGAAAAAAATATGGCAACTAAATGTAATATGGGATCCCGGATGGGATCCTGAACCAGAAAAAAGGATATCTGTGGGATAACTGAAGAAATTTGAATGATTAAATTTGAAATCAAATTTTAATTGAATTCCACAGAATTAATCTGTAATTTGTTTCATGTTAATGTTAATTTTCTGGTTTTGATCACTGAGCTGGGTTTTTTACTTTTATTTTAGGTTCGGAGGTACATGTGCAGGTTTGTTATATAGGTAAACTCGTATCACAGACATTTATTGTACAGATTATTTCACCACCTTTGTACTAAGCCTAGTACCCAATAGTTATTTTTTCTGCTCCTCTCCAACCTTAAGTAGAGCCCAGTGTCTGTTGTTCCCTTCTTTGTGTTCATAAGTTCTCATCATTTAGCTCCCACTTGTAAGTGAGAACACATGGTATTTGGTTTACTGTTCCTGCATTAGTTTGCTAAGGACAATGGCCTCCAGCTCCATCCATGTTCCCGCAAAAGACATGACCTCATTTTTTCTGGCTGCATAGTATTGCATGGTGTATATGTACCATATTTTCTTTACCCAATCTGTCATTGATGGGCATTTATGTTGATTCCATGTCTTTGCTATTGTGAATAGTGCTGCAGTGAACATATGCATGCACATGTCAATATGGTGGAAAGATTTGTATTTCTCTGGGTATATACCCTGTAATGGGATTGCTGGGTCAAATGGTAGTTCTGTTTTTAGCTTTTTGAGGAATCATCATACTGCTTTCCACAATGGTTGAACTAATTTACACTCCTGCCAAGTGTCTAAGTGTTCCCTTTTCTCTGCAACTTTGCCAGCATCTGTTATTTTTTTACTTTTTCGTAGCCATTCTGATTGGTGTGAGATGGTATCTCTTTTTTATTTTGATTTGCATTTTTCTAATGATCAGTGATATTGAGTTTTTTCATATGCTTGTTGGCTGCATATGTGTCTTCTTTGGAAAAGTATCTGTTCTTATCCTTTGCCCACTTTTTAATGGGGTTGTTTTTCTCTTGTAAATTTGTTTTTAAGTTCCTTATAGTTTCTGGATATTAGACCTTTGTCAGATACATAATTTGCAAACATTTTCTCCCATTCTGTAGGCTGTTTAATCTGTTGATAGTTTCCTTCACTGTGCAGCTCTTAAGTTTAATTAGATCCCATTTGTCAATTTTTGCTTTTGATGTCATCATGAAATCTTTGTCCATTCCTATGTCCAGGATGGTATTGCTTAGGTCGACTTCCAGGATTTTTATAGTTTGCGGTTTTACATTTAAGTATTTAATTCATCTTGAGTAGATTTTTGTATATGGTGTAAGGAAGGGATCCAGTTTTGATCTTCTACATATGGCTAGCCAGTTATCCTTGCACCATTTATTGAATAGACAGCCTTTTCCCCATGACTTGTTTTTGTCAGCTTTGTCAAAGATCAGATGATCATAGATGTGTGGCATTATTTCTGGGCTCTCTGTTCTGTTCCATTGGTCTATGTACCTGTTTTGGTACCAGTATCATGCTGTTTTGGTTACTGTAGCCCTGCAGTATAGTTTGAAGTTGGGTAATGTGATGTCTCCAGCTTTGTTTTTTTGCTTAGGATTGCCTAGGCTATTCGAGTTTTTTGGTTCCAAGTGAATTTTAAAATAGTTTTCTTACTAGTTCTGTGAAGAATGTCATTAGCAGTTTGATAGGAATAGCATTGAATCTGTAAATTGCTTTGGGAAGTATGGCCACTTTAATATTGACTCTTCCTATCCATGAGCATGGGATGTTTTTCCCTTTGTTTGAATCATCTCTGATTTCTTTGAGCAATGGTTTGTAATTCTCATTGTAAAGTTCTTTCCTATCAATGTTAGTTTTCTGGTTTTGATCATAGAATTGGTTTCTGAGAGGTTAATATTTGAAGAAGCTGAGCAACATATATAAGAAAGTCCTTGTACTATTTTTATAACTTTATATGCCAGAAATGTTTTTAATCTATTTACTTTACAGAATGAAATTATTTCAAATAAAAAGTGAAAAAATTATTCATGATACAAAGGCTAATTAAATGAGAGAGACTAGCTTCCTTTTCTATTCCCCTTTCTTTCCTCTTCAAGGTACCACCTCTCACTGGCTGCCCAAGCAAGATTCTATGGCTTGGAATAATTCTCAGCGACTCACTCATCAAAGGGCATCTATCTAGAAGCCCTGCTCCTTCAGGGACATCTGAGGTTGATGAGCTGATCCAATAAGCCATCAGAGCTGGAATAGTAGTAGTTAACAATGGCTCTCTGCACTCTTTTTAAATAACTTTGCTTTTCAGGCCAAGGTGAGAGCCTCGTGGGAATTTCACAAATTTTATAGAAGCAGAGGAGTGCTATTTGAGCAAGGGGCGGATAACACCTACAATCCACTCAGGATTTCCAAGCATAGCCGGATGCAGAAGTACTCATACTTCACTACAGAATCACCTGGGGAGCTTTTAACCTTCTGATTCTAGTGTTTCCCTCTGGCAGATGGAGACAGAAACTTGACTGGGCTCAGGAATATGTGTTTTTAAAATTCTCCAGAAGATTTTAATGCAGTACAAGTAAGAAGACAGGACTGCAATTCACAAGAACAGTATATCCTGGTGATTCCTCAGAACAGAACAGACTCAAAAAAAAAAAAAAAAGAAGAAGACAAAAACAAAGATAACATGAAACCAGATTCCACAACCATGTTTCAAGTGACCTATGTGAGTCAGGCCCATGAGACACATACTACACCAGTTTCAGTGAAGCCTCACAAAATTTAGGGGGGTAGAGGAAAGGGTCCTATGCCCATTTCATAGATGAACAAACTAAGGACTTAATAGATTTCAACAATTTGTTCAAAGTCTCTACCTTAAAGGATTTTGGGGTTCTGGTTTTTGTTTTTACCTGCCCTGGTAACTCTTCTAAGAATGAGCCAAGAAGAAGACAACCTTCTAAGATACTTTTCCTGCCCTCCAAGGGCTGTGGAGAATCTGATAGGGTTGGAGCTGCCCTCTCCTCTTCCCAGAGACACTGCCCCACAATCCCATCAAGTCTGACTGGTACCAACGACTCCAGGGGGCCTCTGCCTTCAGAACTGTATAGGCCTGTGTGGGCACCAGTCTTTACATCCATGTTCCCTCTCCCTCGAGGACCCAGGTTGACCTGTCCAAGAGCTCTCTCATCATGCTGAATTTTGGTGACAGCATAGGGTGAGCCTGTGGATTCTACAGCTCAGCAAACCTCCAGCCAAGTAGTTTCCCTTCATATGGTTCCCCAGTCTTTACATGTGGCATCCAAGAAGGGAAAGTATCCCCTCTCCCTTGATGAGATGTCAGCCCCTCACCACACATGGCCTGGGTGCTAGGAGGACCCATACGGGCTAGGGAGGGGCCACTGGGAGGGGAATGTGTAGGGGGCAGACCCCATCTAGCTGCTTCTTGATGAGCCTGGCATGGAGTGTTTGATCCAAATCTTGACAGCACATTGGTGGCTGTTGTCACTGTGTGGCAGGACTTGCAGTTGAGCTTCTTGTGCCTTGGACTTCTTGTGACTTGGACCTCAGCCTCCATTGAAGACCGTAACACAAGTCCCAACTTACAAACAAATGAGGGAATGAATGAGCTTTGGCATTGGAAAAACCTGGGTTCAAATCCTGGCTACTCTACTTCCTGTGTCAGTTGCTTCACTTTTCTAAATATAAATTGTGTTCCTTCTGTTTTGGCTTCTAGGAAACCCCGAGCCAAACGTATGGCCACCTCTGACCACTCGACCAGCCCAGCATGGTGTACATTTCTGGGTAGCTTATCACGCCTTCCAAGCATTGCCTTTATCTTCCTTCTCCCCATCAAGCCTGTATTGTTTTCCTTTTGAATCATAAGCACTTTTGTTAAATACCTCAAATCTTTCGAGAACAGCAAGGAGCAAAATAAACTTAACTTCTCTGAGACCATGTTTCTTCATCTGGAATATAATCATTTGTACTTTACAGGATCACAGGGAGTATACATCAAGTCAGCCTGCATAATGTGCCCAGCTGAGGGCCTGGAGCAGGCAGTGAGAGACTCCCTGGGGCTGGGGCTGTCCCACCTCCCCTGTCTCCTTTCATGCCAAACCTAAGGACCTCAAGCCTCAGGTCCCATTTCACAGAGAAACATTCCTCACTGATTGCATTTATCCAGAATAGACCATGGAGGTGTGAGCTTTTCGGACAATATTGGGGGGACTGTTCCCAGGAGACAGGCACATGGCAGGAGAGAGTAGGAGGAGAGGGCAGTGTGAGCACTGAGGACCCAGGGTGAGCCCCCATATGGGTGCAGAATTTCCCCTGATAAAACTCCCTATTTAATCAGGCTGCAGAAGCAGTCCCAAATCTTACTTCCTCTTATTTATTGATGGGGTTCTCCACCCTGTTTTTAATACTAGTTAACCTTCGTGGCATCAGCATGTTGGCACAAGGCCCAAATTCCTTCCACTGCAGGTCACGAAGCGGATTACCCTAGATTTCTCAGAGCTGGCCCTTGTGTTCTTTCTGGAAGGTGCTTGTGTAATGACATGGAGAGAGGCGGTAAGGGAGAACTTCTGCTTGGTCTTGCTTATAACTAAATTGAGACAGTGTTGACAGGGGAGGGTCAGGCAGGAGGGAGTGGAGGAGAGAGAGTGCCACCATTGGTCCTGTGCCTGCAGCATAATTTGGGTGTTGGAAGCTTTCCCTAGATTCCTTTTCTCATGAAGCTGCACCAAGCCTTGTAATGAAAACATTCCTCCCTGTCCACAGTTCTGACCTAATGAACATCGTCCAAAAACACAGTGGCCCAGATGTCATTCATGGGTCTCCAGGAGGCCCTTCCACCACACGCAACCCGTCAGTCACCCCAACTCCAGGAAAAGCCTGAATAAACAGGTGAATCAAGCCTCACAGTAACAGGAAAACTTTATGGGTTTTTGTTTCTAACTCATTAGGCACACATTCACGGAGAGGGCTAGGATAAATTTTTCTTTCATCCAGAATAGAACTGAAATCTTTGGCTTTGTGATGTGATCCTCTCACTCTTGTAATTTAAAAGTACAAACTAAAGGAGGCATCAGTGGTGTGGGCCAGAAGGGCCCAGCAAGGCCCCCCGACATGCTATGCAGCTAGAAGTGGTTTCCCCATATGTCATAAGGGCCCACCTGGGCTTCATGGTAGAGAACACTCTGCACATTTAAAGAGCTGTCGGCCAGGCACAGTGGCTCATGCCTGTAACCCCAGAACTTTGGGAGGTCGAGGCAGGTGTATCACTTGAGGTCAGGAGTTCGAGACCAGCCTGGCCAACATGGCAAAACCCCTTCTCTACCAAAACTACAAAAAAATAAAAATAAAAATAAAATTAGCCAGGTGTGGGCACACCCGTAATCCCAGGTACTCTGGAGGCTGAGGCAGGAGAATCACTTGAACCTGGGAGGTGGAGGTTCCAGTGAGCCGAGATCGTTCCACTGCACTCTAGCCTAGGTGACAGAGTAAGACTCCATATAGTAAAAAAAAATAAAAATAAAAATAAAGAGCTATCACTTAATCATGCCAGCAGACTGGGGATTTTACAAGTGTAGAGTCACCTCTGGGTGAACCTAAACTGTCTCAATGAGGAAAGTAAGCCAAAACCAGCTCTAGCCCTAGGACTGTAGGTACATGGTAGAGCTTATAGGGACACACTTGATACAACTGACAGGAGAATTCTTGGGCCGCCGTGGGCTTTAATACCAATGGGCACCCTGGTAACATTACAAAACTGAAGATGGAGCTGGAATGACTTGTGGAGTGAGCAGAGCCCCAAGTAAGAATTATGGCCTGTCCTTCAAAGCCTACCTGGGCAGCAGTGTTATTGCCATTAGCCACAAGGAGCCTGATAGCTGAGGTTTTTTAAAATCACCTAGGCCTTCCATTAAACACATAATGTTTTTAGCACTTGGCATTTCTGAAACTGCAAGGCAACTTAACATTTCCATAGGCCCCACATTCAAGTAGGGAAAACATGAACACTGAAAAGAGCTAGCCACTTGCTGGGTTTATATCACAACCTCCAAGCCCTACCTCTGTGCTTGGAGTATGAGAAGTTATGAGTCTTTGGAGAAATGTGAGAGCAATAAAAGTAAGCAAAAAGCAAGCTTATGAGACAGGAAAGACAACCTGCAAGAGTGATGCTGAGTTCCCAGGAAAGGAAGATGAAACCAGCTCTTTCCATGGAAAGTGCAAGTGCTACCCATTTGAGGAAGAACACCCTTGCAGGAAGGGCTGTTAGTCCCAAGCTGGTGGCTGATCAAGTCAGAAAGTCCTTTCAGAAAGAGAGACACAAACACTTTCTGGAATGGTAAAGCTCAGTCCCCCAGAGTCTACACACTGTGTATGTCACCTTTTCAAGACGCCCACGAGCCCATAGTCAACGACTTTAGCCTAGGGTTCTCTGCCCAAAAAAGGAAGTAAACAAAGAAAACAGAGGGCATAGCAATAGCAATAAACCCAAACGTTCATCAATGAATGGATAAACAAAAAATGATACATCCATCCAATGGAATATTATTCATCCATGAAAATGAACTAAGTCCTTACACATGTTACGACATGGACGAACCTTGAAAAAAATCCTGGCAACTGTAAGAAGCCAAACATTGAGAGCCATAAATTGTATGATCCCATTTATATGAAATATCCAGAATAGGTAAAACCATAGAGACAGAAACTGCATCACTGGTTGCCAGGAGCTAGGGCAGGTGGGGGCAAAGGGGGAGGGACTGTTTAATGGGTGTGGAGTTCACGTTTGGGGTGATGAAAATGTTTTGCAATTAGGTAAAGGTGATGTTTGCAAAACACTGTGAATGTATAAATGCCTCTGAATTGTAAACTTAAAAATGGTTAATGGTATGTTATGTGAATTTCACTTAAAGACATAGCAACACTCCAGTGAGTGCCCCATGTTTGTGTGGCTGGTAGAGGAGATGAGAGCGGCATCAATAAAGCAGGAGCAATAAAGCAGCTGGTGACATCGAAGTTTATCAAAGGGCAGGGCTGCTGGGAAGGAACAAGCTTCGTACAAATTTTCCAGGCTCTGCAGTTCAGAAGAGGGCCCTGTGTATATCCCATGAAAAGAGTCCTAGCTGGTCTGCCCTTGCTGTGTGAGGGCATGAGGAAAACATTTTTTCCAAGGCCCAGGCCGTTTCTTGGCATAGATACTTCTTCCATGGCCCAGCCAAAGAAGTGGTGGCCCTGGCATGGTAGTCACCTAGGACATCTTCACTAGACAGAGACCTTTTTTGCATAACATCGTGTGAGAAAGAGAAAGACCATGCAGGACCAGGCATGGTGGCTCCCACTTGTAATCCCAGCACTTTGGGAGGCTGAGGCGGCTGGATCACCTGAGGTCAAGAGTTTGAGACCAGCCTGGCCAACATGGTGAAACTGCGTCCTACTAAAAATAAAAAGTTAGCCAGGCATGGTGGCACACGCCTGTAATCTCAACTACTTGGGAGGCTGAGGCAGGAGAATCACTTGAAACTCGGAGGTAGAGTTAGCAGTGAGCCGAGATCATGCCATTGCACTCCAGCCTGGGTGACAAGAGTGAAACTTGAAAGAGAAAAGAAGAGAGAAAGAAAAGAAGGAAAAAAGGAAAAGGCAGGTAGGACATGCACAGGATGGAGCAGCTTCAGATGAATCTCAAAGGAAAGGGGAAAGGAAAAGGAAAAGGAAAGGAAAAGAAAAAGGACAGGAAAAGAACAGAAAAGGCCATGCACAGGATGGAGCAGCTTCAGATGAATCTCAGCCCCTTCCAAATTCATGATGTGGGGGGCACAGCCATTCTTGGGTAGGGTCTTTTCCCATACACATAGCACATGACTCAGTGAAGCCAGCCTCCCCCGAGCCCACACATTTTTTTTTTTTTTTTTTTGAGACAGAGTCTCACTCTGGAGTGCAGTAGCACTCCAGCTCACTGCAGCCTCCACCTCCCAAGCTCAAGTCATCCTCCTGCTTCAGCCTCCCAAGTAGCAGGGACAGCAGGTGTGTGCCACCACACCTGGCTAATTTTGGGTTTTTGTTTTTTTTTTTTAATAGAGGCAGGGTTTTACCATGTCACCCTGGCTGGCCTCAAACTCCTGGACTAAAGCAATTCGCCCACTTTAACCTCCCAAAGTGCCGGAATGGCATGCATAAGCCACCAGGCCCGGCCTGCATCTTCTCTTACTGGGTCAGACACGGTCCACCAGTCAGGTGCCTCCTTCCTACAAATTGCCAACACAGATTGGCACCTGTCTGCCCCACTGATGAGCACTCATCAGAAAGTTCCAGGGAACAGCAGCAAGGACTGAAAAATTATTTTTAAAAGTTAAAAATAATTCTGTTTCAAGGTTCTTTATTGTCTTTATTTGATGCCTCTTAATAAGCTTTATAAAAAAAGATTTTAAGTAGAAAATATCATGCTCTTATTTTCTTGGAACTATGCTTTCCATTGAAATAAAAAGTTGGAATAAATAGATTCAGCTACTTTAAGAGAACATTACATAATAACTTTATAGCTCTAAAAGGTTTTTAAAATATTTATAAATTTTGACATGTACGTAGTCCCAAAATGTCTGAAATGAATAAACTGACTTTTCTATGTGTTCTCTATGGCCAAGTCTGGGAACGAGTGTTTAAATAATGAATATAAATGTTTGAAAAATCAATTTTATGACTCCAGTAGACTAAATTTCATAAATGATTAGAGTTACTTAACAATTCCCATGAGTGTGGAGTTTAGTAACTACACAGTGTTATTGCTTCTTAGATTTCTATCTGAGGGCTTTAATATTATTTGCCAGTAGAGTGGCTGTGGGGTTTTTTTATGGCTATTATAGCAAGGAAGTAGGTAGATGCAAAAATGGCTGGATTGATGATGATAATGACAGTAATGATATTTTTAATTTTTTATGTTCTCTGAAGTTCCTAGACCTTATCCTTTTCCAATTGATTTTATCGTTTTTATTATCATCTAACATTTAAAGAGCACAAGTTACCTTTAGACTGAATTAAACAATACATGCAAATAAGAAAGTAGAACAGCTGAGATTGTCATGGTAAAGTTAATCGTGTTGCTTTACCTCATGTGGCAGACAGTTGACTGCTGTTATGGGTTGACACTGCTATGGGTTGAATCGTGTCCCTCAAAAACTCATATGTTGAAATTGGGCCAGATGAAGTGGCTCGCACCTGTAATCCCACCACGTTGGGAGGCTGAGATGGGAGGATCGCTTGAGACCAGGAGTTCGAGACCAGCCTGGTCAACCTAGCAATATCCCATCTCTAAACAAACAAACAAGCAAACAAGCAAACAAAGCAAACACACAAGCAAACAAGGAGCCCTCAGCTCCTCAAAATGTGCCCTTATTTGGAAATAAGGTCATGGCAGATGTAATTATTTAAGATGAGGTCATACTGGAGTAGGTAGGGCCTCTAATCCACTATGACTGGTATCCTTACAATAGGGGGAAATTTGGACATAGCTATGCACACGGGGAAAATACTATGTGATGATAAAAGGCAGAGATCAATGTGACATTCCTACATGCCAAAGACTGCCAGCAAAACGCCAGAAGATGGGGGCGGGCATGGAACAGACTTTTTTTTTGAGACAGAGTCCCACTCTGTTGGCCAGGCTGGAGCGCAGTGGCGTGATCTTGGCTCACTGCAACCTCTGACTCTCGGGTTCAAGTGATTCTCTTGCCTCAGCCTCCCAAGTAGCTGGGATTTCCGGTGTGCCCCACCACACCCAGTTCATTTTTTTTGTATTTTAGTAGAGACAGGGTTTCACCATGTTGACCAGGCTGGTCTCGAACTCCTGATCTCAGGTGATCCACCCAAAGTACTGGGCCTCCCAAAGTACTCGGCTTCTCAAAGTACTGGGATTACAGGCGTGAGCCACCATGCCCAGCTGGAACAGACTCTCACAATCCTTAGAAGGAACCAACCATGCTGACACCTCGATTCAAATTTCCACCCTCCAGCACTGCAAGACAATAAGTTCCTATTGTATGAGCCACCTAGCTTGTGGTACTTTGTTACAGCAGCCCTCGCAAACTAATACAGCTTCTTACCAGACAGCCATTCCTCTTTGTTAGCTACTGCACACATTTATGCTATTATAGAAGTACAACTCTTATGTAATGCAGACACACCAAGATCTGCCTGCTCCAAAATGTTTTCTCTGCTCCTTCAGCAGTGGGGAGAGGATGAGGAGGGGTGGTGTTAAGTATTCCCAGCTTCTGAATGTGAAGATGTTTTCCTGCCATGTGCTACTGACCAGGTCTGCTCGGAAGGCCTTGTGCATAGTTACCTCCTATATCACTTTGTCAACATCCCCTTCAGTGTTTAGCTGTTGCTAAAGACTGCCCACCTGATGCATCCCTGGGGTTTTGCTATTTAGTTATTTTATTTGCTATTTAGTTTATTTTGTGAGTATATTAGACTGATATCTAATGTTCAGGTGAATGCCAGCTCTAGCTCCAGTGCTCAGGAGGCCTTATATTAGTCAAGATTCTCCAGAGAAACACAACCAGTGAGATATAAAGAGAATTATTATAAGGTATTGGCTCATGTAATAATAGAGGCGAAGAAGTCCCACTATCTGTCATTCTTAAGCTGGAGACCTAGTAAAGCCAGTGATGTAATTCTGGTCCAAGTTCAAAGGCCTGAGAGCCAGAGAGCCAATGATGTAAGTCCTGGAATGAGGACAAGAAAAGACAGGTGTCCCAACTTAAGCAGACAGAGGTGAAGTCTCCCTTCCTCCACCTTTTTGTTCTATTTAGGCCCTCAGTGGATTATATAGGGGCCACTCACACTGGGGAGAGCAAGCTATCCTATCATACATTCTATTCCCTTCTGGAAACACTCTCACAGACACACCCAGGATAATGTTTCACCAAACATCTGGGCTCCCAGTGAACCAGTGTTATGTGTCAAGTTGACAGGTAATTAATTAACTATCCCAGGTCTAGTTTAGTTCAGGAGCTCTTCCAAATCAGACCTAGTTCTAGCCTTCAAGGGGTTTCCATCCACTGAGAGAGAAACATCTATATCATAGGGAGCCTATGTTCTGAATCCTGCACTGTGCCAAGTTTAGATATATCATCTCACTCATACACCTAAGCTCACATAATGAATATCACTCATTGTCTTGTGTCAAACACACAGCACAGCTGCCTGGAAAGGTCACCTAAACCAGGCACCCTGGTCACTCAGTAACTGTGTGCAACTCCAGAGCAAAACCAGAGGGTCCCATCCAGTCATGCTAGTCTCAGGTGGCTCCGGAGGAACAGCAGGAATCTGATCTGGAGCAAAGTAGACTCCACAGTGGTCTGAAAGCAGAAGGTGGATGAGGGGTGGCACCTGGAGACATTTCCCAAGCAACAACCCAAGAAGGAGGGAGTCATCATGGGGGATCCTCAGAGAAGAACCTGGGCATGAACCAAAATGGGAAGGAGCCTAAACTGGGTGGGAGAAACTTTTCCTCTGAAGTTCTAAAATGCCATCT
The DNA here is from genome assembly GCF_000001405.40 of Homo sapiens. Lineage (NCBI taxonomy): Eukaryota > Metazoa > Chordata > Mammalia > Primates > Hominidae > Homo > Homo sapiens. Next base: position 55,773,546 of record NC_000014.9, on the reverse strand, counting down.
TCCCCAGAGCAGTTTTCCCTGCAGTGTGTGCGGTCCAAAGGGCATGTGTATCCAAATGCATCAGGGCATTTGTTAACAATACAGATTCCTGGACCCTCCCTCTGATCTACTGAATCCTAACTCAGGATGCTGGAGCCTAGAATAACTCTGCTAACAATCCATCTCAGTAAACCTCATACAAGCTACATGGAGAACCCCTTCCCCAGATGATGGCCCAAGCCCTGGGCCAAACATTCATTGAATAAACATTGACTATACACTCCCATGTGCTAGAACCAGTGCTGGGAAATGAATAAGACAAACCACCCCCATTACCATGGGCAATAAGAGAATCATGAATACATCTATTTCTGGAATATCTTATATTTCCAAGGTCACCAAAGTATCTAAGAACAACTATTCTGCTAATTATAGCTTAATTGAGAAAAGGAGGAACTGGGAGCTTCACAGGCTCATGTTTGAACATTGAAGAGGTCTGGGTAAATGGTTCTGGAGGGCTATTCTGAGCTTCCTTAAAAAGATGCCCCTACTGCAAAGAGTTCTGTCTCTTTTTGTCTTCTGTAAAAGAAACAAAACAAAGAAATATCAAAGAAATACAATTGGGAAAATAAGACTGTTTTAAAAAGTCATTTGCAGAAATTGACAAAAACAAAAGAAATTCTGTGACTGAGTCTGCCCTTGTATTCTAAATACCTACCCATTTTTCTTCTGATTTCTTCCTCAAAAGTAATATTGTGAGGACAGAGGCAGCCTTGCTGTAAATGGTTCTGGTGTCAGCCCTGGATAACACACTCCAGCAAACAAGAAGCATTCAGGCAAGCATAAATGAATCCCATGAGGTGGCCTGCACAGTTGGGAACAAGTCTGACTAATCTAGTAAAAAGAAATATCTAACCCAAAACATATACATTTAGATATAACTCCATAAAGCCAACACTAATTAATCCTCCTGCTCATATAAAATGGCAAAGGAATTAACAATATTGCCAACTCTCAAAAAGTCTTTTAATTGCCCTGCAATTCTTTCCAAACAGCAGGCATCTGCCCATACGTGGTTGCACATCACACACCAACACAGATCTGGCCTTCACACAAAGCACTTGGTGCTCAGCCTCACAATGGTATTTTGTTGAAGCCTGGTACACATACCCCCACAAATTGCTCAGAAGCCAGCAAGGTAAAAGTATCGGTTTATCTTTGGAAACAATCAACTACTGAGTGTCTAAAGTACCCCCAGAGCCTTTCAGGTCCCCCTCTGGCATTCCCCTTCCTCGGAAGTTATTGTTGTTTTTCATGCTAGGAAAGGAATTGATTCAGACTAACATCGTGGGCTATGGGCATCTTGCCTTCCATTCGGGAAAGGTCATTAAGTATGTTCTTCATTTAGAATGACTTTCCTTTTGATTCAAAGCCAAAAATGAAAAGCACTGGAAAGTAGGGTTTCCATCTGAATACAAATTCTAGGATCGAATCCTGGCATTCTGGATGGTAAAGCAGGTGAGATGCTCAGCCCTCTGCCCTGAGTACAAAGAGGAGTCTCAAGAAGCCCCCATTCTGGTCCATGACTCCAGCTGAGGCAGAGACCTTCAGGACCTCACTGGAATGTGAGTTCTGAGGGCGTTCTGTCTTTAGCCTAGCCTGATTTCAATGCTGGATTTTCCATCTTCCCCACTGGGAGCCTCCACTCCAGATGGTTCTCAACTCCCAAGGATGGAATTATTCTGCTGGAGGACCAGGAGCCAAGCCTTTCTGGGAGGCCCCAGCTGAAAAAGCTCAGACTCATGATACATAAGCTCTGCAAATTGCCAGGTTCACTGATAGAATAAACAGTCATAGAGTACCTGCTATCTGTAAGGCAGTGCTGTTCCAGGAGCTCCGGGAGGCATAAATGAATTGAAGATCCTCTTCTCAGGGAGCTTAGAGTGACAGAAGAGGGGGAAGTGGTCAAAGGGCATGTGAATAAATACATATTATCACCAGGTTGAAAGAAGGAGAGTGGCTCTGATGATCTGTGAGCATTCCAAGTTGTTCATTGTTTTGGAAGTTTTCTCAACAGCATGAAGTTTCCAGACTTCTTTCCTGGAACAAAGAACTAATTAAGAGGCCCTCAAGACTTTTGGATTCCAAGTTCTGCACTGCTGACTCTGTTTGGAAACATACAGGGCTAAAGTTCACAAAACTTGAATGTCCTGATGCTCCCTCTCTCCAGACCACCAGTGTGGAGTTTCACTGGTTCTCAGGCCATTCTTGGCTATGGTCTCCATGAATTGGACCATGCCAAGTTGGTGAAGCTCCCAGCAACTTAGGGCATCTTAACCTGAGGGATCAGACAGAAGAGTAGCTCAAGGGTCACCTCAAATGTCCAAACTTCAGTTGTCATTGGGGTCTGGAGCTGAACAAGGCCTGCTGAAATTTTCTCAGATTATATTTAGTTAAATTCTTTGAATTACTCTATTTTGAGAATTCTGCCTTGACCACCTTATCTAAAGTAGCTCTCCCTTGTTTTTCACTAGTTTACACAACCCTTGTTTTATTTCCTTTATAATACCACAATTTCTAAATAATCTGACTATAGTGCAATGGCATGATCTCGGCTCACTGCAACCTCCGCCTCCCAGGTTCAAGCGATTCTCCCACTTCAGCCTCCCTAGCAGCTAGGATTACAGCTACACACCACCACACCCAGCTAATTTTTGTATTTTTAGTAGAGATGGGGTTTCATCGCATTGGCCAGACTGGTCTTGAACTCCTGACCTCAGGTGATCCACCTGCCCTGGCCTCCCAAAGTGCTGAGATTACAGGCATGAGCAGCCGCACCCAACCTATTTGACCATTTTCTGTTTTTTCCCTCTAGACCCTAATGGCAAGATCTGTGTCTGTCTAGTTCACTGCTGTATTCTCAGCTGAAAACAGTTTCAGATATGTGATAGATACTCAGTGAGCATTTTTCTAATCAACGAATGACTAACAGGAACAGACAAAGGGTATATAGCATAACAGTCTGGTTTCCCTTCCTTCAGACATGAACCCAGCAGAAATAGCTAATTATGAGCACAATGGCCATATAATATGCATAGAGGTTAAGTAAGTCTTCAAATATATATGTAATTTTGTGTCTAGAACTCTAAGCTTTTCCTCTCCTCATCTAATTGAAGAATTGGACTGAATAGCCTCTGAGATCCCTTTCAGCTCCAGCACAGCATGACCTGTGATGCAGCATCTGGTGAGACCAGCCATCTTCCATCTCTGAACTCTTCTCTAAACCAGAGGCAGGACTAGTACTGCCTTCAATCTGAGAGAGGAATGGCTGGTTTCTAAGATGACTGAAAAAGGGTCCACATGAGCATTATTTTTTAGAAGCTTCTGTGCTTTGGTAGGACTAGCTCTGACTTAGACACACACATTATCATTTCCTTATAACGCCTAAAGGCGGGATGGGGTTCAACTTAAGTGTGTGTCCTCAGAGATGCTTATCTATAAATGAGCTCAGAATAGATTATCTACATCACGTTCTCCCAATAATTATTCTTGGGTGGGTCATTGTTCATGCACCACATATGTTCCCAAGTGCTTTTCTGTCTACCCATCTCCTGAGCATGCTCTTCCCTCATGGAATGGGTATTTTCCATTTGGACCACTCAGCATGCATTTTCTCCAGTTCTTTAAAAAGGAAGTTTAATTTTCCTTCATATGTCTACCTCCACTGTGTGCACTGGGAAAAACTGACCCTACTCTCAGTTCCATGGGTGAACCTTGACTAGCTTAAGCCACAGACCCATAGAGTACCCTTAGACTGGCTGAGGTCACTGCTGGGTATGTCATCCTGCAGTTCCAATGAGAGGAGGGAGGTGTCTTCTTTGGTGAGTTACTATAACTCTGCCCCTAATAGCTAGATCTCTGCTGCAGGTTCCACAGATGACCGTGCAGAGCTCAAGGCAAAGAGCCAGAGCCCATCCTGGTGACCAGGGAGCTCTGTTTTGGGGGTTCAGTTTGGTAGTAATGCCTGGATGTAGTCTTAAGATCAGTGGACCAGGATCAGGCAATGACCATTCCAAGAAGGGAACTAAAATTAAAACTTACAAAATCAGAAAGACAATGGAAACTAGAAGATAAAGGGAGCACAGTAAAGCTCTCCTAGCCACACTCCACCTCATGCTCATGTTAGGTGCCTTAGCTGATACACCCATTATTCTTACTTCTAGCGGTATTTGTCCTGGTGTATTGCGAATGCAAAATGTTTCCTCTATTCCCTCAGTTCCTAAGGACTTTGGGATCATCTTTAGCTCCTTTCTTTTCCTCATCCCACAAAAATAATCCTGTAGTAAATCTTGTGGGCTTTATTTTATTTTCTGTTGTGTTTATTGCAAATTGACAAATTATAATTGTACACATTTATGGGGTATAAAGTGATGCTATATATTTACATGTTGAATTGTTAAATCAAGCTAATTGTCATATCCATCACCTCAAATACTTTTGTGGTAAGAATATTTAAATTCCATGTCTTACTAAGTTTGAAATATGTAATACATTATTATTATTATTATTTTGAGATGGAGTCTTACTCTGTCCCCCAGGCTGGAGTGCAGTGGCACAATCTCGGCTCACTGCAACTTCCACCTCCCAGGTTCAAGCAATTCTCCTGCCTCAGCCTCCTGAGTAGCTAGGATTACAGACACCTGCCACCACACCCAGCTAATGTTTGTATTTTTAGTAGAGACTGGGTTTTATCATGTTGACCATGCTGGTCTCAAACTCCTGACCTCAAATGACCCACCTGCCTTGGCCTCCCGAAGTGCTGGAATTACAGGCGTGAGCCACTGCGCCAGCCTTTTTTTTTTCTTTTCTTCATTATTTTTTAATAGAGATGGGGTCTCACTATGTTGACCAGGCTGGTCTCCAACTCCTGGCCTCAAGCAATCCTCCCACAGCAACATATTATTCTTAATCACAGTCACCATGCTGTGCAATAAATTCCAAAAAAATGTATTTCTCCTGTCTAACTGAAACTTTATACCCTTTGACGAACAACTCCCTATTTCCCCCACCCCTAAGTCTCTGATAACCACCATTCTTCTCTTCATTCAATTGTTTTAGAGTCTACATATAAATGAGATCACGTGGTATTTGTCCTTCTGTGCTTGGCTTATTTCATTTAGCATAATGTCCATGCTGTCCCACATGATAGAATTTCCTTCTTTTTCAAGACTGAATAGTATTCCATTGGGTATATATGCTACATGTTCTTTATTCATCTGTCAATAGAAACTTAGGTTGATTCCCTATTTTGGCTATTGTGAATAATGCCACAATAAACATGGGAGTGCAGATATCTCTCTGACATACTGTTTTCAGATTCTTTGGACATATACGCATGTATCAGTCTATCTTCATACTGCTATAAACAACTGCCCGAGACTAGGTAATTCACAAAGGAAAGAGGTTTAATTGACTCACAGTTCAGCATGGCTGGGGAGGCTTCAGGAAACTTCCAATCATGGCAGAAGGTGAAGGGGAAGCAAGACACCTTCCTCACAAGGGAACAAGGAGAAATGCCTAGCGAAGTGGGAAGAGCCCCTTATAAAACCATCAGATCTCGTGAGAACTCACTCACTGTCACGAGAACAGCATGGGGAAAACCACCTCCATGATTCAAGTACCTTCACCTGGTATCTCCCTTGAAACACGGGGATTATGGAGATGACCATTCAAGATGAGATGTAGGTGGGGACACAAAGCCTAATCATATCAAAGCAGAAATGGGATTGCTAGATTATATGGTCACTCTATTTTTAGTTTTTTGAAAAACCTTCATACAATTTTCCATAATGGCTGTACTAATTTACTTTCCCACTTTATTGGCTTTATTTAGCATATATATTCCAAATACAACTATTTATCATTAATTCACCACTATCATCCTAGTCCAGGCCTCTATCAATCAGTTCTTGCCTGGGCTAATATAATACCCTCTGGACTAATATAAAACTCTGAGTCTATCGTCAGTGCCCTTTATTCTCCACATAGCAGTCAGGGTCATTGTTTCAAAACTTAGGTCAGATCCTGTTATTTCTCTGCTCAAAGTCTTCCAATGACTACACAATACTGAAAGTAAAACTTGAAGTCTTCACCATAGCTTCATAAAGCTATTTGTCCCAACTTCGCTCTGCCCTTCACTCTTTCTGCTCTAGTCATACTGGTCTTTTTGCTTGAAGCCTAGAAAGCTCTTCTCCCAAACATTTACATGAGTTGCTCCTTCACTTTGTTTTTTTTTTCTTTAAAAGTAATTTGATCCTGATTACAAAATACAGGTGAGGAGCATAGGCAATGCCTGTATCCCCTTTGTTGCCCATCTTCCCAGTCTATGCTGCTATAAATACCCTGTGTACAACAGCAAGCTCATGCTGTCTCCAAGCGCTTGCACATTCTAACAGCTGCAGAGTATAGTATATGACCAGGTAGAAAGTTAAACAGGAGCTCCACTCACAAGGGAGGGCCCCTCCAATTAGTCTTCCGGCTCCCTTGTGCTAATAGTAACTGGTTTCTCTTCCTATTGGTCATAAATAAATTACACCTGCACAATTCTCCGAGCGCTTTCAAGTAACGTCAGAAGGCAGTAACTAAGACCCTTTCCTATGTCCCAGGCTGCCTGTGGCACCTGGACTGCTGCTGCCCCTGGGTCCCGCACATTCCAGGGCGACGACGGAGGAAGGGCAGGCCAGGCCAAGCATGAGAAATTAACAGTCTTTACTGGGCTCAGACCAGGAGTCCGTGGGTCTTGAGGACCTCTGTGTATTTGTCAGTTTTTCTTCACGTTCTTCTCGGCCTGTTTCCGTAGCCTCATGAGCTGTTTCTTCTTCCAGTAGTGGATCTTGGCTTTCTCCTTCCTCTTCTCCTCCAGGGTGGCTGTCACTGCCTGGTACTTCCACCTAACCTCTTGAGCCTGTCGCCCCAGAAGGGCAAACTTTCTTGTAGGCTTCAGACGCACGACCTTGAGGGCAGCAGGAACCACCATCCGCTTTTTCTTATCGTAGGGCGGTGGGATGCCGTCAAACACCTTGAGGCAGTCCAGGGAGGCATGGCCTCGCTTGGTCTTGTGGCGCAGCATGTATGCCTCGCACTGTCGGCCAGAAGATGCGGCTGGGGGCCCGGAAGTGGTAGGCGCTTCGAAAAGGGTTGGTGTTCATCCGCTTGCCGAGGAAAGCCAGATTCTTCAACTTGTTTCTGTAGAAATTGCCAGAGATGTTGATGCCCTCGCAGCGTACGACTACCACCTTCCGGCCCAGCAGTAACTACTTAGCCACGATGGCCGCCAGGCGGCCCAGGAGATGGCCTTGACCATCGAGCACCAGGACCTGCACCTCTGCCATCTTCCGCAGCCGCCTGGGAGAGGCTCCTTCACTTTATTTAGATAACTGCTCAAACACTACCTCCTCTGACAGAAGGCCCCCGATCTATTTCTCCGAAAAGGTTATTTTATGCCTCCTATCCTCTTACCTGCTTCATTTTTCCTCAAAGTCCTTATCATTTGTTTGATGTCTGTCTCCTACCCTTAGAATGTAAGTCCCAAGAGGACAGGCACCAGTGTTGAACTGCCTTTTTCCACTAACAGTCGAAGGGTCTAAGAAGAGCTAAGACTACAGGGACAGTAAAATATGAGTCCTACTACTACCTCTTCCTTCATAAATTTGGGCAAGTATCTTGACCTCTTTGCCTCTGTGTTTCCTCCCTGTAAAGCAGATGAGATAAAATGTGTTCTGTAAAATGAAAAGATAAAGCTCTGTCTTCCTGGCTTCATTATTCAAGGTTGGTATAGTGTCTATTATTATTTCATCCAGCCAAAAGATCTAATGAATTACAAAATATGCTTTGGAACTTAGAACAGTTTTATTTTGATTCTTTACTCTCTTTTCCTTTTTTTATGTTAATCTACCATTTCTATTTCTTCTAGGAAATACTTGTTTATGCCTTTTGCCCATTCTTTAAAATATTTATTTATCTTTCTGCCATTGAAATATAGTTCTTTATTTGCCTGGAATGTCTCTTTCTAGGCTAAACTTTTGAACAATTTTTTAATGTAAAATTCTAGCTTGATGATGATTTTCTTATTTTATTTTATTTTATTTTATTTTTGAGACAGGGTCTGGCTCTGTCACCCAGGCTAGAGTGCAGTGGTGCAATCTCAGCTCACTGCAATCTCCACCTCCCAGGCTCAAGCAATCCTCCCACTTCAGCCTCCCAAGTAGCTGGAACTATAGGCATGCACCTCCACACCTGGCTAAGATTATTTTCTTTCAGCACTTTATAGATATCTTGCCACTGCCTTCTGGATCTTATTGTTTCTGTTATGAAATTAGCTTTCTGTCTTATTGTAGTTCCTTTAAAAGTAACATATCTTTTTATTTCCTCTGACTTTTCTTAAGATTTTTTTCTTTGTTTTTGGTTTTCATCAGTTTTATTATAATGTGTCTAGGCATGGTTTTCATTGTATTTATTCTGCATGGGGTTCACAGTGAGTTTCTGTATCTATGGCTTGATGTCTTTCATCAGTTTTGGAAAATTCTTGACTATCTCTGCAAATATTCTTCTACCCCATTGTTAAATGCATTCCCTTGTTAAATGCAAATTCAAATGTTAGACCTATTCACCATGTTCTGCACGTCTCATACTTATTCATGTATTTTTCTATCTTTTTTTCTCCATGCTTCACTATGAATATTTCTAGTCACCTATTGTACAACTCACTAATACTCTTTTTACCTGTGTCTTATTTGCTGTTAAACTCATCTACTCAGCTCTAAATTTCAGGTGTAGTGTTTTTTATTTCCAGAATTTGAATTTGGTTCTTTTTAAATATAAATTCTTATTCTCAGTTAAATTCTTCATTTTGTCATGTATTCTCTTGAATAATTAATCCCAGTTATTTTAATACCAATGTCTGATCTTTCCGGTGTCTGGGTCATTTCTTGATCTGTTTTTCCAGTTTACTTTTTTCTCTTGGTATAATTCATAATTTTTAATTGAATGCTGAATATTGTACATGAAAAGCTGTAGAAGCTCTACATTATATAATAGCCCCTCAGAGGAGGTGCACCCTATTCTCTGCCAAGCATTTTATGGAGGCTCATCTCCTCAGCCCAGTCAAGATCCATGGTTCCCAACGTAGAATCTAGTATGTTTCCTGTGGCTATTCCTTCTTGATGGGCCCTGAAATGAAATTTTTGTCTCTTCAAAACTGCCTTTGATTCCATTCTGTTTCATCGGCTTTCTAGTTGCGTTTTTTTTGCCTTAGTATTAATCAGATAATCAGATATTAATCAGTAAATGACTTGAAGAGAAAACTAGTGCTTCTGTTCCACTTCTTTCTAGAATCTTGGACCCTTACTCCTGGTTGCCCTGCAAATATGGACTCTAGATTTTGTCTCTGCAGTTTCATGAGATTGTTTAAAACTCAGAAGTCTGCCCTGGATCTTGGGAATCAATCCTCTGCCTGAATTCTCAGCTTCTTGTCCCAGGCCTAAACTCATAAAATGTGCCAAGGAGAAAGTAGCATGTTTTAAAAATGGCTTATGTCAATGAGCCTTTCTTTTTTCCAGAATCTGGCCCTTCAGGTTATACCAGGCGTGGTATCTTTCTGATGCTTTTAAACATACATTTATTTTGTACCTTACCCAGATTTTCTAGGTGCTCCTGGCAGAGCCAATGGTCTGCTATAGCGATAGAATTATCATAGCCAGAAACCTAATAAATGTGTATGAAATAGTCAATTTTTAGAAACAAAATAGTTTTTAATAAAAAGTATCATGTTTTCCCTCCAATAAAATAACTTCGGCAGCCGGGCTCAGTGGCTCATGCCTGTGATCCCAGCACTTTGGGAGGTCGAGGCGGGTGGATCACTTGAGGTCAGGAATTCGAGAGCAGCCTGGACAACGTGGTGAAGCCCTGTCTCTACTAAAAATACAAAAATTAGCCAGGCGTGGTGGCGGGCATGTGTAATCCTAGCTACTTGGGACGCTGAGGCAGGAGAATCACTTGAACCTGGGAAGCAGAGGTTGCAGTGAGCCAAGATTGCACCATTGCACTTCAGCCTGGGCGACAAAAGCAAGACTCCATCTCAAAAAACTAATAATAATAAAAAATAATAACTTCTGGGTGAACATAAGCTGATTGGATATAAAATAACTACGTTTTGTGTAGAGCACAGGAAAATTATTCACTGGCAGCAGAGAGTTTTCTTTCAATAGAAAGCTTCTCTGAAAAGTTATCTTTTTTCCTCTTTTGGTTTTCAGGAGGAAAATAAAAAGTATTCCACTTAGTGTATGAATGTAGTGGGGCAGGCTGGATGGTTGCTATGCAAGAAACAAGTAATAATATCAGAAAATCACATCAGTTCCACTCATATCTATTGAAACAAAACTACTGCTCCAAAACCTCTAGTGAAAATCCCCTCGTTTTCTTTGAAGAATATATGCGTAGTTGATTTTCCTGTTCTTGTTTTTAGTTAACAGCATCATTTTCTGTTTTTCTTAGAAGACAGCATTCAGTCCCCACCCTTGGGAGTAGTATCTCCACTTTCACACAAGCACTCTGTCATTTGCATTTCGCCGTTTTTCAACCTGCTGTGGTCTTTTTAAAACACATTATGGTGCAGTGCCTTTTAAAGCTGGGAAGGATATAGCCACCCCCCTCACGAATCTGCTTTTCAGGCTTCCTGAACCTGAAGGTGTTGAGTAAGAATGAAGGATGGGGTTGTCCTCAGCACAGGATAAAAGAGCAGCCTGGGGCCCCATGGGGAGGGGAGCACAGGGACCCTTTTCTTACTACTCACAACTCAGCTTCTGCTTGGAGCTTTGCTTAAGCCTTCTTCACAAGCTGTGTGAGAGGAACTGGACCTTGGGGATCTAGGCAGAAACTATTCTAAGGTGAGTGTTAGTTTTTTCATTTACTAATAATCTAATTTTACTGGTCTGTAAATATTCATTGGCTACAGGTCACGAAAGAAAACCACTCTCCCAGATGGTACGCCGACTGGATATTTGTTAAATAGTGTGGAAGCTATTCAATGATTTTCATACTGGCCCCTTAGTAGGTACCTCTCTCCCATCTCATCTGGGATAAAATTCCATAGCCTATTCCCATCCCCTTCAAGATTAAAACTCGAATGATTAAAACAGAAAATACCTATTATCCAACTTGCTCCTGTCTCAACCAAAACCAGCATTTGGAAACACTGTCTTAGAGCTGAGGAAGTGGTCAATTAGCTCAAAAAGGTTGAGTGACTTATCCAAGGTCACCCTGTAAGTTAGAGGTAGCATCCAGTCTAGCAGCATCTAACCCCTTCGGTGAAATGTTCTGCCCTCTAAACCCTACATCCACTGACTTGTCCAAAAGCAGATATAGGAGCCAGAGAAATTCAGTCATTCAGCAAGGTTGATTAAGCACCACTGCGTGCCAGACTCAGTGCCAGCAACTGGGGACACAGTGGAGAACTCAGGAGAGCTACGCTACTGACAAATAACCTGTTCAGCAGGAGACTTTCAGGGGGCACTAAGTGCTAGAAAGGAAATAAACCAGGATGATGTAATAGGGAGTGAGGGAATGGGGACTTACTATGTGGTGATGAGGGAAGGTCTCCATGGGGAGGTGGCATTTAAGCTGAGATGTAAGTGACAAGAGAGAGCCAGTCATGCAAACATCTGGAGGACAAACCATTCCAGGCAGAGGCTGTCAAGCACAGTCCTAAGGCAGGAACACAAGCCAGCATCTGGGGAGAATAGCACACAAAGAGAGAGGGACAGGGAATGATCAGATGGCAGACTGAAGTCAGTAATGCTGACTCTTGTAAGCCATTGAATGGAGTTTGTGTGTTATTCCATGTAAGAAATAGAAAAATTCAATCTCTCTTTCTACCTGCTCCCTGAATAGCATACACATGTGGTCATGGTCAGAATTTATTCCTCAGTTTTAATTAAAAGACGTTACCAAGGTACTAGAACATTGTCACCAGATAATAACTTCCATCAATGATAGAAACACATCTATTTTTCCAAGCCAAAGCAATTGATCCTCCTGGCAATATTCAAGGGCACTGACAGCACTTGCACTGGGCACTCTGATTAGTGCAGATTTAATCGGTTTGTCTGAGGGATATCAGTGCAGCTCTCTGACAGTGCCTCTGCGGACCCCCTGGCTGAGATGAATCAAGAACTGGATCAGTTCATCCCAGAGGCACTGAGCTATTATGTTATGAATAAGCTGTCTTCTGACTGGCTCAGGTCACAACGTATGTTTATTAATTTTGTTAGTGAATAAAGCTCATCTACGTTGATTGGATCCAATTGATCAGCCTGGATCCCACGACACATAACAAATGCCACGTTGCGTTGGAATATTTCTGGAACTGACACGTGGCAGGCAGAGAGATTCAAAATGAGCTCATCACCACTGGGTCTCTGACCAAAATAAATAAATAAATAAAGTCAAATTAATGCAGAACAATGGATTGGCCAAACAGCCAGCTGCTGCCTTCCTGCCCCAGCACATTGCCGTTCATCCCTGAAAAGTGTGTCCAATCGGTTATGACAAGATTCTTGAAATACCCGACTGTGTGTAAGCGCAGGAAATCTTAACTCCAGAACCTCAGCTGCCTTCCATTTGGGATAATTATATTCTGTACCTCAAGAATTTCCTCTGCTTTAGGCCTTCAGAAACATGGCCGCATGGGGTCTCCGTGCCCCCAATCTTAACACCTCACCACAGAAGGACTCACTCATGCTAGTGTTAATCAAAGAGGTTTCCACACATGTGCACACACAAACTATCAGAACTCAATTTGTTTTTCCCAGACACATGACAATTTTATACCCACCATTGGAAAGGTATGAGCTTATTAAATAAAACAATGCTCAATTGGGAAAAGGAAATGTATCATTCGGTTCACTATTGGGCATTCATAGCACAAGTTCATTGGTTTCTGCATCACAAGGGAGCTGATTATGATAGAAGTTTTGCCTGGAGTACAGCACAAATAGGGAGTTGGCCCTATTTTCCGGGCTTTTTGAGCAGGAGGTGGAGGAAGAGGAGCTGTAATGCTGTAGGAATCAGTCACCTGGAGCCAGAAGCAAATCGAGTAGATAGAGGTGGCCCAGCCAGCTGCTGTTTTAAAGACCAGAGTGGCTCGTTTAAAAATTATATATACACATAATATACATGCATATATACATATATTAGACATACATATACATACAGACACCATTATATATATGTATGTATGTATGTATTCAGCACAGAGCAGCTCCTCCCCAAGGGAACCCCACACCCCTCATCCAGCAGGTAGACTTTTTGCCTCTTCTCCTGGGCCATTTGCTCTTTCACAGCAGAGGTTTGACTACTTCCTTCAGTAGTATGAGTTTGGAGACATTGATTCTATCACCAACACAAGCATGATGGCTTTGCCATGGGTCCTAATTTGGATTTCAGAAAATATGGCACTTTTATAGCTTGGGTGCTCATTTTGGTCAAATTTTACTGGCAAAGAAAGATGAGCAGGGTGGGGAGTAGACATGTATGATTCACAGTCTCCTTCCTCCTGGCCCCACGCCAACCCCTCAACAGGTATCTTGGGGTATCACAATCAAATGCTTGACCTCTAGATTCTGGGTACCCCAGCCAGGTGACATTTAAAACACCTAAGCACTCTTTATTATCGTAATGATTCTGCATCCTATTTGTATAACAACAGGATATTATAGTGCAGTGCTTTAATCATATCCTTAGATGTTAGGAAGATCAATCTCTAGTATGGCTTCGGATTTGGAGTTTTCTTTTTTCTTTCCTTTTTTCTCTCATGCACTCTTTTTATCATCCATTTCATCTAGCTCTCCTGAAATTTTGAATGTACCCCTCAAAGCTAAGCTGAGATTAGGGAATTTGAAACAGGAGGCTTTCCCTTGTACAAGAGCAAAGAGAGAAACATGAATTTTCCTGGTCACGGCGCAAGCCTGGGGAGTCTTAGGGAATGATGTTAGGCAATAAGGAGAAATCCAGAGGGAAAACTTGTTAAAAAAAAAAAAAGAAAAGTATGCCTATATGCCAGTAATATTTATTGTAAGTGAATGCAATAAATCTGAAACAAAAAACTGGCAGTAGAAGTTCAATAAGTATGCAGACATCATGGGAAAACGAGGAGATACAGAAGGAAGAAAGGAGCCTGTGGCGTTTCGGAAGCTTCCAGTGGTAGGTATTCAAATACAGGGGCAAAGAACAGCCCTGGGGCACAGGATGACAGATACACATGATGTCAGGGTCAACACAATATTTTTCTGTAAAAGGGAAACTTACTCAGATTTTAAGAAATCAAATTGCTTTATTTTGATTGGTTAGGTAAAGTAACACTGAAATAGGTCTTACCCTATAAGAATGTCACAGACCACTCAGGGATAGAACATGCCAACTCTAGGAGGTAATTATCTGTTACAGAACATGGTTAATGATTATGTTCAGATGTTAACAATCAGCTCGGAAAAGATTACAGGAGCTTCAAAGGGGTCCCTCTAGACCACATGACTGTAATGTGGCCTGAGGAGCCTGCTCTTAATGCAAATGCTTGCTGTCATGGTGACAGGATAGCACCCCTGTGTTCACCAGCACCACACAAAAGCCCCCTATTTGGGACAATAGCTTTTAGTTCAAGATAGACTGCATAAGTAACCAAATGTGGAAAGTAATATCCCATATGATCTTATCTATCAACTGCTCTGTGAGGACCTGAAGTTCCAAAAGTGATCTAATCCTAGGAAACGTTTGGCACAGAATAAAAGAAACTGAGAAGCCCCCCAAAATTTTTACTCCCTGCAAAACAAACACACACACACACACACACACACACACACACACACACACAGAGTCTCCATTTTCTGAAATTCATCAGTTACTGCTTGCAGAATTATATTACACTTAGATTTATCATCATTGGATTCTTTGCTAATTCATTCAAAATAAAGGAGATAGCATTTAAAATATTTTGTGACGCCTTAGAGATAAATGCTCACCCTGGGTGGGTGATGATTTATGGGGATCAAGTACTAAAGAATAGGAATTTCATTTATTTTATTGCCTGTTTAACTCCTGGGGGAAGAGACAGCTGGTAAATCATTTTGGTAAGTTAGTAAATTGGGGGGCCTTTGTTTGCTGGGCCCAAGAAAAAACTCACAGGATGGAAAAGTATCCATAGGGTGCCTCCTTCACCCACCCCCTTCTGAGCAGAATTGCTTGCACAGTACATCAGGAAGAAAGCTTTTCATTCTTTCTTTTAGAAACTCCATGTTAAAAGGAAAAAAAAAAGCCTTCCGCTTTCTTCCATTGTTTAGCCCTTCTAATCTCTAAATACTTCCTATATTTAACCTAAATCTCTCCTGCTTTCCCATCTTCACAAGTTAATATTAGTCATAATTAGTTCTCTTCAACACATGTAGTTTTACCTGGATACAAGCGTAGATATTCTTAGTATTTCAGTTCAAGAATAGGATTTCCTTGGGATTTCTAGTCAGTTCCTAAAAGAACCTCAGTGAATCTCTATTTCCTCCTCTAAAATAGGAAGACACCACAAGCCCTCAAACAGTCAGTGGGGTAGACATGGACATTTCTTTGCTCTTTTATGTGAACCTTATCAAAACTTAATCATTTGCTGATATTCTAGAGATCAGCACTCATGCACAGTGACATCATTCTGGTGACTAAATAAGTAAAGATAAAAGGTTGTATTGTTTTTTCAGAACTATTTTACCCCCAAAATATTCCATAAATACCCAATGTCTCCTTGCCCTTGTTCTTTTTCTTCTGTGATATGGCCCTCAAGCTAAAACAATAAGGAGAAATGTTGCTCAGGAAAAGGGTCCAATCTCCTGCCTGTATCTCTTTTTTTTTTTTTTGAGATGGAGTCCTCGTTCTGTCGCCCAGGCTGGAGTGCAGTGGCACTATCTCAGCTCACTGCAAGCTCCGCCTCCCAGGTTCATGCCATTCTCCTGCCTCCGCCTCCCGAGTAGCTGGGACTACAGGCACCCGCCACCATGCCCGGCTAATTTTTTATATTTTTAGTAGAGACTGGGTTTCACCGTGTTAGCCAGGATGGTCTCGATCTCCTGACCTCATGATCTGCCTGCCTCGGCCTCCCAAAGTGCTGGGATTACAGGCGTGAGCCACCGCGCCCGGCCTCCTGCCTGTATCTCTTGCAGGTCAACTTGCAGGACACCTGCCAGGAGTACTTTGACCACTGATGTGTGTGTGTGTGTGTGTGTGTGTGTGTGTGTGTGTGTGTGTGTGTAATGGGTCAACATAGTAGTTTAAAATTTTTATATTATTTGCCAACATTTTGTAAGTGGAAAATTCCAATTAAAAGTCTAGATTTCAGACTTTTCTTTAAAAATGTGAAGATCCAGCCACAACTGCCCATAGAGCACAAGTGGAGATAGACAGCAACTACCCCTGTAATGGGGCCTCACTCTCCATTTTCCCTAGTCCTCACCAGTCCCTACTATGGGACACCCAGCCCCTTAACTCATGTTACCTGCTTTTTTTTTTTTTTTTTTTTTTGGCAACTATTACTTTATTCTAGCTTGAGATAGGCCTTCACACCCAGTTAGAATAAACTTTCCAAATACAAGCTTCATTTTCTTATGCTGTGAAATTTGGGGGCTGCTTATTGTCCAAAAGATGTGTCCTAGTGGGAATTAAGTAGTCAGCACTTCCCCTCCCCAAGGGCTTCTAACAAAGGGGCGGATTTCAAAGGAGTCTCCATTATGGAGAATTAGCATAAGAGGGCATTTCCTCTCTTTGACAGTCCTCTTTGACCCTCTGTCTACCCACAGACTGTCCTTTTCTGTGGCTGAGAATCCTTATCTCAGCAGCTGAGAGGGGACAAGACCCTTGTTCCAATCAAATCATCTCAGAGCGTCCCTCTAGTCCAACCCACCTCTTTTCTCCCTGGGCTTGTTGAAGGGCAGGTAGCTTCTGAATGGAGAGTGCTAGGCCTACAGGGCTCTCAGGAAACCAAAGTGTCATGATAACCCGTGTAGGAAACTGACTACATCATTAAAGAGTGTAGAGAGGAGAGGAATCCTACTGGTGACCTTCCAGAGATATCCAGCAGGCCCTGAAGAAACACTTGTTGACTGAATAGCAATAAGCCCTCATGGACAGGACACAAAGAACCAGGCAAGAGAGTTTCTGCTTCCTAATGTAAGTACTTAGCATTTATTTTCTGTTGTAGCCCAGGCATGAGACAAGCACTTCTTGTGGTTACTTTCATTTACTCCTGGAGTGGCTTAAAGATGGCAGCAATTTTTTTTTTTCCTGGGATCTGAACTAGTCCTGACAGTGGCTGCAGAAGTGATCCTGTGCAGCTCCCAAGACTTGTCTGTGCTTAGAACATTCCCTCTTGGAACCCAAGAGGTGCACATGCTCTGCTGTGAAAACATCAAGCCACAGAGAGAGGCCATGTGGAAGACAGCAAGGTGCTCCTGACAGCCAGCACCAACTGGCAGCCATGTGAGTGACAAAGGACACTGCCTTGGATGTACCGCCACCCAGCCTACAGATGACTGCAGCCACCGATGACACCACTGGAGCGGAAGACCTGCCCAACTGTTGTTGCTTTAAGCCACTAAATTTGGTGATTGGTCACCTGACAGTAGGTAATTAGAACAACTGCTTATAACTGTGTGGGGTGCAGGCTAGCATCAGCTCTATTTTACAGATGACGAGACTGAGGCACAAAGAGGCTAAGTCACCATGTTCACAGTGCCGGTAGAACCAGATTTCAAACTCACATCTGTCTATCTCCAAAGCCCATATTCGTAGCCTCCATCATACACTATCTCAAAGAGCTTGCGATTTACTGGCAGCCACAAAAAAACACGTCAGAAAACTCAAGCATATGCACAATCCTTTTTTCTGAGTCTTGGTAATCTCTCAGGAGCTGGGGAGTCAGAATTATCTCAGACTATTCTGGAAGGAAACAGAGAAAACAGCTTTGCCTGATTTAAAAAGAAAAAAAAATACGGAGGTAACACCATCTAATGCTGATCACATAAAAAGTCCCTGCTACTCTCAAGCATGGGTGGACAAACTATAGCCTGGGGGCCCAAATCCCATCCACTGCCTCTTTTTGTAAAGTCGTATTAGAACATAGCCATATCCAATATTTACATATGGTCCATAACTACTTTTCCTCTATGTGGCAGAGCTGAGTAGCTGAGGCAGAGATAGTAGGGGCCCCTGGTGCCTAAAATGAAGTTCACCAATCCCCTACTCTAAGCCAATGGCTATCAAACTTAAGCATGCATCAGAATCACCCAGAAGGAGTGTAGAACACACATTCCCGGGCCCCACTCTCAGAGTTTCTGATTCAGTAGGTCTGGAATGGGGTCCAACAATTTGTATGTCTAATAAGTTTCCAGGTATGGTAGGCAGCTCTAAAATAAGCCTCTTGCATAAGGCACGCAATCATCCGCACTCCTACATCAGCCTTCCCTGATGCAGACTGAACTTACTTACTTCTAACGCATAGAATATGGCAGAAGTAATGGAATGTCAGTTCTAAGCATATGTTCTCCAAAGACTGTAGCTTCCATCTCATGTGCTTTCTCACCCTCTCTGAACGCTTGCCCTGTGGGAAGCCATGCTATAAGACAGACATATGTAGAGGCTCATGCCATGAGAAACTGAGGCCCAACAACAACCACATGCATGAACTTGGAAGTGGATCTCCTCCCCAAACTGAGTCAAGCCTTCAGATGAGATCTCCACCCCTGCCGATAGCTTGACAGCAACCTCATGAGACATCTTGAGCCTGAGGCTCCCAGCTAAGCCATGCCCAGATTCCTGAGCCACAGAAACTGTGAGAGAAGAAATGTTTGTTGTTTAAGTCACTAAGTTTTAGAGTAACTTGTTAAGCAAGAATACGTAACACACACCAGTTGATGCTGAGGCTGCTGGTCCAAGGACCACACTTTGAAAACCTTGGCTGTAATGGAACAGCTGCTTCTTCAGTCTTCTGACTTGATGGGGCAGGGAAATACTGAGTTTTAATACTTCTGAGTTCCACAGTGTTAGTGGAACATCCTTCTAGACTCTGTCCACCAGGTCAATGGCAGAAATAAGTTGGATACCTTGTCCCCAGTCACCACAGAGCCCTCTTCTCTGCAGGTTGAATGATGGAGGTAAGGGTCCTCGCACAGCCTCCACTGCCCATAGCTGCAGGAGTGTCCAGAGATCAGAGCTCTCAATTATAAGGAAAGACATGGGCAATAGCTGCTTGAGAGCACAGCAAAGTCAGGGCCCAGAAAGCCTGGGCGGTGGAAAAAGTTTATTCCTCTGGAAGCCCTCATTATCACTTCCTTACTCCATCCTGGTAAGTAGCCTCTGGGGCCTGTCTTATGTGTCATTTATTCTCTGGATTTAGTTACCAGTGAATCCACAGGGAGGTGCCAGCCAGTTCTTAGGTGCATTCCACAAGGGCAGAGATTTTGGCCTGTTCTGTTCAATGATACCTACAAGTACCTAGACCTGAGAATGGCATATAGAAGGTGCTTAGTGAATAATTATTGAATTTAAGTATGATTTATTTATTTATGTATTTTTCACCCCGGCTGGAGTGCAGTGGCAAACTCTCAGCTTATTGCAACCTCTGCCTCACAGGCTTAAACCATTCTCCCACTTCAGCCTCCCTAGTAGCTGGGACCACAGGCACACACCACTACGCCTGGCTAGTTTTTGTATTTTTTGTAGAGATGGGGTTTGCCATGTTGCCCAGGCTGGTCTCAAACTCCCCGGTTCAAGTAATTCACCCACCTCAGCCTCCCAAAGGGCTGGGATTACAGGTGTGAGCCGCGCCCAACCAAATTTAAGCCAAATTTAAGAATTTGAGAGACAGCCCCAATTAGCTTAGCCAAGCCTCGTGCACTGTGGAGGGGGGGGCTGGCACAAGTGTGCCACCCTTGGGCCACACTACCACCAGGGTGTTCAAGGAAGAGGCCACCTCTTATCCTCTGCAAGGAGACAGGTACACAAAGATTCTGTGGGTCATCTCTGTAAAGCTTTAATTCAGAGGCCTCAGACATGGACTGTCTGGGTTCAAGAGATACCAAGGAGCTGGAAACACCAGTGGGGTTCTTTGGTGACTGGGGCCAAAGTGTCTGGTGCCAGGAAGCAGAATATACAAACTGGTATGCTTTTGTGCATATAGCAACTAGCCTGAGGCCTCATTGTACCAGCTTCAGAGAGAAATAAATCATGTTTGTTTAACAAACGCAGTGAAAGAATGCCCTGGCACAATGCCTGACACCCAGTAAGCACTTAATAAATGTTTATCGAATGAATGAAAGAGATCTTAAGCACAGCAATACATTTCTTGGCTGCAAGTGGGGGAAAGGTAAAAATCAGACTTGTGAAACCATATGCCCTCCCCTCCTCCCCATAACCCCCACCCACAGAACAGCAGAAAGGAAAGTAAAGAATCATATCTTTGGAGCAAGAGGAAGAAGCCATCTCTGCTTTGCAGCTTGGGTCAAAGCACGTCACCTCTCTGGGCTGCAGCTGTTTCATTTGTAAAAGGGAAAGTCTAGGCTTGGTGATCTCCAGGTCTCCTTCCAGCACTGAGGTCCTGTGG
This sequence comes from Homo sapiens, assembly GCF_000001405.40. Classification (NCBI taxonomy): domain Eukaryota; kingdom Metazoa; phylum Chordata; class Mammalia; order Primates; family Hominidae; genus Homo; species Homo sapiens. Next base: position 55,752,881 of record NC_000014.9, on the reverse strand, counting down.
CTCTGTGCTTCCCCAAGGCACTGTCCCTCAAACCTAATTACATGGTTTGCCTGTAAAAGGAGCGCCTTGATCAGGGCAGAAACAATGAGGAGCAGCCATTGTCATTCAAATCCTGGAACTGAGCTTTCTCTCAAGGTACGTTTAGAACATTCCCTCTTGGAACCCAGCCGCCATGCTCTGCTGTGAAAACATCAGACACCACACTCCCCCCTGGAAGTCCTTGGACAATAGCTGTGACCACCAGTTACGACAAGAATGCTATCAAAGGGGGTTTGGCATGGACAAGTTGTGCCCTGCTTGACTTATGGGGTCCTTCTAAATATGAACGATTCTAGTTTTTCATCAACCTATATAAAGTAAAAATTATGGTATTTACGAAAACACTGAATTTATGGTATTTATGAAACTACTGGCTTGGGTGAGGAGCCCAGTTGCTCCTTTTATGAAAGGAGCAGATACTCCTCTCCAGAGCTGATGATTTAGGAGCACTGAGAAGAGGGTGCAGAGGAAAAGGTTCTGGTGAAAAGATGCCCGCCTTTTTGAGTTTTAATTTTTTATGCTCACAATGTGGGAAAACCACTCTCCAAGGGCAGTGGTAATGGGGAAAGAGCAGCAAGCTTAGTACTATGTGGAATTCCTCCATGACCTCTAGCTGCTGGGGGTGGGAGCAGCTGGTATTTAAGAAACCTGAGTTTTCCACATGAGGGGCAGAAAAAGGTGCAGAGAGAGCAGGCTTTTTTTGTGTCCCCTTCTTGTTTCTTTCCAATTGTGCAGACAGTAGAAAATGCCCTTCTGAAAAGAGCAAGAGGAAGATGTGGAAAAAGAAGTTTTTTAACTTCTTTCCAAAAAAAAAGTATTAAATTATGTTTTTGTGAAAAAGAAAAACACTTATTTTCAATGTCTGTAGTATTTGTGGCCAACATCAAGAACGTTGGTGAAAAGAGAGCAAACAAATCAAAATCCATGCCAAGGAACTGCAGGGATATTAAAAGATGTCACATTCTTCAAGATAGTTTTAGGAACAATTTATTGCAGGACTCCTCAGAGCCCTTAAGGTACAAGTGGGTATTGTGACTTTTATCCTCTGGAGTGTAGCATTTTCAGAAGACACTTTGGGAAACACACTTAGGAGTGACAACACACTTTTCTTATTAGAATCCAAATCATGGCTGGGCGCAAGGCTTACGCCTGTAATCCCAGCGCTTTGGGAGGCCGAGGGAGGTGGATCACTTGAGGTCAGGAGTTTGAGATCAGCCTGGCCAATATGGTGAAACCCCATCTCTACTAAAAATACAAAAATTAGTAGGGCGTGTGGCAGGTGCCTGTAATCCCAGCTACTTAGGAGGCTGAAGCAAGAGAATTGCTTGAACCTGGGAAGCAGAGGTTGCAGTGAGCCAAGATCACGCCATTGCACTCCGGCCTGGGCATCACATTGCAGCGAGACACTGTCTCAAAAAAAAAAAAAAAGAAGAAGAAAAAGAAAATCATGCAAATGAAAAAGAATTATCCTCTGTAGTTTCAGAAGGCAAAACAAGATCAACACATGTTTAAAAATTATTCCTTTGGGAAACAAATCAATATGCCAAAGGGACATCTGCACGCCCATGTTCACTGCAGCACTATTCACAACAGCCAAGGTGTGGAAACAAACCTAAGAGTCTCTCCACAGATGAATGGATTATTCAGTGTGGTAGAGAGACACAGTAGAATACTATTTAGCTTTAAAAAAAAAAAACAGGGAATTCTGTCATTTACAACAATATGGATGAAACTAGAGGACATTATGTTAAGTGAAATAAGCCAGGCACAGAGAGACAAATCTTGCATTATCTCACTTAAATGTGGAATCGTAAGAAGTCAGACTCATAGAAGTAGAGAGGAGAATGGTGGTTGCCAGAGGCTGGGGTGGGAGGGGGGCTGAACAGGGAAAGGGGAGACATCAGTCAATGGGTACAAAGTTTCAGACAAGCAGAATAAGTACTGGTGATCTACTGCATGTCACGGTGACTACAGTTAATAATAATGTCTTGTATATTTCAAAATAGCTAGAAGAGAGGATTTCAAATGTTCTCAACACAAAGAAATGATAAATATTTGAGGTAATGGATATGCTAGTTACTCTGATTTGATCATTCCACAATGTATTCATGTATGGAAATATTACTTTATACTCATAAATGTATACAATATTATTTGTCAATTAAAAATGAAATAAAACTAAAAATTATTTCTTTGGGAGAGTGAAATTTAAAACACAGTTTGAAGATTGAACCCTTGTGTGGACAAAAGATCTGGGCTTGATATATTGAAAGATCTGGGCTTGATATATTGATGCACTTGCTAACAATAGCAGCTATTCCCAAATAAGAAAGTCCACCTTCAGGAGGATGGAATAACTTGTCTCTGGAATAATAACAGCCACCTTGGGGACGGAATGTTTGTTATTTGCTCTGTGCTAAATATCTGTATTTATATAGATGCGGGTATAGATATATAAATATATATGTATGCATATTATTTGTATATGGACTTATGTTTATATCTGTTTTTTCTATTTAACGCTTACGGCCTTATGTAAGCAGACACTGCAATTATCCCCATTTTGTGGAGAAAAATACTAAGGCTAAAGAACATTGCACACCTTGCCCGAGACTATGCATAAATTGCTCAGCCAGGATTCAAAGGCAGGCAGGCCACCCACCGAGCCCCACTCTTCACCATGACACCACACTGCCCCCTGGAAGTCCTTGGACAATACCTGTGACCACCGGTCACAACAAGGATGCTATCAAAGGGGATTTGGCGTGGACACGGTGTGCTCTGCTTGACTTACGGGGTCCTTCTAAATATGAACAATTCTAGTTTTTCATCAACCTCTATGAAGTAAAAATTATGGTATTTATGAAAACACTGAACTTAATTTTTAAAGTATTAGTGACTGCTATGTGCCGAGCATTGTAAAGAGTGCAGTTGGTAAGAGGTAAGGGAATTTAAAATGTTGAAGGTGCTTTCTGCCTTTGAGAAGATTATGGTCCCATAAGAGATGAGAGGATACATAGGAAGCCACAAGACACCATGGGGCCTGCACAGCTGCATTTCCTAAAAGCGAGTCAGTTGCTGCAAGCACCCCAGGTCTGTGTGGGCTGCAGCCTCCCCCACAGTGTTGCTGTCTGCTTGACAAGATTTCACAAGACACCTGTGATGGGTATTGATCATTTGGGGCTGCCTGGCATCTTTACTTTCTTCCCATGTTTGTAAGAATGCTGGTGAGAGGCAGTAAACACCAGGTGCTTGTGCAATGTCAGACTCCAATTGCCAACTCCTCTTACTCAATGCCTGAGGGCTTGCTCTGGCCTGCAGAGCCCACTTTGCAGGACAAGCAGAGAATGCCAGGGATGTACACTTTACCTCCCTACCCAGCAGACCCTCAGCCAATGACTGCCAAGAGTTGATGGGTAAATAGCCTAGACCCCCCACCATGCCTCTCAGTGGGATAAACCTGAGGCACATGGCCTACCCTGTCTTTCAGAATCCCAGGCAGGATTAAGCTGGAGTTGCTCCCAGGGGAACTTGCTTGATAACAAACCCTTTATTGTTTCACTCCCTTCCCTATCTGACTTCCCCACTCCCCTACCAGTGTTTCCTTGAATTACCTCCCAAATAAGCCACTCACACTCAATTCCTTGTTTCAGGGTTGCTCCAGGGGAAACCCACGCTAAGGTACTTGATCTCCCAGATCCTGGCAACCAGGGCCTACAGCTTAAGTCCATAGGACCTAAATGCTTCTATCTGAGACTTTCACCCTGGAGCAAGTAAAGAATTAAAAAACAGTCTAGAAGTCATTCTAAGGCCACCAGCAAGGGCCTCCAGTGCCCAGTATGGTGGTAGCACTGGCATCAGCTGCAGAATTCAGTGGGCCGCCACGGGGTATAAGCTCCTCACCAGGTCATTCCTAGGCATTACTCTGACTGTAATCCACCTGATCTGTTACAATACATTTGTTTCTACTTACATTACGCAGAGTTGGATTATCTTATCTGCATCCAAGGAGTTAACAAAATCGAGACCTCCATTCTTGCATAATGGTACCTGGACTTGGTCCTCTATGGGGAATTTTAGAGCTGAAATTTTATTCTTATAGTTTTAGAGTTGAAAAGGACATTTGAGGTCACCCAGTATAGTTCCTTTCTTCATGGATGAGAAAATTGAGGCCCAAAAAGGTTAAGGGACTTATTTAAGGTCACAGAAGTAGGTAGAGGCAAGAGCCAGATTTGGGGCCATAATGGTTGATGGCAAAGCACTTCGAAGGCAAGTATGTGTGTTTGAGGCCCCACTTGCTGCTTGTGTGATTTGGGAAGTCATTTGAGTTGTCCAAGCCCTCGCTTTCTCATCAACATAAAGTTGTGAGGATCGAGTGAGACGATCTACATAAAACATTCAACAGGGCATTCATTAGGATGCTTTCGGCTCTAAATAACAGAAGACCCAACTAAAAGTATCATGAAAAATATCTATAAGGAACTTATTATCTCCCAGAATGAGAAGTTCCAAAGCTGTTGAGCAGTGTCTTTTAATGTCATTAAGGACTCAGATACTCACCATCATTCTGCTGTGCCATCTTCAACGCAGCTTCTGAATGGATACAAGATAGCAGAAGATGCTCCAAGCAGCACAACCCCATGGAGCAACAACCAGCAGGAGAGCAGGAGGGCAGATTGTCCCGAGATGCTGCTTACACCGAGGAGGAAAACCTTGGCTAGAAGCCCCTTATGTGTCATTGGCAAGGTTACATTACATCTCCATGCTAAGTCAATTCCCCACCACAGAAATCCAGGGAGCATGGTTGAATTAGACCAAGGCAATGTGCTCCTCCTAACACTGGGATACAGTCACCTTCCCGAAACACAAAACCAGGGAGAAGGAAGGTTGGCATGGAACAGCTGCTAGATAGAGAAGCAACAATGTAGACCGCAGTTGCCAGGTGCTCAGAAGGTGCTGAAGAAATGCTAAGTATTTTTATTGCAGTGGGCTTTTCTTTCTACTGTACAAATGCAACTGTGCTTTGGTTTAAGGCTGCTTGTCCTCAAAAGGTAAAATTCTCCAGGAGTATAAGTAACACTGTCTTAACAGTCATTTTTTTACTTTACTAGAGAGGGAAATTTTGTAAAAGGGAAAGGTGGCTGTGGAGCTGCGAGAATAGATGGAAGAATGAAGAAAGAAGGCAAGACAGGCAGAAACAAGGGCCTCGTGGAGCTAGAAGCCAACTTCACAGAGATCACAATTTTGCCTAGGGCCTGATCCAAGCTGGGCTTTAAAGAATAGATTTTATACTTGCACTATTCGTCATGAAATCCAAAGTCCCACTTGTACTAAGAGACTTTTAAGCAAAGGGCAAGTCAGAAAACAAATCCTGTTAGAGCCTCTTCTAATTGCTGTGTCTCTTGGTGCACATTAGAGAGGGCAGAGGCCTTGTCTAACTTGTTTTGTCTACCCCGAAGCGGCCGATCCTGAGTGCAGCAGATGCTCAGGGCGGGAAATGGCCTATCCAGACTTGCCCAGGTTCCATCACAAATGCAAATCTTGACCCTCAATGAGTATCTTTCACCTTTCAAGTTCCTCACCTGGAAAATGGGCTGTGACCTTGGTTTCCTAGTGCCGCCAAGTGAGAAATACCTCCTTCTTCAAGGAAGAATCAGATGAGGAAGAATACTGCTCTTGGTGCTCTCAGCTAAAGAGTGTCATCCAAAAGGCCCCAGGATGGCTACATGGTAGAAAGGAGAGCTTGATTGGCAATACAGTTTGCAAACTAGGAAGAGAAAGTCTCCAGTGCAGAGCAAAGGTCCTTTCTCTTCGAAGAGGGAAAGAACAGGTTGGGTTTTATGCCTCACAGGGTCTGTATCATACATATTCAGTAGGTTTGGAGGGAAAGCTTCACATATTTATGAGGGGAGCCAAACAGATGCATAATGGGTAAACATATACATAGCATACATCCCATGTTCACTTTGGAGTGGGGTTTTATCATTAACACAAGGTGGACTTTGGCTCTTTATGCTGAAAGATGAACTATAAGACATAAAGTCAGTTTGTGTGCAGCCTCTATCAGCTGGCTGAAACTGGTTTAAGGTCTGCAGTGACTTATCAGAAAAGAATGTCTGCAAGGCTGGTCCTCTGTCCAGTCAGAGTTGTAGTGGTCTGGGATGTAGACCAGGTTTAGGAGGGGTCTGACAATTTACCTGATAGTTCCTCTTGTTAGGGAGTTTTCCAAGAGCGTGGTTTTTCCTATAGCCGTAGGAATTTAGGAAGTTGGCATGCCAGTCAAGCACTGAACCCTCTACCCACAGGTAACTTTTGTTTCCTTAACCCTAGGGTCCCTCTTAGTTGATAAAGTGGCATCTCTTTTGCTCCTCAGATCACAGGGGAAGCACAGAGTCCTCTACTTCAGGTCCCTCCAGTCACAGGAACCCATATTTCAGCCTGGATGCATGGTGGCTTCACTGCAAGGACCCTGGAGGACCCTGGGACTCCACAACAGCACATCATGTGCCATCTGGGACAGGAAGGCTGCTGGGCACTACAGCCAACCCCTCCTTCTCTCAGGGGCCTCGAGACCACTTGTCCTCACAGGCCAGTGTCCACAGCTTTCTCCTCAGCTTCACCTGATGCCCGTCTCATCAGGATCTTTCGGCCTTAGTGTTTCTGCTTACAAGCAACTTCCTGGGACTTCTAACTGGAACATTCCCCAGAGATGGAATCTGACGGAGCTTGCCCTCTGGCCAGTCTGCGAATAAGGAACCCCCTTAGGTGCAGAATAGCGGAGTTTAGGCAGTGTGAGGTCATGTTGTGTTTGCCTACATGAAAGGGCCTCTGAGTACAGGCAGAGTCTCACCCTACAGGGGTGGGGAGAGGGGAAGCCAGCTCAGAGTGTATCTGGGAGAGGGCAAAAGAGAGAGACCGAGAATTTACTCAGGAGTATTTTGCCAGAAGTGGAGAGATAGTCCCCTGGCCCTCTCTAAGACAGAGATGGTCTGGGAGTGCCGAACATGGAGTGAGATCTAAGGGATAGTGTTTTGTGGTTTTGTTGTTGTTGTTGTTTTTGAGACAGTCTCACTCTGTCACCCAGGCTGGAGTGTGGTGGTGCAATCTCGGCTCACTGCAGCCTCCACCTCCCAGGTTCAAGTAATTCTCCTGCCTCAGCCTCCAGAGGAGTTGGGATTACAGGCACGCACCACCACGCCCACCTAATTTTTGTATTTTTAGTAGAGACAGGTTTTCACCATGTTGGCCAGGCTGGTCTTGAACTCCTGACCTCATGTGATCCCCCCGCCTCGGCCTCCCAGAGTGCTGGGATTATAGGTGTGAGCCACTGCACCCGGCCAAGGACAGTGTTTGTGAAGGCCCCAGAATCAGTTTGCCTCCTTCCTCCTCATTGACACCCCACATGCAGGGTTTTACTGCTAATCACAAGGAAACAAAATAACAAAGGTGGGACATTGCAAAGGCCACAGAAGCTTCTGAAAGTCTGAAGAGCCAGTCTCCCTTCTGACTTGGCTGATGAGAATCTCTCTGAGCTTTCCCTTTCCCCTTACACTCCTTAGACTGGAAGTCAAATGTTTCTCTGTCTTGAGTCACAGAATTATAGACACAAAAAGGGAAAAGAGTTGTAAATTAGCACATCTTCTAATTTTCAGATGCAGAATCCGAGACCCAAAGAAGCCATGCGACAAGCCTGTTTGTGGGAACTTGTGTTAGAATCAAGTCTCTGGCCTAGCTACCCAGTGTGCCCTGGGACCTCTCCATAGCTGCCCAGAGGGAGCCTCTGAGTCACAGCTGGTGGGTGACAGCATGTAAGTGACAGGAGTCTTCCCAGACACCACACATGGGCAGCCTGGAGGGTCCCCAAACTTCCATATCCCCACAGCCTCTGTGAATGGGAGCAGTAGCATTCTGGCTGGTGGGGAACACCTGGAGGTAAACAGAGAAAGCCAGGGGCTGCCACCCACTTTCCTTAGCTAGCCGGCAATTTGAGAAACTCAAGCAAGTTACCCTGCCTGTGGTGTGAAATGATATTACCGTCACCTCTGAAAGGGTGCTGGCCAAAATCACTATTCATAAAAAATGCATCAAGATAGGGTTATAAGTTACAAAGATGGCTGGGTGGGATGGCTCATACCTGTAATCTCAGCATTTTGGGAGGCCAAGGCAGATCACTTGAGGCCAAGAGTTCACGACTAGCCTGGGCAACATAGTGAGAGCCTTATCTCTTTAAAAAAAATTTTTTTTGAAACATCACCAGGTGTGGTGGCACATTCCTGTAGTCCCAGCTACTCAGGACGCTGAGGTGGGAGGATCGCTTCAGCTCAGGAGTTTAAGGCTGCAGTGAACTACAATCACACCACTGCATTCCAGCCTGGGTGACAGAGTGAGACCCTGCATCTAAAAAAGTGACAAAGGTGAAGACTGGATCCAACAGCAGATTACCTAAAGGAGGGAACAACCAACTCCTGAAAAACATCTGTCCCAAAGCTGAATGAAAGAATGCAGCTACAAGGTTGGGCGTGGTGGCTCACGCCTGTAATCCCAGCACTTTGGGAGGCTGTGGCAGGCAGATCACTTGAGGTCAAGAGTTTGAGACCAGCCTGGCCAACCTGGCAAAACCCTGTCTCTACTAAAAATACAAAAATTAGCTGGGCGTGATAGTGCATGCCTGTGATCCCAGCTACTTGGGAGGGTGAGGCACAAGAATCCCTTTAACCCGGGAGATGGAGGCTGCAGTGAGCCAGGTGTGGTGGTGCACGCCCGTAGTCCCAGCTACTCAAGAGGCTGAGATGGGAGGATTGCTTGAGCCCAGGAGTTTGAGGCTGCAGCAAGCCATGATTGTGCCACTGCACTCCAGCCTGGGTGACAGAGCAAGACTCTGTCTCAAAAAAATTAAAAATGAAAAAATTAATAAATAACGCAGCTGCTTAGCCACTGCCTTTTCCCTTGGTTATGTGGATAATAGGCAACCTATGCTCTAGAGGGAAGGGGTGTGGGTACCAACCTGGATTCCTTAGCTTACTGGCTGTGTGGCCGCAGCCAGGCAATTTCACTTGCCTGAGGTGCTACTCCCTCATCTACATCATTCAGGGCTGTGATGCTGGCATATTCAGCGAGATAATATCTGTAGGGGGCCCAGCTCTGGACTCAGCACGAATAGGTACTAATGAAATACAATCATGAACACAGTTATCGTCATCATTTGGCTGAGTGTGCCCAGACCCAACCATTACCATCACCAAGCCAAGCGAGCTGTTCCAGCAGGGGAGAGCTGGGGTTTAGCTGGACAGAAGCGCCTGGAATTCACATCCCAGTGCCAGCACTGGACACTTGCTTCTCTAACAGGATTTTTCAACCTCAACCCTATTGACATTTTGGGCTAATTTTTCATTGTGGGGAGCTGTCCTGTGCATTATGGGGTGTTTAGCAGCAATCCTGGCCTCTACTCTCTAAGAAACCAGTAGCATCCTCCCCTAGTTGTGACAACCAAAAGTGTTCCCAGGCGTTGCCAAATGTCCTCTGGAAGGCAAAAATCACCCCTGGTTCAGAACACTGGTCAAATAAAATGTTCATACTAGGTTTCTTATTAGTATTAGGCAAAGTCCAAGAATCTACCCAGAGTTTCCAGTTTAAAAAAATTGCCTGCCAGGATGACTTTTTCCGGTAAACCATGGAAGAACATTCACTTCCTATATTTGACAAGCACTGCAATCCAAGGGAAGAGAATGAACTAGGGAAATAATTGGGTGAGGTTTTAACTTCTGTGCTAATTTACAGGGCTACTTCGGCTCCATGTGAATACACCCATGACTACGAATTTCTGCTCAATAAAGTGGTGAGGGGGTAGGTTTAACTGCGGGCTCAGGCCAGATGTCCACAGGAACCCGTTGCCCCTGGTTAAACACTGTGTTGGGTCAGTAGCCCCAAGACCTACAGGCCTACACAAGAGCATTCTTCTCAAGGATATTTATCACTCCCTAACTCAACATAACCAAAGCATTGTTCTAACTCCGGGGGCCTGCATCTGCAGTGGGCCATTTAAAAAAAAAATAAAAGGATAAGTGAGTGACAGAATGAACAGAACCTCTCCTCTTCGTGTCACCTTCAGCTGACCCCTGTGACCCAGGCTTACTAAGTGTGACCCAGGCTTACTTTGCCCCACCTACACACTCCCTATTCACACACACACACACACACACACACACACACAAATAGTAGGACAAATGGAGACATACCCCTAGCCAGGAATGTGTTTCCTGTGTTGCCCTGGCACTCACTGCTGGCCCCTCAGGTCAGCTTTGCTAGAAGTACCTGGAAAATCCCTCTGAGCCCTGCTGTGGCCTAGGGCCTCAAAAGTGTGCAGAAACTGGTTCTTTCCAGGTGCAGAAAACAGAAGAGGCTCCACAGGGAGTCAAGAGAGACAACCCCACATCAGCCACATGGAGATCCCAAAAGAGCGCCTGGAGACCCAGCTCGGAGCCAGAGGGAATGAGACCAGGAGGGAAGGATGTGGCTACGGGAAGGACGGCCTGAAAGGAGAAGGGCATTAATAAGCACTTATTAGGCACCTCACAATAAGAGCTTCCTTGAAACATTACCTCCTTCACCTATCACTACAGCTTGGGAGGGAGCAATTATTATTCCCAGTTTCATCAACAAGTAACCTCAGAGAAGTTTGGCCAGCTGGGACTATAGCCAGGGGTGCCCGATCGCAAAGCCCAGGCTCTTTGTCACACCAGGGACTCTCAGCGGGACAGCTGCACAGATGGGTCACCTGAGCGGCTTCAGAAAAAATATAGATGCGGTCGGGTGCGATGGCTCACGCCTGTAATCCCAACACTTTGGGAGCCCAAGGCAGGCGGATCACTTGAGGTCAGGAGTTTGAGACCAGCCTGGCCAACATGGTGAAACCCTGTCCCTACCAAAAAATACAAAAATTAGCGGGACGTGGTGGTGCACACCTGTAGTCTCAACTACTCAGGAGGCTGAGGCAGGACAATCATTTAAACCCAGGAGGTGGAGGTTGCAGTGAGCTGAGATGCAGTCCAACCTGGGCGACAGAGTGAGATTCAGTCAAAAAAAAAAAAAAAAAGAAAGGAAGAGAAAGAAAGAAGGAGAGAAAGAGAGAGAAGGAAGGAAGGAGGGAGGGAGGGAAGGAAGGAGGGAGGGAGGGAGGGAGGGAAGGAAGGAAGGAAGGAAGGAAGGAAGGAAGGAAGGAAGGAAGGAAGGAAAAGAAAAAAGAAAGAGGGAGAGATGCTCAGGTGCTAGCTGCTACCAATTAAACCGAAGTCCTGAAAAGCCTCCCAGGTGATTTCAGTGGACATACAGTGTCTAGAACTGCTGCCATCCCCAAGGAATAGAGGAGGGAGCTGTGGACAGAGGACGATGCAGTGTGCTGGGCATTGTCCGTGTGCAGTGAACCACCTCCTGGGCCTTGCTGTGCTGCAGGAGCCCTCCTCCTTCCCCCAGGCCTCCCACCCCAACAAGTGGGCACTAAGACAGAGCAGGCAGTTTTAATGTGTGCTAAATACAGTGCTTGGGAAGATAAATCCACACACCCTCCATGCCATATGATATATATCGCACAGAAACGGCCTGCAATTATGTACTTCCTGGTATCATCCGCACACGGTCTCCCTTTACTCCTGTAGACCAGTGGTTCTCAGACACAGACAATTTTGTCCCCTGCCCCCATCTCCCAGGGCACACTGGGCAAGACAGAGAGGCATCTTTGCTTCTCACCACTTGGAGCGTGGAGGGAGGTGCCACTAGATCTCGTAGGTAGAGGCTGGGGATGCTGCTTAACCTCCCACAGTGCACAGGACAGCCCCTGCCACAAAGAGTTCTCTAGCCCCAAATGTCCACAGTGCCGAGGTCGAGACACCCTGCTGTAAGGAAGAAACAGTGACCTCTAGGTAGGCACAAATCCTGGACCGTAACCCACCTCCAGGTCAGAAGCCTGTCCCTGACCAGGCAAGTTTCAGAGAACTGCAGAATCTTAGATCAGGAAAAGACTGCTGAGACAACCAGCCCAGCTGAGACCTCATTCAGGGCAGCCCAACTGCCCTGAATTAACTGAAAATGGTATTCCTTACTGCAAATTTGTATTCACTGACTTAACAAATATTTATTAAGTCCCAGTATGTTTAGGGCACAGTGCCTGATTTTCCTGCCAAAATAGTTACCCATCCTGGAGTAAATCCCTTTGTGTAAGTCCAATATAAGATCCAGGCGAGATAGGCTCTGAACCAAGCAAAATCCACCCCCAGCTGGGTTAGGGTGGTTTTATTGCTTTCTGGCTCATTGGGTAACTTGGCAACCTGGGATCGTGTCTGCAAAAATCCAGAGGAGGCTGATCCAAGATCAACTCCCCGGGGTCTGCACAGGGGCCCAAGGGCGGGTGCCCACATTCCTCCCTAGCTGCCCACAGCTGCCCTCTGTCCCCAGCCCAGCTCCAGCTCCCAGCTCCCTCCCACTTCAGGCTAGTTACCATTACCAGCAGCAAACTCCAGCCACCCAGCTTCATGGGGCCAGCCTCTCCCACCTCTCCTGCTGCCCAATTGTTATTGACAAAAATAAGCACTCTATTGTGACTTGCCACAGAAATAAAAATTGCTCAGGGGAAGGAATTGGGAACATTTTGTACTCCAGGGTCACAAAAGATTTAAAAGTCATTCTCCCTACTGGAGATCTCATTTACACTGGGCAGAAACAACAACAAAATAAAAACCTGTCAAATGGATTGTGCAACAAAGGAAAATGCTGCAGAGGCAAACCTAGTAGGAGCAGGAGGAAAGGGAAAGGAGGCAATACACAGCCTCCTTGTGGGAGGCCCCAGGGGCTGGGCACTGCGCGATGCTGGAGGAGGGAAGGGAAGGTGACCTCCCTCCTGCCCATCTCCCTAGGATGCCCCCAGTGGCTGAGACCACCCTTCTTCATACCAAGGAACACAACTCCCCATGCCTCTACCCACCGCATCAAAATGGGCAGACCCAAACCCAACCAGAGACAACTATCTGTGATATAAAGGGAGAGTAGACAAAGCCACCCACACAGCAGGGCCTGCGATCACAGGAGAAGCTGCCAATATTTCACCTGACTCTCTCCCATCTCTGCAGAATTCTATCTGAAAGTTATTTCCTCAGGAAAGCTCCTCTAATCCCCCAGATTCATTTATTCCCTCAACAAATATTTATTGAATGGATAACATTTACTGAATGGCCCCCAGGGGTTAGATGCCCTTAGTACAATCTCTCCTAGCTACCCCCTTCCCTCTTTGAACACTTAATAATGATGTTAATTAACTACTTACATAATTATTTCTTAGGGTCTTTAAGACCTCCTTTTCCCACCCACCCTTCTGGAATATTGAGCTACTTGACAACAAGAATCAAATTGGTCTTGTTAACTGCTGTATCCTCAGAGTCTAGCTTCTTTTGGCACCTATTGGTTGCCAACACATGCTGAATGAATGAGTGAACAAATGAATGAGCAAACTGCCAAGGCCAGCGCTGTTCAAATAGAAATGCTGACCACAAAGACAAGTCATACATGGAATTTTTAATTTTTTAGAAGCTACATTTTAAAAAGTAAAAAGAGTGAAATTAATTATAAGGATATAGTTTATTCATCTCAACATATCTAAAATATTATCATTTCAGCACTTAATCAATATGAAATAATTATAAAAGTGATCTTTTGCATTCTTTCTCTCATGCTGTCTTCAAAATCCAGTATGTATTTTACTCCTACCACACATCTCAATTTGTACTAGGCACATTTCAAGTGCTCAGTAGCCACATGGGGCCACCACATTGGACAGCCAAAGTCCAGGCTTAAACAGAGGCTTCCAGTGTGCTCATTTTCTGGTAAGGTAGGAGAAAAGTTATGCTCTGCTATGCCAACACACAGTATAGCCATTATGCTTATGGTCTATTGAGTCAGACTGCTTGGTTCAAATCCTGACTCTACTACTTACTCCTTGTGCCCTGGGAAAATTACCTAACCACCCTGTGCCTCAGGTTCCTCTTCCAGAAAATGGGAGTCATAACTGTAGCTACACTGTGGGAGACTGTATTAGGAGAAAATGAGTTAAGACCCATAAAGGCTGGGGGCGCTGGCTCACGCCTGTAATCCCAACACTTTGGGAGGCCGAGGCGGGCGGATCACAAGGTCAGGAGATCGAGACCATCCTGGCTAACACAGTGAAACCTTGTCTCTACTAAAAATACAAAAACAAAATTAGCCAGGGGTGGTAGCGGGCACCTGTAGTCCCAGCTACTCGGGAGGGTGAGGCAGGAGAATGGCATGAACCCGGGAGGCGGAGCTTGCAGTGAGCCGAGATCGCGCCACAGCACTCCAGCCTGGGTGAAAGGAGACTCCATCTCAAGAAAAAAAAAAAAACCATAAAGCCCTTACAACAATGCCTGCCACACAGTAACTACTCAATAATATTAGCCATTAATGTTTAATTATGTTTATATCTTATAAAGCTATTAGGCCCCACTTGCTGCCCCAAGAGATGGGAGGTAGCTCTAGTCACAATACATTCTGTTGGTAGGATGAAGGTAAAACCAGTATCCATTTTAGAGATGAATTCTGAACATATTCTTTCATGGGCACTGCAAGATATATTTTAGCAAAAAAGATTGGGTCAGGTACAGTGGCTTATGCCTATAATCCCAGCCCTTTGGGAGGCAAAGGCAATTGATCACTTGAGCCCAGGAGTTTGAGACCAGCCTGGCCAATATGGTGAGACCCTGTCTCTATTTATAAAAAATAAAATATAGATAGAGATAGATGATAGATAGATAGATAGATAGATAGATAGATAGATAGATAGATAGATAATTGTGGACATACAAATTATATAGGCTAGCAAAAATTTTTAGGTTCACCTAAAGAAGAAAATTTAGACTCTGCCATAGTACACTCGTCATTTGTGAGAATGGGAAGTACCGGTTTAAATAAAAACCTTTTACAACTTTGTAAAGGTTTTTTATGCATCTCTTTCACCTCTGAAATTCAAGTTCCACTGTATAAGACACACAAGTTGTCTATTTTCCAATCCAGCATGTAAAGCAAATGACATTTACACTGGACTTCCTCCGGCATAAAATCTGCTTGGGAAAGCTGAGGACTCCATAGGTTCCAGCCCTAGTGCTGATACCTTTCTTATCCCTGTTTGCTGTCACCATGGTCTTAGAGCAGAGGAACACCACCTTTGGAGAAGAGCCTGGGTGGGCACAGCATTGCTGACAGGGGCAGCTCTTCGCCTTCTCAGTTCCAGGGGATTCCCACCAAGCTGGGGTAGTTCCAATCCCATTCTAACTCCATGTGGTCTAGGCTGAGAGCCTCAGGGTCAGCCCCACACCCAAGCTTTCTAGGTGTTCTTTTGTCCAGGGATCACAGAGTCCAGTGAGGTCCAGAATCACTAGATCTGTGACCACAAAGGAGTAGGCATGGAGATGAAATGGTGTGTTGCACTTGAACGGGCATCTTTGCAAAGAGGATCATAAAATATGGAAACGCGCCAAAAAAAATCATTGTGCATTGGGCTTCCACAATCACTTCTGTGTGTGTGCATGTGTGCATAAATGTGACTGAGTGACTGAGATGGCCAAAGTGACTTGCAGGGACATGAAATTGAGCCAAAGCCCCCAGTCTGTTGAAACATAGTCATCTGTTTGAAGTTAAGTGTCTACTTACTTAGGAAATAAGAACACAGAAGAAAACAGACAAAGAGTAAACTCTGGCATATTGAACTCTGGGAGCTTCTCTGCCATTCTCTCTTTGAATATTGCCTCTTCCTCATTCTCTCTTTCTACTCAAAATGTGATGTATGGACCAGGTGTGGCTTCACCACCTGGAAGCTTGTTAGAAATGCAAAATAGCTGGCACCTCTCAAGACCTATGGAATCAGAATCAAGAACTCAATGAGACACCTAGGTGAACCATATGCACATTAAAATTTGAAAAGCACTAGTTGATATTCTTTCCTTCTGGAACTTCTATTAAATCTATACGAGTCAGGGTGGCTCATCATATCCCATCACAGAACAACCAGGAGCAGGAGAGTGTGGGGCCTGACTCCTGCTGCTGAAGCTTCCATCTGGGGGAAGGAAAAAGAATTTATCTTCTTAATAGTTTGAAAACTATTACTCAGTCTATGTAACATCTCTTTGGCCACATCATTTTAATACATAAATCAAAATGTATGTATTAGTCTGCTAATAAGACATACCTGCTAATAAGACATACCTGAGACTGGGTAATTTATAAAGGAAAGAGGTTTAATAGACTCACAGTTCAGCATGGCTGGGGAGGCCTCAGAAAACTTACAATCATGGAAGAAGGGGAAGCAAACATGTCTTTCTTCACATGGCAGCAGGAGAGAGAAGAATGAGAGCCAAGTGAGGGGGGTAGCCCCTTATAAAACCATCAGATCTTGTGAGAACTTACTCACTATCACAAGAACAGCATGAGGGTAACCGCTCTATGATTAAACTACCTCCCACTGGGCCCCACCCATGGCATGTGGGGATTATGGGAACTACAATTCAAGATGAGATTTAGGTGAGAACACAGCCAAACCCTATCAGTGGCTAACTGCCATAAGAAACAACCTTAAGATGTCAGTGGCTTAGCAGTGGTTTCTTTCTAATTCATATTCAAACTGAGGCAGCTGAGCAGAGGAAAGGGAGAATTCGTCACTCAGGAAGCCAGAAGAACTTCCATCTTCTCATGAAGGAAGAGAGTATGTGAGAGATTGTAGGAGAGATTGTCCAGGCAAGAGGAAAGTGCTGCTCCTCCTTCCTGCTCATGTCTCATTGGCCAGAACTCAATCACAAGGTCCACCTGACCACAACCAGCTAAGCTGTGTGGTCTAGAAGTGCACCCTGGTAGAAAAGGAGGAACTCAGATACTGGTGACATGAATGTGTTGTGCTTATTCTGTGCTCCATGTCTCAACCTCCTATCCCATATTCCATTTGTCTATCTTTTGGTGCTGTATCCTGGGTGATTTCTTTATCTCTACCTTCCAAATCACTAATTCTCTCTCACATTCAGTCCAGACCAACCTTTGTCAAATGTTTTCTTAAAGGGCCCGGTAGTAAATACTTTAGAGTGTGTGGCCACATCGTCTCTATTCAACTATTCAACTCTGCTATTTGTAGTTCAACAGCAGCCTAAGACAATATGCTAAAGAATGGGCATGGCTGTGGTCTAATAAAACTTTATTTACAAAATCAGGCAGCTGGCCCACAGGCTAGAGTTTGTTGATCCCTGGTCTAGACCACTGCTATGGTTTGAATGTGTGTCCCCTTCAAAATTCATATGGAAATTTAATCCCTATCATGGTGGTATTAAAAGGTGGGGCTTCTAGGGAAACGATGAAGTCAAGAGGGCTCTGGCCTCATGAATGGATTAATGGCCTTACAAAAGAGGCTGCAAAGACAGTTCACCTTCTTGCCCTTCCATCCTTCACCATGCGAGAACATAGTGTTTCTCCCCTTCCAAGGATGAAGCCACAAGGAGCCATCTTGGAAACAAACACCAGGTCCTTGCTATACAACTTGATCTTGAACTCCCAGCCTCCAGAATTGTGAGAAATAAATTTCTGTTCCTTGTAAATTCAGTCTCAGGTATTTTATTAATAGCAGCATAAACATGTTAAGACAGATTTTTATTTTAATTACTTTTTTTTGTTTTCTAAATTTCTATCTCTTGTTCAAATCTGCCTGTTCTTTTTTATAAGGTCTTGTTTTGCTGTATGGATTCTATTTTCCCTTTATTCCTCTGAGTGTTTTAAACATTTATTTTTAAGTTCATTTCACATCACTCTATTATCTGTGATTCCTCTGGGATACTAACTGGTCACCAGGGGAAGTGACCAGCAAACAGCTGAGCCTCACCATATCCCACCACAGACCAACTGGGAGCAGGAGAGTGTGGGGCCTGGCTCCTGCTGCTGAAGCTTCCATCTGCAGGAAGGAAAAAGAATTTCTCTTCTTAATAGTTTGAAAACTAGTCTATGTAATATCTCTTTGGCCATGTCACTTTAATACATAAATCAAAATTTGTAATATCTTTTATCACAAAACAAGCACAAGTAAAGAGTAGCAGTTATTAGCTTATCAAGATGGCTGACACCTCCCAGCTCATACAGATGGTGTTGCACCCTCTGCTTCAACAGGCTCAGTGACTGGGAGACCTCCCTCCAACTCAAAGCACCTATTCTGGGAGGTGCTTAACATCCTTGAGCCTCAATTTCATCATCTATGAAAAAGAGCTAATAATGCCTACCTTACAGAAATGTTATGAAATTTCATTAAAATAATATAAATAACAGTGCTTGACCCAAAGTAGGTACTCAACAAATATTTCCATACGGAAGCACAATCTGATGTCTGTGTCTTATTACTGATGTCACAATCTCATTAAAAATGTCTTATTTATCTTGAACTAAAGATATGTTCTAATTCTGCCCTGTTGACTATGTAGAATGGGTCTAATTCTTCTTCCAAGAAGCTCTCAAATACATGAGGGTGATGTGTCATGCCCTCTTCACCAAACTTTCTCTTCTCTAACCAAATGCCCCCAAGTTCCTCCAACTAAACAAGAATTTCTTGTCTCAAAAGTAACTAGAAGCTCTTGGGCTCTAGTGGCTCCCAAGACGGAGCTCAGCACCAATAACACACCCTTTGCCCCTGGGGATCCCAAACTTGATCTTGTGGATATGGGTAAAGTTCATGATCAGCCAAATGCTTTCTTCATTATACAAAATTCAGGGGAGTGTCTCCATATCCTCTCCCCATTCCCAACACTGATGGCAAACCCTGTTTTGTTTCAAGGAGCCTGTTTTAGGATGAATATGCTCTTCACCATTGAAATCCAGTTCTGAACCTTTGAAGTGACATTTATTGTGGTTTTAGGAAAGGTTCACTGGAGGTGAGAAGTGACAGCTCTGGGTGATAAATCAAATGCAGCTCAGTTTTAATTTAAGGGAAAACCATCATCAAGTCAGCATGGCTCAGGCATCAGCCAGCCCTGGCTGGCAGCTTGTGATTTCTTATGTAAATGGTAAAGAGAACATTGAACGGTGACAATTTCTTCAGCTGCTAGGATGAGCCGTCAGCTTCTGTTCTCTGCTTAAACTTGACATCTTAAACTTCTGGTTAGAGGAGAGTCATGTTAACAAAAACGTTTCAGGACTAATCATAATCATAAAGCCTTTCTTAGAAACAACGGTACTTATACAGCATGTTACACAACACACCTGGTCTGTTTTGCTTCTTCAAAGCAGAATAGTCTAGCTTGGGATAGTCTAGCACTGCCTGTCCAACACAGTAGCCAGTAGCCACATGTGGCCACTAAGTGTTTGAGATCTCGCTAGTTTACATTAAGCTGTGCTAAAATAGAAGTATAAAATATGACACAGAATTTCAAAGATTTCATACAAAAAATGTAAAATATCTTACTCATAATCTTTTATGTTGATTTTATGTTGAAATGATAATATTTTGGATATAATAGATTAACTACTTATTAAAAAGTAATTTCACCTGTTTCTTACTGATGTCACAGTCTCATTAAACATTTTTCCATTGTGGCTGATAGAAAACTTTAAATTACACATGTGGCTCACATTTGTGGCTACCATTATGTTTCTAGTGGACAATGCTGGTCTGAAAGGCAAGGCAGGGAGCTGGAAATCCCATGTTTCTCTAGCTCATCCTCTCGGTGCAGACTCAGAAACAAAGGAGCTTACCATCAGAAGCTATCACGGGTTTTACTGTTTCTTTGTTGGTTAGACTAGAGCAGTGGTCCTCAAACTTCAGTGAACATAAGTGCTATGGACTGAATTGTGTCCTGCCCTGCCCCCCTCAAATTCACATATTGATGCTCTAAATTCCCCCATGTGATTGTTTCGGAGATAAGGCCTTTAAGGAGGGGATTAAAGTTAAATGAATCATAAGGGTGGGGCCCTGATCCAATAGAACTTGTGTCCTTATAAGAAGAGGAAGAGGCCAGGAGCCGTGGCTCAGGTCTATAATCCCAACTCTTTGGGAGGTCAAGGAAGGCAGATCACTTGAGGTCAGGAGTTTGAAACCAGCCTGGCCAACATGGTGAAACTCTGTCTCCACAAAAAATACAAAAATTAGCCAAGCGTGGTGGCATGTGCCTGTAATCCCAACTACTCCAGAGGCTGAGGCATGAGAATCGCCTGAACCTGGGAAGCAGAGGTTGCAGTGAGCTGAGATTGCACCACTGAACTCCAGTCTGGGTAGAGCTTCTCTCCCCAATATATGAGGACACAGCGAGAAGGTGGCCATCTGCCAGCCAGAGGAGAGCCCCCACCAGGAACTGAGCCTTGCAGGAACCTTGATCTTGGACTTTCAGCTTCCAGAACTGAAAAAATAGATGTCTGTTGTTTATGCCACCCAGTCTGTGGTACTTTGTTATGGCAGCCTGAGCAGACTAAGACCATAAGCATCACCTGG
The DNA here is from genome assembly GCF_000001405.40 of Homo sapiens. Taxonomy (NCBI): domain Eukaryota; kingdom Metazoa; phylum Chordata; class Mammalia; order Primates; family Hominidae; genus Homo; species Homo sapiens. The sequence continues at coordinate 55,732,339 of NC_000014.9, read as the reverse complement.
TGAATTTGTCAAACACACAAATTCCCAGACCCTCTTCCTGAGAAATACTGATTTTATTGATGTGGGATAGGCCTGGGAATTCACTTTTCTTTAGCAAGCATTGTAGGTACATATATGTGGACCATACTTTGAGATACCCTGGACTACAAGAAACATAATTATCTGGACTCCTTTGGCACTGTTGCCGGCCTGAATTGGACCCCCAATTCTGCCACTCCAGCAGTAGTAGCCAAATTAGTTTGATCATGGGCGCCCCCTTTTGGTAAAGCATTTTTGAGCATGCAACTCACCACACAGCTATACTTAACTGATAAATTACATATGCCCAACTGTAAATCATATACTAAATATTAGTAAAGATTTTTTACATAAAAATAAATACAGAAAAGGAGTTATGCTGTTTTCTTTCTGGGTCCCAGTGGGCCATCTTTAACCTGTGGAAGTCTCTCACTGAACACAAATTACACAGCTTCATATTTCCTTGCCTTTGCATGAGTTCCCATCTGCAATCTGTGCAGTGAGAAAATGCCTATTTATGCCTCAGGATTCAGCTCATAAATCCCTGTGCAGCTCTTTATTCCCCCTCCGTCTCCCACAGGTGGAGTTATTCCTTCTGCCCCTCTGTGCAGCACCTCTGTACTAATGTCACCTCTACTGACTTATCACATTGAATTGTAAGTATTTGTTTAACGTTTCCATTCCTTAAGGACTGTGCTTTATGTATCTCTGTTTCACCTGGGCCTTACACACAGTTCCTGGTACATAATGTTTTGTGTTTCTTTGGTTGGTTTGGTTGGGTTTTGTTTTTTTTCTTTTTTCTTTTCTGTTTGTAACAGGAACAAACCAATGAATGTAAGTGCAATTAACCGATACTTGAAGCAAGCCACCGCCCTTCTATGCACAAGCAAAATCACCCCAGTGCATGTGAAAAATAACCCACATTAAAGGGTGCAGTGCAAAAAGCTATCTAAAGACATACTGGGTTTTAAGTTTGAGTTTACAAAAACATGTATAATTCACACAAGAGCTGAGGATGAAAGCAAACAGCTTAAGCAGCCAACAGCATAAGGAGCAGAGAAGAAGGATTTTTTTTTAACTGATCTTTTTTAATTGTTTAATTGTCTTAAGATCAGGATCCCCTGGCAAAGTCACAATGGATGGTTTGTGAGAGGTCTCAGTACATCTTTGTGAGGCAGGACAAAGATGGATGGGGAACAAGAAAGCTTTTAAGGGCATTACAATTTATTATCTATATCCAGGTCTGCACTGCACAAAATGAAGGAATCATCTGGTCCAAACTCAAAAAATTGTGGCTAAGAGTATCACCTTTTGGAAACACAGACCTGGCTTAGGGTGTATAATAGCAGTGTCCTTCCTCTGCAAGGTCTAAACAGCCTCATTACTTAGGAAATTGTCTTCCCTGTTCCTTCACATATCTCTTACTATCTCAGTCTGTGCTTCTCCTGTGGATTATAAAGGGCTGCCCAGGCTGGAAGAATTTACTGGCACCCTCTCACATGTGCTAGGGTGCAGGCTGATGAAACAAATGCTTTGTCACTTCCCTGTTTACACAAAAGCTTTTTCTCTCAGCAGGAACTTGAAAGAAACTAAGGTGAACATAATCAGTTTATCTTCTTAGACCCACTTAAAAGGATTGACCCTGTGATATACTGGAAAGCAAAATACAAGTCTGTTTATAAATGGCTTTTTAAGGTGATTAACAAGTAACATTAGCAGGTAGAAAGATTTCCATACTGTTTCCCCAAGAGTAGGGTTGCCAAATGTTGCAAATAAAAATATGGAATGCCAGTTAAATTTGAACAGCAGATAGATAATGAATAATTTTGGGGTATAAATATGTCCAAATATTGCGTGCACCCTAAATTTTATCAGGCAACACTACCTCAAAGGGAAAAGGCTGTACATAACCCTTGTGGGGAGAATGTCTTCCCATTGGCTGAAAGGTATATATTAATAAAAACATAGGCCCGAAAGTTGAGATATCTGAGTTCTCTTCTAGATTAGTTTTTCATTAATTCATCAATTCTTCATCCCTAACAGTCTAGTGCCATGTACTAGGTTAATTCCTTAATAATAAAAAAAAAAAAGTTGCTGGAGAGAAACATGGTCCCTGACTTCTTTCAGCTTATAATCCAATGGTGTGACCCTTAGCCTGCCTGTGCCCCATTTTGCCAGCTGTAGAATGAAGCGGTTGATCACCTTGGGTTTATGTTTTGCAGAGTGTATTCTATACTAATAGATATTCCATCAAAGAAGGTTTTTGTGACAAAAAATATAATAAACATTGAGTTAAAAAGTTAATAGCATTTTACTGTAAGTCTTGTCAACATTTTAATGAGCTAATCATCATCATGACCCCTAGATGGTGACTTACTGCAGAACCATCCCTTCGAGGAGCCACTCTGGGGACTAGTGTTCTATGGAACACACTTTGGGAAATGCTGCCCTAAGCCAAGAACTAAAATTCTTTGTAAGTCTGTACTTGCCTTCTTTCCCTTCTCTGCCTAAAATGTTCTTCATCCTTAAAGAGCCAGCCCATATGTTTCCTCCTCTGTGAAGCCTTTCCTTCTGACTTCCCCCCAGTCATCACTCCCCACTGAGAACACATAGGGCATCACAAGGCAGAGACATTTGTCTGGTTCAGTTCTACATCCCAGCACCAAGCAATAGGCCTGGTCAGTACAGTGAGTTATGCCAGCAAATATGCTTTCTCATGAATAAGTAAGCGAATTAACACACACTGCCAACCAAGTTACCCTGTCCCCTGCCTTCCCATAGCACTTTTTTTGGTTGTAATATAATTATTTAATTCCTACCCTCTTTATACTGGAAATATTTTGAGGACAGCAAAGAAACATTATTAATTTTTCCATCCCTAGTAAATAAGCTCAGTCCCTGGCACATGCCTTGCTCTCTATAAACGACAATAAATAGCATTTACTGCATCACTCTTTACCAGGTACTCACATGAATTATTTTATTTCATCTTCACAACAATCTCATGGAAGGCATTATAGCAGATATTGTGGATTGGCTTGATCATCCTCCATACTAGAAAGCTGAAAACTATTTCCCAAATTCCTTTGGAGCTCAGGCTTTGCATATAGATTAGGTTTCATAAGTTATAAGTATTTGCATGAGTTTGGGAAGGTGAAAATGAGGCAGAGGCCACTTCTTGCCCCTTTTAGAAATTTCATTCTGGCAAGCAAGGGTGTGGAGATGTGATCCTTTTCTGCAGCAGGACTGCAGTCCTTCTCCAGCTTCCTGGGCATTTAAAGCAGAACCAGTAGCAATACAACATTTCAGCTGTGTTTTTAAACTCACCAGTTCCCATCGTGCTGGCTTCAGAGGTACAGCTCCCCTAGTACGTCAGTTCTGTGATAGGGAATCACTGCTCCTCCAGCCCTTTCAGCAACTGTGTAAGTATATAGTTCCTTGTATTAAATCCCTTTCTGCTAAAACACCTAGAAGAGTTTTAGTTTCTTGTACTAAACCCTTGCTGAGACAGAAATTACTATCATTATCCTTTCTCCAGAAGAGAAAACTAAAGTATAGAGAGATTAATTTATTTCCCCCAAGGTACCAAGTGGCAGAGCCAAGATTTGAACCCAAAGGCCATATCCTTTTGTTATCCTCCTCTCAACAAGATCACACAGGGCAGGGTTGCCAGTAGAACTCAAGAAGGAAAAACTGCCTTCATTTACCAGCCAACCACTACTTAAAATTACTAGTAAAATGTAAAACTGTTTTTACATTTATGAATTATGGCATATCCACCTATGGAATATTATGCAGACATTAAAAATAAAGTTGTATAAAACCATAATAAAAGAATATGGTGTAGAGCTCTATGTTAATAAATTTGAAAGCCTAGATAAAAATTTTCTAGGGAAATATTTATCAAAATTCAAAGAAGTAATATAGGAAAAGAATGATCGATAACTTTGATAGCAATTGTATAAGTTGCAAATAGTTGCCCCTGCAAAAAAAAAAAAAAAAAACACCTAACATAAGTGGATCCATGGATGAATCCTTCTAAATTTTCAAGGAACTGATCATTCCAATGCTACCTGTTTCAGAGCATAGAGAAAGAAATAAAGCTTTCCAGTTCTTTTCAGAAAACCTAAATACCAATGACTTAAAACCCAGCAAAACCTTAACAAAGAGAATCCAGCAATATATTAAAAGGGTAATATGTTTAAAGTTCATATGGAACCAAAAAAGAGCCCATATTGCCAAGACAATCCTAAGCCAAAAGAACAAAGCTGGAGGCATCACGCTACCTGACTTCAAACTATACTACAAGGCTACAGTAACCAAAACAGAATGATACTGGTACCAAAACAGAGATATAGACCAATGGAACAGAACAGAGGCCTCAGAAATAACACCACACATCTACAACCATCTGATCTTTGACAAACCTGACAAGAAATGTGGAAAGGATTCCCTATTTAATAAATGGTGCTGGGAAAACTGGCTAGCCATAAGTAGAAAGCTGAAACTGGATCCTTTCCTTACACCTTATACAAAAATTAATTCAAGATGGATTAAAGACAAATGTTAGACCTAAAACCATAAAAACCCTAGAAGAAAACCAATACCATTCAGGCCATAGGCATGGGCAAGGACTTCATGACTAAAACACCAAAAGCAATGGCAACAAAAGCCAAAATAGACAAATGGGATCTAATTAAACTAAAGAGCTTCTGCACAGCAAAAGAAACTACCATCAGAGTGAACAGGAAACCTACAGAATGGGAGAAAATTTTTTGCAATCTACCCATCTGATGAAGGGCTAATATCCAGAATCTACAATGAACTTAAACAAATTTACAAGAAAAAAAAAACCCCATCAAAAAGTGGGCAAAGGATATGAACAGACACTTCTCAAAAAAAGACATTTATGCAGCCAACAGACACATGAAAAAATGCTCATCATCACTGGCCATCAGAGAAATGCAAATCAAAACCACAATGAGATACCATCTCACACCAGTTAGAATGGCGATCATTAAAAAGTCAGGAAACAACAGGTGCTGGAGAGGATGTGGAGAAATAGGAACACTTTTACACTGTTGGTGGGAGTGTCAATTAGTTCCACCATTGTGGAAGACACTGTGGCGATTCCTCAAGGATCTAGAACTAGAAATACCATTTGACCCAGTGATCCCATTACTGGGTATATACCCAAAGGATTATAAATCATGCTACTATAAAGACACATGGACACGTATGTTTATTGCAGCACTATTCACAATAGCAAAGACTTGGAACCAACCCAAATGTCCACCAATGATAGACTGGATTAAGAAAATGTGGCACATATACACCATGGAATACTATGCAGCCATAAAAAGGGATGAGTTCATGTCCTTTGCAGAGACATGGATGAAGCTGGAAACCATCATTCTAAGCAAACTATCACAAGAACAGAAAACCAAACACCGCATGTTCTCACTCATAGGTGGAAACTGAACAATGAAAACACTTGGACACAGGGCAGGGAACATCACACACCGCGCCTGTTGTAGGGTCGGGGGCTGGGGGAGGGATAGCATTAGGAGAAATACCTAATGTAAATGATGAGTTAATGGATGCAGCAAACCAACATGGCACATGTATACATATGTAACAAACCTGCACATTGTGCACATGTACCCTAGAACTTAAAGTATAATAATAAAAAAAGGGTAATAGGTTAGGCAAGTTTTATTCCAAAAATACAAAAGTAATTTAATATTAAGAAATCTATTCATGAGAGCATCCACACTGATAGGTTAAAGGAGAAAACTCATGTGGCCATATAAATACATGCCTAAAACAGAATTTAATAAAATTTAATACTCATTCCCCAGAAAAACCCTTAATGAGGTAAGATGATATGGATACAGGAATATGTAGTGACATCTATAACATAATAAATATATTTAAAGAAGGGAGAATAAATAGATAAAAATATAGGTCTTAAAAGAGCTAGCTTAACATTTATATGGTGAATTACCATGGAAATAATCCTGTTAAAATCAAGAAGGAAAGTTGTCCACCATCTCTACTTTCGTCCAGCAATATTCTGGTGGTTAATGCAATTAGACAAAAGAATAAATACAGTTTTTAGCAGCTACTAAGCTCTCTGCCAGCACCAGTGATTTCTCTGATAGATCCCTCTGTGGAACCAGCACAATGCCAACTAAACTCTTAAATGACCAGGGCTTCCTCCAGACCCCTACCCTCTGTCCAGCCTTGTCATAGTCTTACAATCAGTATGACCATGAAATGAAGAATGTTCATACTCACTCCCTTTCCACACTGCATCCCATGCAAAGTTATTTGATAAAAATTCCGCAACAGAGAAAAAAGGACCCTGCCCATAAATTCAAGCCCTTTTGTCGGGTGACACCTTTTGTTTGTGGAAGAGAGTACTGGCACAGTGCAAAGACAAAAGCAGGAGGTAGATTTCAAAAAATAAATAAACTAGCGAAGTTTGGTCACAAATGTGAATGGAGACTTAATTGATTTGTACGTGAAAAACGCCACAGTGCCTGAATCAAGGCTCCATACAAAGTCATCATTATTATTATTCACCACTGTAAAAGCATGGCTTGTTTTCAGTTCTTCTGTGTTGAAGCTAGCGAGACATGATCATAAAGCTCCAAGACAACGTTCAATTACTAGTGCCTCTTATTAGAAAGCAGCATTTTTCTTTTCAGGGTTATATACCACCATTTTTCTTATTCATTACTGATGCAATATCAAGCTGTGAACTTCTGCAAGGCTGGAAATAATTCATGCAACCAATCTTCTTTAACAAACTAATCATCTCTCCCCCTTTAGGAAGTACCAGATATGGAACACTGGTGATGATTATGAAAAATAACAGTATTTATAAGAACCCACTGGGCTCAATGCTATCTTCAGTATAGCTAAGGAAACTTTAACTGTGTTTAATGATCTTTCCAGCTAACATTGTCATTGAAACAGGCAGGGCCTGCCACAATCATGTTAAGACAGAAGTTCTCAAACATTTTGTTCTCAGAAACCCTTTATACTCTTGAAAGATGATTAAGGACCTGAAAGAGCTTTAGTGTAAATGTATTACAAGTATTGATTTTTGCCATTAGAAATTAAAACTGAAAAGAATTTTAAATATGAATTTGTTAATCTTAAAAGAATTAACCTACTACATGTTAATATTTTCACAAAATACAACTATATTTTCCAAAACAAAAACATTAGTAAGAGATTGGCTTTGCTTTATATTTTTGCACATCTCTTTCATGCCTGGCTTCTTTAAAGATAGCTAGACTCTCATATCTGCTTCTATATTCAACCTGTTCTGATATCACATGTCACAGAGCATCTGGAGAACCCCTCTGTCCACTCATGGGAGGATGCAAGTGAAAAAGGCAAATAACGTCTTTGTAGAATTATTATTAAGATAGTTTTGACCTCACAAAGATACTGAGAAAGTCTCAGAAACACTGGGGTTCCCCCAACACATTTTGAGAACTGCTGATTTTGAATAAGACTGACTCCCATCAAAGGTAATGTTTACTATGTAGAGAAGAAGGCAGGCACTAGCATTGGAAAAGTTAAAGTTCCATTGGAGATACAAAGCTAAACGGATACAGAAAACAGTGTCACTTTAAGCAGCTTATAATTTATTTTGCAGTAATGTGGTGATGTATATTGCATTACTGTTCAAAATAGTTGCTGCCTTTCTTCCCAGTTTCTTCTTACTGGCCTCTGTCTGCAGACACCCCTCCTACAAGAAGATCACGCTCTTTCCATTTCGTAGTGTTCATGTCTGCCATCAGACTCACTGTGGCCAATGAAATGTGAGTGGAAGTGACATGTGCTACTTCTGTGCAGAAGTTTTCAGGGACATTATATGATTCCTGCATCCCTCTTCTCTCCAGTGAGACCCACCATGTCTCAGGAAGGAGCTGCTTCTTCCGCCTGGGTCCCAAAATGAAAACCAGGTAACCCTGAGCACATAATTCATCTCAATGGAGCAGACTGGCAGTCAGTCCGTGAGGTACATTAACAAAGGAGTAATTCACTGACACGCTTAGAGTTGTTTGCCACTGCAGTGTAACTTAGGCTATGCTGACTGATACAGGTGGGTAAGATACATACAAAAAAAGACCTTAAACATTCAAGAAAATCTAGGTTGTTTGGGGAAGGGAGCACTGACACACGTGTTAAGGAACAGAAAGCAAAGGGGATCTCACTCAGCATCCTCAATTTTTTTTAGCAAATATTTAATCAAATGTAAGAAGTATTATGGAGTCAGGCCCTATGCTAGACATTGAATACTCAGGGATGAGTAAAATGTGGTCTCAGAATGGAAGGAAGTGGTGGGAGCCATGGGCTTTAACACTAGACCTAGATTGGAAGCGTAGTTCTGCTACTTCAACTGAGTGATCTTGGGTAAGTTTTCTGAGCTTTATTTTTCTCATCTGTAAATGGGAATGATAATACTTCAAATGATGGTGAGTTTTAAATGAAACAACTGTGAAAAGCATATAACAGATAGCTCTGCACACAGTAGTCTGCACGTGCAGGACAGGCTACTTTTCCTCCTCTTTCATCTTCCCATCTCACACTCCCAGGTGAGGATCTTGGGATTCTTTGCTTAGCTCTGTCTATGAGTTTTTCACTTACTTTTCTAGAGTTTAGTCTCTCCAAAAATAAAACATTGTATATATACGTACATGCACACACACACACACACACCCCTTTCATTTTATCTGTCACTCAGCTAATACTTATTAAATACTATTATTATCCCTATTTTACAAATTGGATAAGTAAAACATAAGGCAAGGGGGATCTCTGTCAGCACCCTCAATTTTTTTAGCAAATATTTAATCAAATGTAATTAGCATTATGGAGTCAGGCCCTATGTTAGATATTGAATATTCAGGGCTGAATAAGACATGGAATGGTCTTAGAATGGAAGAAGGCGGTGGGAGTCATGAGTTATTCATGAGAGATTAAATAAGTTCCCAAGATCACATGTTAGCATATACATATCTACCTTTTAACAGCTGATAGTACTTGACAGTGTTGATATATTACAGTTTACCTAACCATTCCCATTGTGATGGACATTTTCAACTTGTGATTATGTTTTTACCATCACAAACAAGAAACATCCTCTCACAAAGATCTTGGCATACATGTGTAGCTACAATTTGCAGGATGAATTCTTAAAATTGGATTGCTAGGACAAAGTGTAGAGCAATTTAAATTTTGATAGATCATGTGAAATATATCTTTCGGGAAGTTCTTGCTGATTGATGCTCCTGCCCTTGGGGAATGAACATGCTGTGTCCCCAGAACCTCTTCTACACCTCGCCCTTAACCTGCAACAGCTGTGCCTCAGATCCGTGTGTACCAAACACATTCCCAAGAATAGTCTCATTGAGCACCGTTTGGGAAGGGCTGCCATGTGGACAGCACCCCACTTTTTTGTCCCTGATGGTTTAATGCTTTATGTTTTCACACAGAGTGCATTTGGGGAGACTGGCTGGAGGCGGGCTTTGTTCTGCTCTGAACAACACAAGGACAATTCATCTATCTGAAAGGTAACTTGTATATTGATCCAGAAACATTGCAGGAGTGTAGCTTTTTCATTGATTATTTGATAATGGGTCATTTCATTTTTATCTACTCTGACTTCTCTAACTCAGATAAAAAAACAGGTAACCCTGAGCACATAATTCATCTCAATGGAAAGCATTTTCCTGCCAATTTACATTAGCTCAAAAAGTGGCCCTGCAAACCTCTAAGTCATTCAGAACAATACATTCCAGAGATGGTCCTTCCAACCTGCCTTATTCTTGTTTAACATTTGGGCAAGAAACTAAGCGAGCATTTAGTTTGAAGCAAATTGCATCTCATATTTCCTTGGAATGAGGCAAAAGCAAATCTGAACCATCTTTCAATGGAATGAGCCCACACTGACAAGAGCACTTGTAATCGCTTCCATTGTGTATTCTTAGCCAATTTACAACTACATTCATTGAATTAATAACGATCAGCTGGGACTCGCAAAGGCCTAATACCCAGGGCTCCCTTCTGGGGCTGCTGGCCTGACATTTAAATATTTATTGATGATAATTGGATGACAGATAGGGATGGGCTCAGACAGAAATAAATTCAATCTGCTTGCACAGGCAGAAACCACGTTATAGCCATGATTCCTCCTCAGGCCACATAGATACAGTACCAAGAGAAATGAAGGTGAAGAGTCCTCTGATAAGCTGTGAAAACTAAGACAACGATTCTTATGATTATTTGCATGGTTGAAAGACAACTCCTTAAGACTAATTTTTGTTTTTGTTTTTTTTTAATGTGTGTTTTTGTTTGTTTGCTTGTTTTACCAAACTGTCAATAAAGACACGAGAATTTAGAATTCAAGACTTTGCTTTCTTGGATTCTGGGTTTTCCTTCCTATTCTAAAAATGTTTGAAATGGGCACCAAGTATTCAATCTGTGTACAGATCATTAAGATTTTGTGTTTAAGATCTGCCAGGTTATGGTGCAGTAACAAAGAACCCCCAGATCTCAATAACTGAAAACCACAAAGGTTTTTATTTCATGTTCTACACCACAGGTCCCTCTCAGGCTGGCAGGGCATTCTGCCCAGCACAGTCACTCAAGGACACAGGCTGATGGAGCAGCCAATCACCACTTCCCGGGGGAAAAGGAGAGCTCTGGAGAATCTTGCATCAGCAAGGAAATGGTCTGGCCTGGAAGCAAACCACACTAACCATGACCACAGAGGACCTGCTTAAGATTGCTCTGACCTTAGGTCCTTTCTCTGCTTCTCACTAACCATGTGGCTTGAACATGTCACTACAACTCTTGGAGGCTCAGATTCCTTATCTGAAAAATGAGAACAATACAAGTTAGTCATCAAATTGCCCTGAAGGATAAATGAGATAATAAATATATAGAACCACATACTAGAGGCTCAATAAATGACAGTATTTTGGGGTTTTTTTTAACATGTTAAAGAAAAGACTTCCATGGAACCCAGTGGGCTCACAAGGATGTGTGCTTTTGCTCACTTGCACCACATTATACACAAAATTCTTGAAAATATATAATAAGCCACGATACGTACATGTCTCAAGGCTCTCACTGCCACAAACTGTAGTTTCTGACAGTTTAATTTTGTATGTAGGAAAAGGTAACCTGCAAGTAACTGAAGAATTCACCCAGAGTTGTTCCATAATCAAGAAGGTGTAACACCCAACTTTGTGTCTCCTGACTTCCACTGTAATCTACCATCTCATTGCTATGCGCTTCCTTTCCCGCATGTGGGAGAGAAGGAAGAACAGTATACTATGCCCCAGGACAACATCTTTCACAGCAGGCTTTTAGACAAGAATCAGGTAAGTCCAAAGGTTATTGTCATTATTTATATGCAATGATCACTCTTCACAGCTGTATTTTCTATGATAACTAAGAAAAATTAAAGAGATCAAAAAATGATTACAATTATAATTATGGCTCACATTTACTGAGAATTTACCCTGTGCCACTTCCTATTTTATGAACTTTTTAGGATTATCTCATTTAATCCTCACACTAACCCTAAAAGGTGGGTTACATTATTATCCCATTTCGCAGGTGAGAGAACTGAGACACCCTGAGGTGAAGTGTCTTGCCCAAGGTCTCCTGTACAGTAAGTGGCAGAGTTAGGATTCAATCTCAGGATATTGTATTTTGGAGGCCATGTTCTTAAACTCCTCAGGATGGCTATAATATACAGTTATTATTTTGAAATCTCACTTACCAGAAAAAGGAAATGATGGCTAATACAATTGCTCTATAGGTTAAAGGACTGTGCTAAGAACCAGAGGTTCATTCATATTGTTTTATTCTCATCCATGATTACACTCACCATCTCCCTAGCAGCAGATAATTAAACAGCAGGAAAGTTCTTGAGCAGATAAAGAAAGATCAGAAGGATAGGGTAAGATTGGAACATAGAGAATATGATCAACTGATATTTACTGAATGAGTGAATGGGAAATTCATCATCACTAATTGAAGAAAACTCAAACTATTAGTAGTCAACTGCATTCCTTTTATAAATGAAATTCATTATTTCAACTGTGTCAGCCCTTCAACACAAGCTACGCATGCCAGATTCTGCATATTGAACCTCATTGTACCACCGATTTTTTTTTTTAATAAACCAAGAAAGACAGTTTATGGAACAGAGTGTTTTTAGGAAGTGTCATAGGGTGGAGGAAAGAGAAGGAACTCCTGCCCGTCTTCAGGGAGAGAAAAAAGTCCCCGTGGATGGAACAGGAGGGCTCCATCAGGCCTGAGAGGTACTTTTGCAATGTTATGGGACCAATAAATTAGAAAGGTAATTTAGTACCTATTATTTGATTTCTCACCTAAAGGAAATTGTAAAATTTCAAATCTGTGAATTTCAGGTAGGACCAAGTCATTTGTACTTCCCCAAGATGTCACAGCTTATGCTCTATCAAACAAAACAAATCTCTTTCCAGATGAAGACAACAGCATTAAATGTAATTCTCTGTGTGTTTTAAAATGAATAACCAATTAGCAATTATTCAGTCATGAACAAACAGAACTTACTCTGTTCCTCTTCCTGAATTCTCAGAAATACTTGGAATTTAATGGGATGTAATTTATGAGACAAAGCCCATTTTTTCTTTCACATGACAAAATGGACTGCAATGAACAATTTCTGTGATCACAGAGAATGGTCACTATTGCTGGTTGTGGGCTGCAGAGGTAACAGGAGCTGGCCAGGGTAGGTTAATACCACATACCGGGCCTTGTCAGTCAACAGCCTTCAGAGCACACAATTCCACCTGCTGTTCTTGCTTCCTAGGCTGTGCTTGTTGAGAAAGACTCAGCCCAAGCACAAGTAGTGAATGGTTCATGGTACCCGCCAGCAATGGGGATAGGAAACATGGGTGCTGATAACTTGTGGGGGAGGCAGAGGTCAATCAAAATTCATAATCGAAACAGTTATGTAACAGTCACCAAATCATCAATTTGTTATCAATGACCTTCAAGTCAACTGGAATAGATGAGCTTCACTGAACCAACATAGGATTAAGGAAACCCAGAGGGGAACCCTATGGCTTTTTGACTGTCACGGAATGTTGATTCAAAAATGATGGAAGAATCTCTCCTGTTTGGTCCCTAAGCAGACTTGTGGCTCCCAAGAAGCCTTCCTCATATCTTCATGTTTATCTGGGCTAGGTCATGGTGGAAATGACCTGGAAACGTAGATACCCAGCACCCACCACCATACACATATCTGTGTGCCTGTTACAGGACCTAAGTTGTTACTTCCCTCTAGGCAGGAACTATACCTAACTGTCAAATGGCTCTCTATAGAGGCCATAGCTCACCTGTGCCATAGATATACAAACATACTTTTGTCAAACCAGCAACATATATAGTCTTTGGCAGTATCATGATTTTGTCAATAAATACCTAGACATACCAGCTCACACTTTCCACCAGCATAGTTTCTCCCTGTTCTGCAGAGTCACAGCTCAATGGAGGGGCGCATGGATGGCTGCCAAGGGAGGGAGAGGGAAAGAAGCCCAAAAGGGTGGGGCATCTATCCCACTCCACAGCCAGGGCTGCTGCACAATCTGTCTAATACATCACTTGAGGAGGAGTTTGATTCTTTAAAAAATTTGGAAATCATTGTTCTAGAAGGTCTCCAGTTTGTCAGAAAAGTAAGATTTGTATTTAGTGTGCCTCAGCACAGAGAAGCAACTTTTTGTATAGAAATGTCCTGGCTGGGCATGGTGGCTCACACCTGTAATCCCAGCACTTTGGGAGGCTGAGGCAGGTGGATCACCTGAGGTCAGGAGTTTGAGACCAGCCTGACCAACTGGTGCAACCGCATCTCTACTAAAAATACAAAAATTAGCCAGGCATGGTGGCATGCACCTGTGGTTCCAGCTACCCCTCAGGGAGGCTGAGACAGAATTGCTTGAACCCAGGAGGCAGAGGTTGTAGTGAGCTGAGATCACTCCACTGCACTCCAGCCTGGGCGACAGAGCAAGACTCCATCTAAAAGAAAGAAGAAAGAGAGAAAGAAAGAGAGAAAGAAAAGAAAGAAAGAAAGAAAGAAAGAAAGAAAGAAAGAAGGAAGGAAGGAAGGAAGGAAGGAAGGAAGGAAGGAAAGAAAGAAGGAAAGAAAGAAAGGAAGGAAGGAAGGAAGGAAGGAAGGAAGGAAGGAAGGAAGAAAGAAAGAAAGAAAGAAAGAAAAAGAAAGAAAGAAAGAAAGAGAAGGAAGGGGAGGGAAGGAAGGAAGGAAGGAAGGAAGGAAGGAAGGAAGGAAGGAAGGAAGGAAGGAAGGAAATGTCCTGAATTTCCAGAGTAAGGTATTTTTCTTTCTCTACACTGAATATTAATTCAGCACTCCAGGAAGAACCAGCAACTCTGGGTGCCTCAACAGCCTGACAGGGCCCTTACTCTATTAACCAAAAAAAAACGCCATTAAGGGAAGGAGAAGAGAGATGAGCAAAACAAGAAGTAGAAAAAATGGTAGAAATACACCACCAAGGAAATGCTATCATGTTACCTTGCTCCGCGGGAATTTACTTAACCGTCTCCATAGGAATGGTCTGGCCCAGCTATTAAAAGGTTCACACAGAAAAAAGAAAAGTTGGGAGACAAAATTAGCTGAGTAGAGGCCATGTCTGCTTTTGGAAGGGCTATGGTCAACTCACAGTCCTGCTGAATCTACAGAGAGAGAGAGAAACTAGACCCCAGGCTGAGTAGTCTGTAGTGAATTTTGTATGCAGCTCTCAACAAAAGAGCACTCAGACACCCTGGCACCAAAGATATGAACAAGAAAACGCTGAGAACATATATCTGTTTATCCGTCTGTGATCCCAAAAGAACTCATTTAGTAAAAGGTCTTGGACTCCAAATGCATCAGTCTGTTTCCTTCCTGATGGTCCCTGCTACATATGTGGCCGCTTGGACATCTGAAAGGAAAGGGGCCTGTGCTATTCTGATGTTCATCCAGTAAACAACAAATTGGTGCTTAAAATGGGGAAGCGGGAAGCTCTTCCCAGAAGAATCCAGATTCCAGGATCTAAGGGGGTCATGTTGATCCTAGAAGCAGCCACTGTGTGAGGATCCTTCTGTCCATGAGGCCACCAAATCTATTCTGCTCCTGGGGACCAGACAAGGTAGGGAGTCTCACAAGCCACAGTGGAGAATGGGATTGGAGTTGATGGTGAGTGGAGGAAGAAATCCCAGGCTTGGGCATCGGGGGCTCACAACTCTGTCTGCTTCCAGCTCCTGGACCAGAGCAGCCCTTCCATGCGAAAACTAATGCTTCAACTTCACACACCCGGAGGTGCCTCCTGCCTGCCTTTACCCAAGTCTTCCACCTTTCATCACCCCTAAACCTTTTGTACCGCTGTGCTCCTTTCACAGTGGGGCCTGGATAGCCACTGCTTCTGAGGCCATAGTCCCAAAATACCATACACCAAAATGGGACTTCTTTGAAGACCCCCGGGAAAGTCTGTTTCAGTGACTTTTCCTCTAAACAGGGACTCCAGGGGAAGCTCCAATCTTGGTTTGGGGGGCATAGCTTCCATGCTGTGCCTCTGTGCTGTCTGCCGGAAGATTTTGAAGTGGAAAAGGACAGAGCTGTGTGGGTTGTGCACGGAGTGGTGTGGGTTCTGCTGGGTTGCTTTCTCTGATCCTCAAAGACCTTTTTCCATCCTACCTCCAATCTGACCCAGCCTAGGGCACTCTGAAGTCATGGATTGATCCTTTCTCTCCCACACATAAAGCAGCTTCTTTCATACTGATATTACCTAAGCAGCCTCTCACAATTAGGCTTGGAATGGAGGTTCAACAGCTTTGCTCTAGGGTGGCTTTGCTCTGGTATTTTCACTGTAATAGCTACAGAACCACTTAGGAACATTTCATAAACCCTGGAAATTTAAATTGGCTTTTCAGAGATCCATTAGCTCATGAAATCTTAGGTTGTGTCACTGTTGTGTGAGAACCCATAGAAACGGGTATGTAAAACAAGCCTCCAGCAACCACACGGTTCCTCACAGTGACTTCTCTATAGCCAGGGGCCAACAGATGTGACTAGCTAAAGTGATTGGCTAAAGGAGGGGGCGTTGTCATGGGAAACCAGGACATCTCACTTGCAGCATTTTCTTAACCCAGTGGGGAAAAATGTTCCAGTTCTTATTTTTCTGTTTGACAACAAGATGCTCAGCTATCTGGAATTCATCTGTGAAGAGTCCCACAGGAATTTGGCAGTGACATCAGAGCAAGGGAACTCATTCTAAGTGATTAAAATGGAAAGTTGTGGCCGCAACTTTCTAATATCACCAATTCACAACAGATTTTCAGTCCTCCGTGGCTGAACCACCACTTAGCTTTTTAGGAAGGAGAGACACAAGGCTCAGCCAGAGGAATTTGGATCATCTCACTACAATCGTGTGTGAAGGCAGAGGGCACAGACAAAAGAGAAGAGATGGGGCCGTCAAGGCAGGACCAGGTAAGCAGCAAAGAAATGAACTGTTCATCCCAATCAAACTTACCATGGAGAGACTAGATATACCTCTGTCCCAAAAGAACCCATTGAGCAGTCTTTGACTCCAAATGCGTCAGTCTGTCTCATCTTGGTTGTCCCTGAAACATACACAGCCATTTGGACGTCTGGAGGGAAGTGGGTCTGTGCTGTTCTCATGTTCGTCTGGTAAACAACAAACTGGTGCTTAAAATACATATACTGTGGCCGGGAGCGGTGGCTCACGCCTGTAATCCCAGCACTTTGGGAGGCCGAGGCGGGCGGATCAGGAGGTCAGGATATCGAGACCATCCTGGCTAACATGATGAAACCCCGTCTCTACTAAAAATACAAAAAAATTAGCTGGGCGTGGTGGTGGGCACCTGTAGTCCCAGCTACTCGGGAGGCTGAGGCAGGAGAATAGCGTGAACCCAGGAGGAGGAGCTTGCAGTGAGCCGACATCACACCACTGCACTCCAGCCTGGGCAACAGAGCGAGACTCCATCTCAAAAAAAAAAAAAAAAAAAAAATATATATATATATATATAGCATAACGTCGAGCTTTTGAGGTTGAGAGATCAGACCCCCCTCCCCAAGCAAAGTATATACCTCTCACATCAGAGCCACAGGGCTCTTTGCTTCTTGGACAGCCTAATCCATCAACCAAAGTCATCTTCCCTTAAAACTGAATGGGACAGGACAGTAATCTAGAGGAAAAGTTCAGAAGAAATTTCACTTTTTACTCTAAAACCCATGTTAGAGCACTCTCAGCCTGAATTCCTTGAAAACATGTCCTGAGACAAGGATTAAGGGCTAATGCTTTAGGAAGTACAGTGCCAGGGCATTGCACCTGAGGAAAAAGGAAAGCAAGTCAGGGAAGGATGGAGAGTAAATGCTGTCCACTGCTCCTCAACAAGTTTCAAGAGATGCATTCAATCCCCAACTCGTGTACCTTCTTGACCACACAAGACATCTCTGGCCAAGCTATATAGAGAAAAAATGTCCATCAAAGAGAAGAATGGACAGGGAATTTGTTTACCTAACTTCATTCTCATTGGTAGAATGTGACCCACAGTCACACTTTGAATTTCGGAGTTAAATTAAAAGACCTATTGCCCCCAGGGGATCCAGATGGCACATCTTGTGGCATGATGCTCATTCACGTCCAGCAGTGCCGCAGGGAGGAGGCAGAAAGACTCTGGGCCTCAGCCCCACATCAGAGCCTTGCCAGAGCCAGTGTCACTGCAGCAACTGAGATGGAGCAAGCCCTGAGTCTGGAACACAGGTGAGGCCAAGAGAATGAGGGCACCTGAGATGTGTCAGGTGAAATGACATGATACTTAATTAAAGGAAATTGTTTTGGCCAGGCACAGTGGCTGATGCCTGTAATCCCAGCACTTTGGGAGGCTGAGGTGGGCCGATCACTTGAGGCCAGGAGTTTGAGACCAGCCTGGCCAACATGGAGAAACCCCATCTCTACTAAAAATACAAAAATTACCTGGGTGTGGTGGTGCATGCTTGTAATCCCAGCTACTCGGGAGGTTGAGGCAGGAGAATCACTTGAACCTGGGAGGCGGAGGTTGCAGTGAGCCAAGATCGTGCCACTGCACTCTAGTCTGGGTGACAAAGTGAGACTCTGTCTCAAAAAAAAAAAATTGTTTCTCCTCATGCCTAGTTTTCAACATAGCTGTCCTCACTTCTGAATTCATCACTGGAATAGGCAAAAATCTAAAGTTCAGGAAGCCTGAAATGAAGCAAGGTCTCCCTGCCCCTCTGCCTCTAAGTGACCTTCTGGAATGGCAACGACTCCCATTGCCTCGTTGCACCTGCTCCCTGAGACAAGCTTTCTGTTCTCTGTCTACAGACACAGTAGTGACTGGGTAAAATCAGGTTGGCCCATTGGGCCAGTGGGGGACCCCAATCTAGATTTTGGTTTGATGATGAAGACAGAAAGAGCTATGCATCCCCTTTTCCATATGCTGAGGCAGTATATATAGCATAGGTTGAGAGTTTGAGGTTGGGCTTTGGAGTCAGACAGAGTAATGTCGTAACTCGGTCCACCACTTACCAGTTACGTAACCTTCCTCTCTGTTTCTTCATATGTAAAATAGGCATTAAACTAGTACCTCCTCACAGAGCTCTTGTGAGAATAAAATGAGACAATCCCAGTAAAGTGCCGAAACAGTGCCTGGTACCTAGAAGGCAGAAAATCTTAGCTATCATTACTAATAGAAATTCTCTTTCCCATTATTATACTTCATTTTTTGTCGTAGCTGCCAAAAAGTTGGGAGGTAAAGTGCAATTGCATTAGCCCTCATCATTCACAAATTCATTTATTCTCCTGATTTCCTGTACCGTTTTATTCTCATTATCGTGTGTGTGTCCTTTTATCTTGTTTCCCTTCATGCTTTCCTCCAGCCCCATGTCATTCCCATTTTTCTGGATAAAGGAACTGGCTGCTAATCTGTGCCCTGAACCCAACACTCCTTGTAGGGTAGGTGCCTGGTGAGCAGGCCCCTCACCACAGAGCCAGATTCCTGGAGGGCTGGGAGCTGACCCTTGCTTTGTGTGTGTCTAAAGAGGGCTACACCTCCATTAAAAGGCAAGCACAGCCAGGCAGAATCCAGCTGTCACTGCCTGGAGCACTGAGAGCAGCGGAGGACTGAGGAGGAGAGGGAATAAGAGTCTTTGACAATAGATAAACCACTCATCAGACCACCAAAACTGCCAAAGGCCAGCTCCTCACCTCATTGCTGTCCTAAGCCATTTAGTAACAGACAACACTGTTCTGGAGATGAAGGAGGCACCCTGCCCTACGCTCTCCTCCCCAAAACGGTGCATTCTGTTTCCTGCAGCAGTGAGTCTTTCATGTAATGGAGAGTTTATTAGTTGAGATTTAAAACTCAAAGCCACAGGATACAGATTGAATTGCAGTCTCCCCAAGGATCCTAAAGCTACAGACTCCCGAGTAACCTCCTTGTATTTCCAAAGGTCATACTCGCCTGTGTGATTCCCTTACAACTACCAAAGGGCACCCACAGCTGGCAGCCTCCCAGTGCGGCCTGGCACACTGTAAAGAGAGATTATGTAACTGCCAGTGACAGGGGATAGGGAAGAGGAGGGGAGCTCGCATCTGTGGATGATGCCTCTTACCATGCTCCATACTCACCGCAGCTCTGCATCCTTGCCTGCCAGGAAAGTAAGGTAGGCTTTGCCTGGCTGAAAGAAAATGTGCAGCAGGTACCCCTGCCATCTAGGGTAGAAGAGAGCCTCCTACTTCTTAGGTGCTGAGGATAAGCTTCTCCTGTGGGCACCCTCATGTTCCTTTGCCCCCAGGGCCTTTACGGCCATCCCCATTGTCTTGGTTCATCTTCTGCTACTATAACAGAATGCTACCAACTGGGCAAATTATAATGAACAGAAATTTATTTGGCTCATGGTTCTAGGGGCTGGAAAGTCCAAGATCGAGGGGATGGCATCTAGTGAGGCCTTCTTGCTGGGTCATAACATGGTGGAAGATATCATACGGCAAGAGAGACAAAAGAGAGGGCCAAACCTGCTTTTATAGCAAACCTACTCCCACAATAACAACATTCATCCATTAAAGGTCCCACCTGTCAACACTGTTGTGTTGGGGATTAAGTTTCCAACACATGAACTTCGGGGGACACATTCAAACCATAGCACCCATCTTCTCACAGCTCAGGCCACTGGGTGCAGACTGAGGATGAGTAATGAGGCCTGAAAAGGGGGAGGACCCATCACAAGCCACCAGTAGCCCTCTTTATGTCTCAGGAATCCCAGGTGAACCAGGAGAAATGGGCTGAAATAGCCAGTCTTATAGTCCTGAGAAATCATGTAATCCAAACCAAAACAAGCCAAGAAAACTCAGATACTGTCTGCTATGGGTAACACCAGAATAGTGCCTTCTCATTCATTTAGGCTCCAGCTAAACCCAACAAAATAAGCACAGCCATTCAAATTTCACAACCTCCAACTGTCAAAGTAGAATATTAATTTTATATAAATCAGAAATTTTATTGTTATTATTTAATTTTAAATAATAGCAAATTTAGTTACATAAAAATATTTAAATAAAAGTATTTAGCTTTATATAAATCAGAAATTAATTTTAATTTCTGAATGTGAGCCCCCATTTTGCTGATGGTAGTGAATTTCATCTTGCCAAGTTTAAATAAACGTCCAAGCACACTGTGTCTTCCCCATTACCACTGTAGTCCTCTCTCAGCTCCACCCTGCCCTTTCAGGAGGCATAAGGACCTTTGGATATTCTCTTTGCATTAAGATGGGGTATCAGGATTCCATGAGGCTAACGTCAGAGCCCTCTGGCTGTTGTCCAGTCATATGTGACTTCTCCACCGCTGTGGGGCCAGGCTGCCTGTGAAGAGCTCTAAGAAGTATGTGGTCTCCTTGGGCTGCACCATGGGCAGGGAAGTGCAAGTTACTATGCTCAAGAATCACCCAGACCTCTCTGGGTCTCTATCATCATCCCCCCAACCAGGGGCTTGGCTCTGACAGTGTGATCCTTTCTCTAAAACACTCCTGACATCAAATTCAATTTATCTCCTCCACTAACTCAAAAAGCAAAACCAAGGAAACGCCTCCAAAGCCAGGAAAAAGATTTGTATTTGGCAAGAAGGCTGTCCTTACATAATTATTCATTCTTTTTAATTCTATTGTTTATGAAATCAACCTTATCCTCCTTCAGGCATTTTGACTGCTGGAACTCAGATAATAATAAATAATAGTAATAATTTTTTTTTAAACAATAGCTTTTCTCTTCTTGGCAAGGAACTGCCAGCTTCACCGACCATGGTCTAATCCAAGGAGCTACAGAATCCACATGACCCTTTTATGGAGCCTCCCTGATTTCAGGCTCCTGCCCTGGATACAGAGCCAGAAAGAGCAAAGAAAGGAAATTCTGTGCTTTTCAAGTAAGTCAACCATCAGAGCCCAAAGGAAGTAAAAATAACTCAAGCTAGTGTCATGCAAGCACTTGTCCAACAAAAATAGAAGTGGCTCTGGCCATGAAAGGCTTTGTCTATACCACAATTGTCCCAAAGGGAAACACCAGTTAATCATGGTACCCTTCAAACGGCCATTTCTTGGTTATGTTCCCTTATTTCTGTGTTAGTTCCCTCTAACAGAAAAGTAAAGGAAAGAAAATTGAGAGGGAAGAATAGAGAAGGAGTGAGTAAGGATCAGCCCATAAGATATGGCAGCCCATAAGATAGAGATTTTTTAAAACAACACAGAAATTATTTGTTTGAGACACACATGCATAAATACTGAATATTAAATTTAATTTTAACTTTTTCTATATTAACCAAATTACCATTTTTAACTGTATACTACTGTAGTCTACATTTAAATTTCCTTACTTGTGCTAATAATATTCTTTAGAGTCCAATTTTCCTCCAGTATCCAAAATCCAATCATCGATTACACATCGATAGCAGTTAGTTGAATGTCTTGTTAGTTTCTTTTAATCTGGGATAGTTCCCAGACTTTTTGTCTTTTATGACACTGACTGTTTGAAGAATCCAGGCCAGTTGCTTTGCAGAATGTCCTTCAATTTGGGTTGATTTGGTTGTTTATTCTTGATTAGATTCAAATTCAATATTTTTGGCAGGAATTCTGTGCAGGTGGTGTTGTGTCCTCATATGTCACATCAGAGGCCATAATGATGATTTGTCTATTATTGATGTTAAGTTTGATCACTTAGTTATAGCAGTATCTGCCAAATTTCTCCACCATAAAAGTTCCCTTTTCCCTTTGTAATTAGTAAGTAATCTATGGGACGATACTTTGAGACTGTGAACATCCTCTTCCCCAACAACATTTCAGCCAATGGTTTTAGAAACCATTAATAATTCTTGCCTGAATTATTACTATGTAATAATTAAAATAATATAAAAATTAATAAAAATAATTGTAATAATATTACAATAATAATTATTTCAACCACCATAGTGGTTGAAAATGGTGCTTTTGTAATTCTATCATTTGTATTTATTAATTGGCATTCTTCTACAAAGAAAGGCTTTCCCTTCTCCCCTCCCCTTTTATTTAGTATAAATATAGATGGATAGGTTCTTTTTTAATGCAATGAGTTATTACTCATAACTGTTATTACTAATTTTGATTCTCAGGTTGTCCGAAATTTGTCCAGGGGAGCCCCTTGAAGCAAATCCTGTGTCATTTTGACACACCTTCAGTTTTAAACACCTTATGGTGGTATTTAAAATGAAAGAAAGAAATCAAGGTTGAAATGCTGAAGAAGGAAGAAGAGCCACAAAGGACAAGACAAGAGAAAGATAGTTCTGATGACAATGAAACTCTTTTTAACTAAAACAGAACTCTTGTCTTCAGCCAGAGCTCTCTGTTGTCCACCGCTGGGACTTAGATATATTCAGGAGCCACAGGGACAGGCCTGACAACAGGAAACATACATGGAAAGTCTCCTGGGAAGAACTCAAGATTTTTCACCTGATGGACTTTAAAGTATTAAGGCATGCCTGGCAAATAGTCTATTTTCAGAAGGGTGAAGGAAGGTAGGACTCATCCTAAGGAAAGAGACAGTTGGGCACAATGGATTGGTCCTTGGTTGTTAAAGGAGAATAGAAGTTATTAAAAATGAAAGTATGGGGGATACTACAGGAATCCACCTCCAGCCAGCCCTGTAGGTGAGAGAGAGGTAACTGAGAGGAATGGGAACTCTAGCTCATGGAGGTTCAAGCAACACTGCTTTGGAACCCTTCTAGCAGAAGGCAACACACCGGGGAGACAGCTGCACTTCCCCTTGGCAGCACAGCTTGTTATGGAATGAATGTTTGTGTCCCTAAAATTCATACACTGAAATCCTAATCCCCAATGTGATGGTATTAGGAGGTGGGGCCTTTGGGTGGTAAATAGGTCATGTGGGTGGAGCCATCACGAATGGGATTAATGCCCTTATAAAAGGGATCCAGAGAGTTGTCCCTCTCGTCCTCGCTCTCGCTCTTGCTCTCTTCCTCCCATGTGAAGACCCAAAGAGAAGTGAGCAGCCTGCAACCCAGGAGAGGGCCTGGCCTTGCCAGAACCTGGCCATGCTGCACCCTGACCTCAGACTTCTAGACCTCCGAGCTGCGAGAAATACACTTCTGTTGTTTATAAACCATCTAGTCTATGGTAATTAGTTATAGCAGCCCTAATGAGCTAAGACACAACCCCATACAGCTTTGGTTTCCAGGGAAGCCACAGCAGAATCTACTTTGGCTGGCAGATCACTTGCACCTGGTGGAACAGTGCAGACACTACCAGAGAGGGCTTCTTTATGAGAACCTTGGGACTGACCCACAGAAATACATGAAATGGAAAAGAAGATGAACTATTTAGATAACTCTACATGAACAGCCTAGGCCGATTAATTTAGGCTACAAAATAAATAGTCCTTTGCCTGGGAAGTAGACATGGAAGTTATAATGATCCCTGAAACAAAGGCTCAGTGGGGTCCTCCTGTGTCTCAAGGCCAACTAGCTAGTAAGTAGTACTCACAGGACCTGAACTCCTAGTCCAACATCCTCTCCACCTAGCAGAAAGGAAATGAAGGCAGATGTGGAATTCCAGAAGGATGGAAAGAGAAGTCAACATCGCCACAGTAAGAAAAGTGTGGATGAGAATGATGTAGGAAGAGTCAGAATGGTCTGCATACGAGAGCCAAGAAGGTCACCTCAGGAACCCCAAGACTGAGGAAGAGATTCCATGGAAGCCAAAGGTACCCCAGGGCAGCACCGTTAAGGGACAGGAGAGATCAGGAACATGCCCTACTGGCTCTGCCTCAGATGACCAACAAACACGGTCCATAGTCAAATGGAATGGGGAGAATAAAGGAAAAACTGCACCTCAACGAAAGCAGAAATGATCACAGGCAGAATCACAGTGGGGAAAGAAGGCAAGAAGCAGGAACAATGAAACAAAAGTCGATGTCAGGCCTTTGTTGGGCAATACCCACTATTCATAAGTATTTGTGATAGACGAAGATGCCCTCAGGGAAACACTTCAACAAAAGCACAAGATCAAACCTTGACGGGAATGGCTGCCAGTCCCTAATACAAACCTTTGCTTATTTATTTTAAATCTCTGAGCATCACTTACAGGAAAAATAAACTTTCCTTCCAAAACTAAGTTTGCTTATATGCATTGTCTATTGCCTCCCCCTAGTGATTGGATATGTGAAATGCCATAAGAATCTATTGGCAGAGCTGGAGAAATTAAGTGACCGCGATGATGGTGATGACAATGACGATGATGATGATGATGATGCCTTTTTATACTTGAACAGTACTGCATGCTCCTCAAAGTGCTTTCACACAGGTAATTTCATGTATCTGGATAACTACTTTGTAAAATAGACAATATGGATTCCACTTCCAAATCATCTCACACTGACATTGCTTTGGAGCCTATTAATCAAAATCCGAGACAGAAAACTACCTAGGGATTTGGAGTCAGACCTACATTTGTAGCCTGGTGCCACCATGCACCCCTTTGTGATTTCGAGCCAGTGGCTTAAACCATGAGCCTCCATTTCCATATGTGTAAAAGGGGTTGAGACTGTATATATCATAGAGATACAATAACCACTATATGAATCATTCAGTACTGGCTTGAGCACTGTGCCTGGTGTGAGGTAAGACCTTTTAAAATGTCATGGTGGTGGTTGTTGTTGCTGCTGCTGCTGCTGCTGCTTGTTAATGGCATCTTTTAGGAGTGGTCTTTCACTTCCTCAGGATCACATTTATGATTTCTGAGCCTGCTGGGAGACAATTCTTCCTTGTATCTAACTGAAAAACATGTACTTTACTTAAATCTACTTTCAACCAGATGCAGGAGCTTGTGCCTGTAATCCCAGTGCTTTGGGAGGCTGAGGCAGGAGGATCGCTTAAGGCCAGGAGTTCAAGTCTGCAGTGAACCATGATCACACCACTGCACTACAGCCTGGGTGACAGAGCAAGACCCTGTCTCAGAAAAAAAAAAAAAAAATCTACTTCTCTTTCTCAATTTTCCTTATTTTCCAGTTATTTTTCCCTCCTTGGCCTGGCTTATGACCTGTCTTAGGGTTCATTTCTAAAGCAGAAGAACCTTGGCCTGACAAGAAGTGCAAAATTGCAGGGTGTCCTTTCCAGATGCTCCTTCAGATGCTATAAAGTCTGCCTGTCCAGCCTAGGAACCCTGGGAGCTAAGTGCAATCAGAAGAGCACATTAGACCAGGCGTTGCTCAGAACAATTCTCTTCCTCAAAGACTTTATCCCTGGTGGTTAAAGAGGAACTAGTGGTCATAAGAAAGTGTGGAAAAATCAGATAGGGAGCTTTTTAAGACTCTAAATCTGGCTTATTATCAGTGAGCAAGCTTATGAAGCACACATGCACCTGAGTGCATGCGCACACACACACACACAGAGGTTCACAGCAATTATGGGCTTATGAGATCTGCCTGGGGATAGCGAAAAGTAATTCCTGAAGTCAGCTACCAAAAATAGCTCCAGCACCTGGGCTTAGCAGACGTCAGGATGAAAAGCAAACAGCTTATTCTTGAGCAAACACTTTTGACACAACCACAAGTCACCCAGGCAGCCCTCATCGCAGGTGCTGGCCTGTCTCCACTTCATGGAGGAGTCAAGAGTCTGCCACATCCCATTAGGCCTTATGAAATAATAAGTAGGAGAGAAAGTAAAATGGTATTCAGGAACTACAGAAACTTCTTTATCCTGATGCTTCCTTCCTACTGCTGAAGAAAACACCATCCTTGCCACCTCCAAGTGGCAGAAGTCTATAATTCTTTTTCCTGCATACTAGGAAGGTCTTTCTCAATAGTTATGCCCTGGGATGTGAGATACCAGCCCACACAATCAAGCCCGTGCATGCCTCTCTGCAATGAGCTTGGAGAACTCATACTCCAGTCCCTAAAGTGCACACAGCAGACTCCATCCAAGTGTCAGTTTCTTCAAAGCTTCCAGCCTTCCCTGTGAGCCCACACCAAGGGTGGACAAAACTGTAACAAACCAGGGACCTGCCATGCTGACCCCACCTCAGGAGCCAGGGACACTTGGGAACCAGAGGCCTAATTCACTGTGCTTAGCATCGTATTTGCACCACCATATTTGCACTCAACAATATCTGATTGAAGGATTCTATTCATGCACATTGAAAAAAATGATGTCTCCAAGTCTTAGGTGATGGTGGGTGAAATGTACAGGACCAAGAAGATACAGCTCTTGCGCTGGGAGATGAACATTCATTGAGTACTGTCTACGTGCCAGGCAGTGTAAGATGCTTGACCCACATTTATCCTATAGTCCTCACAATGATCTATGAGAAGGTGTTAGAATCCTTGCTGGACAGGTACAAAGATTGGGGCTGTAAAAGTTTAGGCCACTCGCTGATGGCTACACAGCTTGAGGAACAGAACAAGAATTTGGAACCAAAGGCTGTCTACTTAAAGGTGGTGTGATTACAATGCTGACATCCTAAGAAGCAGCAAATGTTACTGTGAGTGGGAACCTGAAAAGATGGCTCACCTGGCTGGGACAAGCTTAGCTAAGGCAGCATTTAATAGGCAAGCTGTGCACCTCCTCAGTCCAGTCTGGACACCCAAATCTTGACTGCAGTTGTCCGTTGAGGGCTACCTTATTCAAGAACTGAAGAGGGTTCTTTAACTTTATGAAGCCAGCACAAAGAACCAGATAAGAATGACCACATTCACTCTAGGGAATGAGGTTAAGAGCATAGAGGTTCTAGTGTCACATTACCTGGGTGACGCCTTGATTAAGCCACTTAGTAGCTGTATGATCTTGGGCAAGTCAATGAATCTCTCTGGGTCTCAGTTTTCTCATCTGTACAATGGGATAAAAATGGAATCTACTTCATTTAGTGGAAGGTTTAATGAGATGATATCCTGAAAGTACTTAGCACAGCAGCTGAAACATTGCAATTATTCAATTCATGGTCACCACTGTTATTACTATATTCCTATCATTACAGTTATCAATCATAATTATATACAATAAAAGATAAATAATCTGTACTAGGGTGGACTCACATTAATTTCCAAATTCTCCTTGCTGGAATTGAACAACTTTAGCCAGATATGGCTAAAGGAAATGTCTTTCTTTTCTTTGGTTTTGCATTTTCTGCAGATTCTGTTCCATGCAACGTGTGCCCTTTCCCCATCTGTCTTCATCCTGGGGCCAGGAGGGAGGGAGAGCTTCCAGACTGATCATCAGACACCAGCGTGGTCAACAGAGCATTCACAGGGACTGTGATAGAAGTCTGGTGGTAGTAGTTCTGGGGCCTGAGCAAAAGAGCTATCAACTGCCCTGTTCATCAATGCCTTGCCCCCTGACTTGTTCATTTCCTTGAACCAGGGTCCATACCCTAAATGCAAGGAATAACTAATATCTGCTCCAAGTCCACATATTTCTATAGAAAGTTTCCATTTTGAAGGGAAAGGCACTTTCTTGCTTTACCACCACTTGTTGGCATATACACATAAGATACAGCAGTGTATCATCAGGGTTCCCCAGAGAAATAGAACCAATAGGGTAGACAGATTCTATTATAAGAGATTTATTATAAGGACTTGGCTCATGCAATTACAGAAGCTGGTTAAGTCCCAAGGTCTGCAGGGAGAGTCGGCAAGCTGGAGACCCAGGAAGAGCCAATGTTTCTGTTTAAGTCTTGCAGGCAGGAAAAAGCAACTATCCTAGTTTGAAGGAAATCAGGCAGGAGGGTCTGACTTCCTTCAGAAAGACTCAGGGGAGGGTCAGAGTATTTGTTCCATTCAGGCCTTCAGCTGATTGAATGAGGCCCATCGACACTAGGGAAGGCAATCTGCTTTACTCAGTCTACAGATTTCGATGTTAATCTCATCCCAAAGTACCCTCACAGAAACACCCAGAATAATGTCTGACCAAGTATCTGGGCACCAGGTTGACACATGAAATTAACCATGATGGCCAGGCGCAGTGGCTTACGCCTGTAATCCCAGAACTTTGGGAGGCCGAGGCGAGTGGATCACGAGGTCAGGAGATCAAGACCATCCTGGCCAACATGGTGAAACCCCGTCTCTACTAAAAGTACAAAAAATTAACCGGGCATGGTGGTGGGTGCCTGTAGTCCCAGGTACTCAGGAGGCCGAGGCAGGAGAATGGTGTGAACCTGGAAGGCGGAGCTTGCAGTGCATGGAGATAGCACCACTGCACTCCAGCCTGGGCAACCAAGCAAGACTCCATCTCAAAAAAAAAAAAAAAAAAAAAAAGTAACCATCACATGCAGTGTGAGGTTTTCCTCCCTGCATTGCAGCCATGTCTCCCGCTGGGCCCTCCATCCTCAGCCTGTGATTTAGCGATGATGAAGTGTTTATCCATCCTCAGCCTGTGATTTAGTGTTTATACTCTGCTCTTGCCAGCAGCAAGTAAACTTCCAGACTGAGTATGAGCTGAAAAACACCTCCTGTAATACAGAGAAAAAAATTCACCAAATAAAATTTCCTGCATGTCAGTGTCCTGCGGCTCAACACAGTGAGAAGGAAATAGCCACATTTTGGTAGCCAGGCCTGACTCGAATCCTAGTCCTACCTCTTCTGGGTTTGTGCATCTTGGAAATGTTGCTTAATCTATTCAATCCTCGGTTTCCTCATTCTTAAAATGGGCATAATAATAGCCCACTCTTGCAGGGAAATCGAGAGGATGAAAGTAACGTGTAAAATACTGGACCCTCTTAGGCATGTCATAAGTGGGAGCTCACTGTTCCCGTGGAAGCTGGTACATGGCCCCCGGTTGCCGTAGTTTGAGTGTGGTTTCTGCCCTACCATTTCATCCTGCCTAATCATGCAGGATCCTCCACTGCCTTGAAGCTAATGGCCCTCATACTGTGCCTCTTATGATATTCTTGCTGTTGGGCTTCATTAATTGTTGCAGAAATCTGTTAGGTACAACCCTCTTGAGACTCCTACTGCGCCCCAGAATAGCTTACAATTCTTCACATTACAAATGAGCATCCTCAGCACTTCTTTTCTCGCCCCAAGCCTCCTGGGACATGTTTAAAACAATAATCAAAGCAGCATAACCCGTTGACACAAGCCTTGAATAAAAGCGGGCTGTCCCTAATCCCATTCCTTTTGAGCTCATTAAATGACCTGCAGTCCCACTTTAAATGAAATCTTTGTTTCCAAGGAAGAGAGAGGAAGTGTTTAGCATCCTAAAGTCACTGCTACCAACCTACCTCTTCCTCTTCATTCCTCCTGAGTTGCCCCTTCCTGCTCACTGTCACCCTCCTTTCTCAACAGTCTCCTCACTTTCCTGCTATCCTGCCCCAAAGTCGGTGATGATGATGATGGTAACTGAAAACATAGCCTGAACACTTACTCTGTGCCAGGCACCGATATGAGCAATTTACACACACTAAGTCATTTACTTCCCACAACAAACCTAAGAAGTGCACATTACTGTTATCCTTGTTTTTCAGATGAGGTGACAAAGGCACCAACATGTTTGAAGAGCTTGCCCAAGATCACAGGACTAGTGCATGCCCAAATCCACCACACATTAAGGATCTTCCAGCCATCCTTGAGCTCCTCTTCTCTTTCACTCTTACCCTCACCCCTACCAGATCCTATCTCTTCTGCCTCCTAAGTAACTCCTGAACCCATCCCTTTATCTCTCCTGAGATGGTCCTGCTTTTTGTAGTTTGGGCTCTCATCACCTCTTCCCTGGATTCTCACTGCTAAAATCTCTTCATTGTTCTCACTGCCACTAATGACTCCTCCCCCAAATGAGTCCTCCCCCACATCACCCTCCACATAACCACATTCAGTCAGCCATTAACTTGTTCACTAAGCATTACTAATAAGTTTCACAAAGCATTAGTAAGCAGCTAACATTGCCAGGCATAGTAGTAGATTTGGGGTCACCAAAGTGGATAACATAGTCATCCCTGACTCCAGGGAACTCACAGTATCAGGAAAGTCAGACAGGCAAAAATAACAAATACTCAATGGTAATTGAACGTAGACCTAAGCAACATGTGAGATGGGAACTCAGAGGAAGGACTACCAGATTCTGCCCAGTTTGATGTAGCAGGACTTATTTTGCCTACAGTTCACTAGAGCAATTTAAACAAAATCAATGGTATTTGGTCTTAGGTTTTTATTTTGTTTTTGTTGTTGTTGTTGTTCTGTTTGTTTGTTTTGTTGTGTTGTGTTTTTACATACCCAGAAGTCTGGAGACAAGAGGTTAAAGGGGTGGGTGAGAGTTTCATTGATTTTAGGGCCAATTCTCCTGCAATTCTTTTGGCCTTTCTTCTTGGTCACAAGATGGCTGCTGCATCACCAACCATCGTGTCTATGTTCAAGGCAAGAAAAGGAGAAAAGGCAAAAGGGCTGGATCAGCTCGTGTGTTCTTCTTTTAAAAAAAAAAAAATCAAGAGAACTTTTGCTTTTCCAGAAGCCTCCCCTGCAGACATTTATTTAGGGGTCACAGCCCAGATCTAGTTTACATGGCCACTTTTAGCTGCAAGGGAAGTTGGAAAAGTGAATATTTGGTTTTCAGCCCCTCTAGTAGAGAGGCAGTAAGGGAGAAGGAGGTTTGATGTGACATTTAGATAGCCAGACCACACATGGGCAGGAAAGTTTCAAAGCAGAGGTGATGCTTAAGCCAAATCTTGATTTCTAATTCATAGCCTGTATTAGTTCGGGTTCATGCTGCTGATAAAGACATACCTGAAACTGGGAACAAAAAAAGGTATAATTGGACTTACAGTTCCACATAGCTGGGGAGGCCTCAGAATCATGGCAGGAGGTGAAAGGCACTCCTTACATGGCGGCAGAAAGAGAAAATGAGCAAGAAGCAAAAGTGGAAACCCCTGATAAACCCATCAGATTTCATGAGACTTGTTCACTATCATGAGAATAGCACAGGAAAGACCGGCCCCCATGATTTAATTACCTCCCCCTGGATCCCTCCTACAACACGTGGGAATTCTGGGAGATACAATTCAAGTTGAGATTGGGTGGGGACACAACCAAACCATATCGTAACCCATAAATGAGTGCCATGATCAGTGTGCTAGTTCTCATTCAGAAATGCTTTGACAGTGAATTCTATGTATAGAATTTTCATATTATCATTACCACATACCTGTTCAACAATAGGAAGGCAGAACTATTTGGACAAAGATGGAAACACACGTAACGTTATTCCATTGTCCTCTCCTGTACCTCCTGCTCTATCCCCTGCTCCCCCTCTGCTCCCCAGCAGCCTGCATTCCCTTCTTTGCCTGTACTGCTTCAGGCCTTGGCTTAGACATTGTGTCCTTCTAGGAGCCCTCCCTAGCCTAGGCTCAGTGCCCCTCCTGCTTGGTTTTCTGTCTTTGTCATCCCCACGGCTGCCCCGAGCTTTATGGAAGCACCACTATGTCTCTATTGTTATTTGCTGTGGTTCTAGCCCCAGAACTTCTGCTTGGTTCCTGGAAGATGTACAATAAAAACTTGTTGAATGAACAAAAATCACAAATCCTCCATAGATATACAGTAGCATCCCCATATTTTTAGGCAAGTGCCTTTCTTCCTAGCCAAAAAGCAAGCAAGAAAGCAAACAAACAAAAACCACCCTAGAAGTGAAGCCGAGAAGGAACTGGCTTAATTCAGATAGGGCTCAATATCAACCAAGGTGCTACTTTCTATTGACATCTGTACATAATCCCAAAATTGGAACCCAAATTAGAAAGAATAAGAAAGACAAACCAACAATCAGGAGATGGTGCTCAAAGGACCTAAACTGGCTTTCTGGTAACAAGAGCCAGCTCCCTGCTACAGACACGCCTCAGAACACAGGCTGGCCCTTGGCATGTGCTCACAGGGAGGGAGGGAGACGAACACTTGCTGAGGGCCCAACACACACCAGGCCCTCCACAGGCCATCCCATTTTTCTCACAACCCTCTAAGGTAGAATGGGTATGCTGTTTGTAGGAACATGCAACAAGGCTATAATATGATGTGTTAACTAATAAGCCCCAGTGGCTAAACACAATAGAAGATCATTTCTCACCCATGCAAAGTGTGCTGTGGGCCCTGCCCTGCACAGCTTTCCTCCAGGCAGTGACTCTGGGACCTAAGCTCCCTGGTGTGACTCCGCCAACTTCGAGTCCTTCATTTCCATTCTTAATGATCTCTCACCTGCAATTCCCTTGAGAGCAAGAACATGCTATTCCAACTAGTCGCTTACTTCTTCCTCAATTCGTAGGTATCTAATGGTTTCTTTGCCTTTTGTCTGATGAGGTCTCTTCCTCCTCCAGATGGCCCAACTGGATAGATGCCAAGACAATGCCACTGGCTTTCTCCCTAACATGACTCATGTCTGGTCCATGGCAGACATCTACATACCCTTTGTTCTGAAAAATTTGGGAAATGCAGGCCATCCAGCATAGCCACCACTCCCTTATTTTGCCATCAAACAAAGTAGCCATTTCTTGACCTTTGTATTTTCTGGGATGGAGTCAGACCCGTCTACTCTGTTTTCCAGATGCAGAGGATGCATAACAAACTGCCAAGTTGGTCTCGTGGAAGGCCCTCCCTCTTTAGATGAAGGGTTCCCCCATCCCTGACCCTTGACGGAGGTGGGACTCACAGTACAATAACAGCAACAGCAATCTCTGAAAAATTCCCTTCTCTCCTAATTTCTAACTCTCATTTATGTGATCATAGATGCAGGAATTAGGAGTAGCAACACCATTTCCCCATCTTCCATTTTCAGAGTACTGCATGTTTCAGAATCACACCCCACTTTGCGATTTCGTCTCTATACATGTGAGCTTCCACTTTGATATATTAATATACAGATTTGGAGCCCTTTGCAAAGCATGTGTGAGGGACAAGAGGGTAAAAGAATTTAATATATTGACAAAAGACATGTATATAATGAATCACAGAGAAAGAAATATATATTATTTAAAAAATTTTTTAGAGCTGTCAAGGGGCTAACACCTCCATGAGGGCAAATGACAGAAACAATGGAATTTAGCAGCTAAGAAATCTGGAATGGTGACAGAGTGTATCAGAGGGTAGAATACTGGAGAACAATAGCAAGGTTCAAGCTGTGGTCTTAAGCATGAAAGAGAAGAAGGTCTTTCGAGTTGCAATAGTCTGAATAATGGCTCCCCAAGAGATAGCCACATCCTAATCCCCAGAACCTGTGAATGTGTTATGTTACAAGGCAAGGGGAAATGTGATTAAGGACTTTGAGAAGGGACAATTAGCCTGGATTACCCGATAGGCCCTAAATGTAATCGCAAGGGTCCTCTTAAGAGGGAGGTAAGAAGCCTTTTATGTTTAATGCAATAGGTCAAGATCATGTTTATGAGTCAACCTGACTGGGCTATGGAGTACCCAGTTAACCCATTTGGTTAAACATTATTCTGGGTGTGTCTGTGAGGCTGTTTCTAGATGAGATTAACATAAGAATCTGTAGACTGAGTAAAGCAGATTGCCCTCCCCAATGCGAGCTGGCCTCACCCAATCCATTGAAGGCCTGAATAGATCAAAAGTCTCAGTAATGGAGAATTCACTCTGCCTGTCTTCAAGCTGGGACATCGACTTTCTCCTGCTTTCAGGCTAATACTCTGGCTGAAAATTATACCATCAGCTCTCCTGGTTCTCAGGCCTTTGTACTCAGACTGAAACTATACTGTCGGCTGTCCTGGGTCTCCAGCTTGCCAAACACAGACCATGCGGCTTCTCAGCCTTCATAAGCATGTGAGCCTATTCCTTATATTAAATCCCTTTATACATAGATGTCTTTCCTATTGCTTCTGTTTCTCTGGAGAATCCAGACGAATACAAAGGTCAAGAGGAATGTGATGTCAAAGCAAGAGGTTGGAGTGTTGTGAGGAAGGGCTGACAAACCCAGGAATGCAGGGGGCCTCCAGAAGCTAGAGAATGTCAGGGAAGAGACTCCCTGCTGGAGCTGCCAGAGGAACCAATCCTGACGACATCTTGACTTTAGCCCTTAAGACTTACTTTGGACTTTGGCTTCCAGAACTGTAAAAGAATAAATTTTTGTTGCTTTAAGCCACTAGTTTAAGCTACTAGTGGTAATTTGCTTCATCAGTTGTGAGAAACTATACATGAGTCAAGGTCTAAGAATTGTGAGCCTAGATCGCTGGGTGAGATCCACAGTAAGTTCAAATCACCTGTGACGGCTGTGGAATTTGCACTGGAGAGGAAGCTGGAAGGCGGATGCCAGTTTCTAACCCATGGGGGAGAAGTGACCAGGGGGTGAATGGGTGACAGCAAAGAGGAGAGCAATGTTTCTAGATAGCGTGAGGCTCAGGGGAGCAGAATTTTATTTTAAAGAATAGGGGAGGGGTATCAGTTTTCCAAGGGAAAGGGTTATCAAAAGGAGGAGTGGATGACCCAGGTGAAAAGAGAACAAGATGTTGGGTCAGTGGTGAGGAAGCATGAGGCAGTGTGGGGATAAGAATCTAGGGGAGGATATTTGATTGAAAGGTGGATCAGTCAAGGTCCAATCTGGAGACAAACCCCACAAAACTTGAACAGAAAAAGTTTAATATAAAGAGTTATTCATTACAACAGGAGATGACCTACACATGGGGTAAAAATAGCACTAAAGAATACCCTGGGCCGGGCGCAGTGGTATATACATATATGGTGGTGTATATATATATGTATACACACACACACACACACACACATGCTCTTGGCAGCCATACCATAGGAGCAATAAGCAGATAGAAAACACCAGAACCAGAAAGAGAAGGTCCTTTTCCTTTCATGTCCTTCCAAAAACTTCAACTGACAAAGCTTAACAGTGTACCTGCTCCAAAGGAGAAATGTTTAAAGGACCCAGCTCCATTTTAGGGCAGACAATGAAAAGTAGGTTTGCAGCTGAGAAGCAATAAATTTATAACTGGCTCAGGGGGCCCTTAAATTTGGGGTGGTAACCAAGGATGGCAGTAATATGAGGCTGGTGAGCTTACTGGTCTTAGTTTCCAGAAAAACCCTGGTGTACAGTTAATAGAGAACTGAGGATTAGATGGTGGCCAGCTGGTGGCCAGCCGCACTTGTAGATGTGAAGGCCAGTACAGAGACCCTAAGACCTGTATAGACTGGGCCCTGGGGGGAGCCAAAGGCCAGGACTATAAATAACCCCTAAAAATTTATTGCAAACTGCAAAATATTTCTTTTCAACATTTATAATGTCTGAGACATCAAATGACATGTCATCTCATTCAGCTCCATCCCTCCTGGGCCTACTTAGGCCACCCTCAATCTACAACCATTTTGGGAAAGGAGATTTTTTTTTTTTTTTTTAAGTTATGGCATAGAAAGTAGCCTCAATCCCAAATCCTATCACTCTCCTTATAATTCAGCAGCTGGTGAATTCCCTTCCAGGTTTCATTTGGAATGCTATAACCTTGAATCCCTCAGCCACTTCCATAAAGGCAAGTAAAATATGATCTCATCGGACACACCAAGAAGCCAGTTGAAATAATCAAATGATCTCTCAAGGAAGTAAAGATATCAAGCCTTAACACTTAGGAATTTCAACTTGATTGTGCTCTGTAGTTAATGAAGTTTTTAAAGTTTGGCTCTCACTCTTCAGATCTGGCTATTGAAATTGCTGAGGGCTATGGTTGTGGGAAGTGTCAATATCACTAAAATGTGCTTATTTGCTCTATCATGATTAGGGTAATTTAAGCTTGGGACTCCAAACATTCAAACGCTTCAAATAAAAGGAAACAATATGGCTGTCATTAAAATGGTAGTAACTGAATCTGCCATTTGTTCATTTTCTGGCAGGAAGACAAATGGTCCCACATTGAAGCCTCAATTGTGCTTATTCTAATCATTTAAATCGTTGAGTTGGGTGGCTTATTTTGCCAATGGCAAAAATGCCACAGTTTGTGAAATTTTTCTCTGCAGTTACCCCTGCTTCTAAACCTTCCCTTGGGATAAGTTGCATGAGCAGGCATTTTCCCTCCTAAGCCTATAAGTAAGCTAGACTGAAACCTTGGCGCAGTAAGTTCTACTTCCAGCTGACTTTCTATATGTCATCTATAACAAGATACAACCTTGCTTTGTCTTGGTTACCTCACCTATAAAAGGCCGATGATAGTCTAGTAAAGTCTGTTATCTGGCATGGAAGGAACTTGGTGTTTGGAATTCTGCTATTATAATAGAAATAAAGACATGCAGGGTAGGGAGTAGAGACAGCAAGACATTCAGGACAGTGGCATGTACTCTGATAGGGTCTTTACTGGCTCAGAATCTTGTGCTTTTTCTTTTTCTGGAACAGAATGAAGATTTTTAAATCTTTTGCTGTGAGTTTGAACAGGCACTAAAGAACCAATCCAAACTTATCAAATTATCTGTTTAATAAGCCAATTTATTTCATAAACAATTGAATTGTTAATGAGCAGTAATTATTCTCTCCCTGGAAGTTATCCTGGCTTAGCTTTGTGGGGCTTTGCCCTAAGCACGAGCAGATTAGTATTCAGCCAAAGACTCAAGGGAATCCCTGTTCAATTTCTGAAACTCTATAGCTCCATCCTCTTGGGTATTCTGCTCCACAAAGTACAGTTGGTTTGGCTATCTCAAACTCTAACTTCTATCTCTTCAACTCCGTGAGGCTGCATGACTCTTTAACATTCCCTTCCTCACACTATATTTTGGACATGGCTCCCAGGCAGAGACTCTCGAGAGTGAAGGCTCATCTCATTTGTCCCCTGTTTCTCAGTCACCATGGTCCTGTTGTCTGTTGTCCAATGTCTAAAAATGGTGGATTCTGTATTTTGTTCAGGTTTTTAGTTACTGGTTGTTTTTGTCATCATTATTTTCTACTGTTGCTTTTTTTCCCAGTCTTCTTTTTAGTATTATGTTTTATTCCCTTTCTTTTCAGCTGTGCCCCTTTGTATAATTATTTTTATTTGTTGCTCTAGAGATTACATTATGCCTCCTTATCAGTCTATCTGAAATTAATGTGGTACTGCCCCATGTATGCAAGAACATTACAATAACATAATTCCATTTGTCCCAAGTATTTTGTGCTCCTTCTGTCATGTATTTTACATCTATATAGTTTTACTTTAAAATTTAGTTACCCTTTAAATAAGTTTTTTAAAAATAAAAAGATAGTCTTTATATTTTCACATATTTTGCCTTTTTGGAACTCTTCATTTCTTCCTGTGCATTCAAGTTTTCATCTGGTGTCATTACCTTTACCTCCAGCTACAGGGAACTGCGTTTAGCGTTTCTTATAGTGCTGGTGTATGGGTGATAAATTCTCTCAGCTTTCATTTATCTGAAAATGTCTCAAGTTTATACCTTTTTATAATTCTTCTATTATCATTTTAGTGAGATCTTCGGAGGGAGAAGAGAAAAATTTATTCAATACGCTTTCTTTAATGCAAAGTTGGAAGCCTGACTGTATGGGATTCTCTATTTCACTCCTGGCCTCTCCCAGCCCTTTGCAATTCTGGAAAAGATTTTTTGGAAAACACGAACTGGTGCCCAAAGCCCTCAGAGGCCAGGGGCCAGATAAAGCGTGTATAATGGTCACAGAGAGAGGTTTAGTATCCAGGCAACCATTTTAAAAACAATAGTAACAGCTAACATACATTAAGTTTATGTTCCAGACACTAGCCTGAGTGCTTTATGAGCATTCTCTTACCTCATCCTTATAGCAGCCCTATGAGGCAGGGGGAATGAGAAACGTTATTGACTTCCTGGAGTTGCTGTGAGGGTAAAATGGGGTGAGGATAAACCATTAGGGAGAAGGGTGGTAGCACATGGAAAACTCGACATATGTTAACTATTGTTATTATCGCTGTAGCAAAAAAACACAATGATCACAAAGAATATCAATAGGAAGGTGGATCAGCTCCAGACACAGTGGCTTGGCAGGAGGGAGCTAGGGAAATGAAGTCAAAGAGTGACTTCTGAAGGGGAGAGACTGATGGGCAATGCAGGGATGCTGTCCCTTGACTCCCTCCTGCCCACCATATCCCGAATTATCACTGCCTCATAATCTTCCTTTTCCATGATTTGATGGCTGGAGTAGCCCTGCTTACTAACAGGATGATCTGTGCAAGAGACTGATACAGATTATCCTGGTGGACGTCTCTTAATGTTCAATTATAGCTTGGTATTTTGGTTTATGTTTTTAAAACACTTATGTACAAGTCTTGTATATACATGTTGATAGCAGCTTTATTTATAATAGGCAAAAACTAGAAAAATACAAACATTCATCTATAAATGAATAAATCAATTGTAGTATATACATACAATGCCATGTACTCAGAAATAAAAGGGACTATTGATTCTTATTATGCTGAGTGAAAGATGTCAGACAAAAAATAAGTACCTACTGTATGATTCTAGAAAATGCATATTACCATAGAGAGAAAGCATTATCAGGAGTTGCTTGGAGACAGGAAAGTGGGGGAGAAGACAAGTTACAAAGGTACACAAGAAATCTTTTGTGAGTAATGTTTATAATTCATTATCTTGATTGTGGTTCATATTGCAAAATTTATCCAACTGTACACATGTGTGATTTATTCTACATCTATTATATTTTAATAAAACGGTTTAAAAACAACCCATGAGATCTCAGTTAACTCCCACTATATTGGCAAAAGAAAAATGATTTGTAGAATAATACCAAGTGTTGTGAAGTTATAGAGCAATAGAAACTCCCACATACTTTTTATGGAAATGTAAATTAAAACCACCACTATAGAAAACAGGCTTGTGGTTCCTAGTAAAAATATATTCCATAAGCCAAAGTTCCATCCCTAGGTATATGCCCTAGAAAAGCTCCTATCCTCAGACACAGGAACATACGTACCAGAATATACATAGTACCATTATTCACAATAGCTCATATTCTAAAAAATGGACCCTGTTACTGTCCATTTAGAACAGATGGATAAGGACATTTTGGTATATTCCCTCAATTAAACATTATATAGGAAGATGAAGGGGGAAGAGGAAAAAAGAGAGGGGACAGAGAAAGGGAAAAGAAGGAGAAACTCAAGCTATATGCAACCATATTTATGACTCTCATAAAATAATGTTGAGCAAAAAAGGCACATCACAGAAGACATTAATCATCCATCTTAGTAAAGGTCAAAAGCATATAAAACTAAATAATGTACTATTGGATGTGTAAACCTATACAAAAACACTACTTACAAAAAACAAAGGAGTAACATACACGAATTTGGAATTGTGATTATATCTGTGAGTGGTCAGAGTTGGATGGGATTGGGAAAGGATATCCAAGGAAACTCAAAGTAACGGTAACATTATCTCTTTTAAATAGGATAGCAGGTAACCAAGTGCTCATTGCATTCTTATTATTTATACCTCACAGGTATTTTACAACTGTCATTCTCAATCAAATCAATAATAAATAAAAGTAATTTTAAGAAACAGTTATTACCAAATATTCAACTTAGGCACTGTAAAGCTCTATAAAGACTCCAAAGAATAAACTCCTACAACAATACAACTTTCTAGATAACTTTCCAACGTACCAGTAGCAAAATGAAACATGGATTTAAAACACTAAGCATGGTACCTGGAAAACAGCACTCAATAAATGTTTGCAATTATTATAACTGCCATTATTTTGTTGTTGTAATTATTACTAATAATACATGCTAACTGCTTTATAGAGGCATCAGCCACAATCCAGTTAAAAATTGTAAAGTTAACTCCTAGATCATTGTGAGAGTGAACAGAAACTGGGGCAATTATGTGTTAAAGCTACTCATGATATTAAAACCAGGTGCTCAGCACATATGCAAAAGTTCTGTATTCTCCATGCAAATGTGGGTAGGAAATGCAAGCTAGTTTATTCAAAATAGGTGTCCAGATACAGGCAGAAAGTTACCAGGATTAGTTGTCAGGAAAAAAACCTGTTTCATCTGACTGGACATATTTATCTGTTCTAACAGAAGACTAAGTCTATAGAGACTGTTACCTAACAGAACATTAGGGCTAAGATTCCATAAAAACTTTTATACCTGGGTTCCTATATTGTCCTCATAGTATTAGGTGAGTAAACCACCCTGTCCTTGTTACCAAAAGTGGGAAAAACTTACACTTGTCTCATCTTACATTATTCCAAGCAATTCCTTCTTCGAGGGGATAAAAATCATAATATTGGTCAATTGGAGAACAGCATTCATGCATATTCAGACTTTGTCAGGGTGGATAACAAAGAAATTCACTGAAGAGGAAAAAAGCTTCAATTTGACTTATTTCTGAAAAAAATATTCTCTGTGTGACATGATGAGAAAATATCAAGAAACACCAAGAGAACCACCAACTGGAGCCAAACACATGTTGCAGTCTCTGTTCCTCTCCAAATTTGTAGAATTTATAGAAGTGGTATAAAAATACTTAGTAAATATTTTAAAACCTTGAAAACAAGAACACTCATTTAATAAGAAACTGTGAAGAAATTGCAAAAGAAGAAAGGCAAATTGAAAACCATATGCATGACTTTCAGTGTGTTCCCCAAACCAGCAGCATTAGCTGCCGGGAATTTGTTTGAAATGCAAATTCTTGAACCCTAACCCACACCCACTGAACCAGAAACACAGTTTGGGAACTGAGAATGTTATCAATTAATAAATTTGATTTTAACAAGTATAAAGCATACTTTCAATAGTTTGGAACATTTACAGATATTGACTATATAATTGGCAACAAAGGAATTGTTAGAGAAAACTCTAACAATTATTGCATTTGGGTTAGAATTTGCTAGTCACTGATACAGTTTGGATGTTTGTCCCCTCCAAATCCATGTTGAAATGTAATCCCCAGTGGAGGGATTACATTACCTAGCAGGAGGTATTCAGATCACTGGGGCAGATCCCTCATGATTTGCTTAGTTAGCATGATGAGTGAGTTCTTGCTCAGTTAGTTGACACGAGATCTGGTTGTTAAAAGTGCACAGTCCCTTCCCCTTCTCTCTTGCTCCTGCTTGCCATGCAATACTCCGGCTCCCCCTTTGCTTTCTGCCATGATTACAGGCTTCCTGAAGTCTCATCAGAAGCAGATGCCAGCACCCTGCTTTCTGTACAGCCTGCAGAACCATGAGCCAATTAAGCTTTTCCTTATACATTACCCTGCCATGGGTATTTCTTTTTAGCAATGCAAGAAATGACTAACACGGTCACATTTTAATTTTATTTACATAGCTAGCAAGGAGAAAAACTAGATGCAGAGGTTTGATAAGCCTGCACAATTTAGGTGGCAATGGAACTTACCAACACAATTCATCAACATAAGTAAGCAAATTTCCATTTCCTGTAACTATAGTCTGTGGATTAACTCAACAGTAACATATTTTATATATTTTGAAATGAATACTGCATTCACTAAATAGGAACTTTGTGTTTGGCACTGGATGAAATCCCAAGAACTCTGTATTGAATAGCTCAGGAAGAACCTGCTATTGACTCATAAACTCGTAACTGCTAGATTCTTCATAGCAAAAGCAAGAGACAACGCAGAAATGCAAATCTAAATAAGACCTTTCCCCACCTGTTTGATTCTGTTTCCTATGTTCTGAGGTCACTGGAAAATAAATATTCCCCAACTCCCTCTTATTTTTTAACTGAAGAGGGTAACAACCAGTCTGGTATAGTAACCTGAAAACTCAAACTTTCAGATAATGAAATCATTTCCTGCCAAAGCTTCACATTCTTGTTGACACATTCTTATTCTAAACCAAGACTAAATAAATTTCTTTTTTGGTTTATAATTTCTTTCTGAACTCTCCACAAATTCAGGAAATTGGTGTCATATAGGTCATATTCACTGACAAAAATGCAATATTAGAAAAGGATCCTTTAAAAATCTACACATGTGAAAAATATATAACACACTCCAAAAAAAATAAAAAAGCTTAAAGAAAGCCCAGCTGAAAGTGGGAATGTATAAATTGTGGCATATTCTTAGTTCAAAATGAATAAATTTTAAAGTTAATATTGAATGAATAACGCAAATGGCAGAATGATTTGTATAAATTTTGAAAACATGCAAAATAGTATTACATTAGTTATGGATACCTACCTATGGTATTGATAATAACATGAAATTAAATGATAAATCTCAGCTTCAGTGCAGTGGCTACCTCTGAAAATGCAGGGAAATTTGATGGGGGTTATACAAGATGTTTCAACTGTAGCTAATGTTTTCTTTTATTTAAAAAATTCAAGCGAACAGAAGGTGGAGGAACACAGACTTTTTCTCTTATTTTCTATGCTTTTCTATATGTTTGAAATATTCACAATTTAAAAAAATTAAAAACTGGAAGACTAACAAAATACCTATATATCAAAATCTGAGGTGCAGGTAAAGAAGTCCAGAGGAAAATGTATAGCCTAAATTATTAGAAAACAGGAACTGAAAATAAATGAATTAAAATTTACAGGTAAGTTGGCAAAGAAAATAAAAAAAGTATAAAAACATAAATGAATTGAATATAAAACAAAATACATAAAACATGTGCTAAGTTGTCCAATATAATTTAAAACTGTTGGAAAAATAAACCAACATGCCAGACCAGTGACTCGTTTTTGATCTCAGAACTGCTTTAGACTTAAAATCTTATTTCTATCAATATTCAACGTACTAGAAATTAAAACCAAGAAAATTGGAAGTTTACTAATTTAAAATAACAATATAATGAACATATTTTCATGAACTATAACTTCATTTTCCAAAACTCAAAAGATATAATGAGAAGAGTGGCATGACTTTACATATTTGCAAATCTTTTTTGTAGGGAAGGGGTCTCCCTATGTTGCCTAGGCTGCTCTTGAACTCCTGGCCTCCTCAAGGGATCCTCCCACTCCGGCCTTCCATAGTGCTGTAATGAGTCATGAGCCACTGCACCCGGCCTTGTAAATCTCTTTAATTCCTGGCCTAATAGAAGGCAACTGCTTCTGAATTCAATCTGTTGTGATATGTTGTTTTAGTTGAAGTATATGAAAAAAATCTGGCCTCACACAGACATATCCTTGGAAAAAAGGCAGCCATTTCAGACAACTGTGGATGTTCTTTAATGCTACAGCCAAACTCAAGTGGTAATTTATTAAAGATTAACCACAATATGGAGTCTGAAATGATATCAATGAACTTTTTGCACTGTTACATTAAAATCCATTGGTTTGTCTTGCCCTTTTTTTTTTTTTTTTTTTTTTTTGAGATGGAGTTTCTCTCTTGTTGCCTAGGCTGGAGTGCAGTGGCACAATCTCAGCTCACTGCAACCTCCGCCTCCCCGGTTCAAGTGATTCTCTCACCTCAGCCTCCCGAGTAGCTGGGATTACAGGCGCCTGCCACCACGCCCAGCCCTGTCTTGCTTTTTGAAGGGATTTTTCACCCATGCATGACTTTGTAACACTGTGCATTGATAATTTGGAAAATACTGGTTCACTGAGTTATACAGATCTTCCAAATGTTTACACACTTCATTACACATATCACAAAATCACATTCATTACCATCACTACTGATCTCATCAGAAGACATTCTTAGGTGACTTTGATATTGTAGTAGGACTTTTACTGGGATGAGTAGTGGTGTAAATACAGTAACAAACAAACAATTGGAAGCCACTGCTTTTAACACTTGCTGAGGTACCATTCAGCGCAGATTCAATATGGTGAAAAAGGCAAATAACGTCTTATTATGAAAATTAAGTTTGACCTTGCAAACTCCTAGAAAGGGTCTTGGAGATTCCCAGTGGACTGCAAACCATACTTTTGAGAACCACAA
Source organism: Homo sapiens (assembly GCF_000001405.40). Classification (NCBI taxonomy): domain Eukaryota; kingdom Metazoa; phylum Chordata; class Mammalia; order Primates; family Hominidae; genus Homo; species Homo sapiens. The sequence goes on along the minus strand of NC_000014.9, from coordinate 55,687,868 downwards.
AGGTAGGCAATCCCTTGCAAAGTAGAATCAAGACAAAATGAGAGAAGGCACCTTAACAACAGGAACAAATGGAGGGAAAAAAATGAGTAAATTTAAAAATTATCAGACTATGTATAGTCTAATTTTAAAAATTACTCCAGTAATTTATATAATTACACTCACATTTATAAATGCATACATATATAAAAAAAATTTTTTTTATGAGTATAAATAAGGCAATCAAGCCAGACAGCTTAGGTTGGAGGTTGGAAACCTGGTTCCTCTACTTAGTAGCTGTGAGACCTTAATTTAATTATCCTCCCTGTGCCTCAGTTTCCTTATCTATAAAATGAAGATGATGAAAGCACAACCCCCTGGCCAGTTAAATTCTAGGGAAGATTAAATGAACTAACGTAACTGCTTAAAAAACATCTGGCATGTGATAGGTTGTACAAGTGGTATGTTGGCTGCCTTGTAGAACTCTGCCAACAAATATGAAATGGCCAGATTTTCTAGGAAAATAAAAATGACAAAAATGTAGTCAAGAAAAAAAAATCTACCACCCAGGTTGCAGAACAGCCTAACAAGTTAGTGTCCTTTCCCAACCATAGTCTTCAACTCTGCTTTGCGGAGTCTCCCTCTTCTGCACATCCTAAGCAGACCCAAAAGCTGTTCTGTAACTTCGGTTAATACAAGTCCAGTCCAACCCAGTGTAATAACCCATCTCCCATCTGCCCCCTGGCTTTAATAATGTCAACAAGGAATCGTCTTTTCTTTCATTCTTCCTTTGCCCTTCCTTTTCTGGGGACCCAAATGAATGAGGTCAAGGGACAAACGTGTCTTAACAAACGAGGGTATAACTGCAGCCTCCTTCTGGTGGTAACTGCTTCTCCCTACATCTCATCCTGGGCAGATTCCACAAGTGGCAGGTGCCCATATGCAGTCTCTGTCCCGGGATGCAAGACACATGAAAAATCTAGCTCTAACTCTGTGAGCAACACAGCTATTGCCCACAGCTATACACCACATAGCCTCTTGCAGCTAGAGTGAAACGCATGCAAGGCAGCTCAAGCCTCGATGCTTTACACAATATCACTACCTCCAGGAAATGAATTAGTTTTCCTACGCCAAACCCAAGGGTATGGCCGGCTTCACAGGCATCCCCACTCCTCCCTTCCACGTCTCTCTCTTCTCTTTTGGGGGATCAAGAAGTCTGCCCCTGACTATTCTTTATTCTCTTCCTGTAAGCTTCCTTCAATGTGTAATTTTCTTGGGGCTTTCTGCCTCAGTTGACTGTGATGGTGGCAAGGAGAGCCATTTGAGTTTGATGACACAGAATTCCTTCTCTTCTGATGCTCCCTTCCTCTCCTGGAGATAGGTTTGTAATATACTGGGAGAAGGTGGACAGTCGGGGATTGAGGCAAGGAGGCTAGTTTGGCCTTTAATCACTCAGTGCAACTAAGGAGCTGCGAATATTTAACTGTAAGGGGAATGAACGTAGAGCACAGAATTATCTTTGCATATCTGAACAATCACTGAGAGTGTGATAAGATTTTCCTATGTGATTCTGTAGTGAGAAAGGACAGATTGATGCAAGTATCAGGGACACAACTTTTAATAATGTCATAGAAGAACCATTAACAGTTACAGCTGTCAAGTTAGAAAAGGCAATGTTATGAACTTCCTGCTACTTCAGAGGCAAAAGATGAATGACTGTAAGGTTGAGATGTTGAGGGAAGGGATACAAACTGACAGGAGACTGGACTGTGTCCCCAGAGTCCTTTGAAATTTATTTTTTTTAATTCAAACATACAGAAAGGTTGAAAAAATAATAGAATTACACAATTATTCTGAGGAACTTAGCTCTGAAGAGAGAAAGAGTAGCAAGAAGACACTGTAACTTGGAAGGCAGAATTTGTTCGTTACAGGTGGCAGCAACATGAGCACCTTTAGGCAATGGGAAAGGACAAAGGAAAGAGGCTGATGATGTAGTATCTGGCCTTCAGATCAATTTCCCAAGGATTTGCTGAAAGCAGCAAAGGTAGAAAAAGGTAGCTTGAATCCCCACACCAGTCCTCACTGGCCATAAGAAGTCACTTCAGTTGATTTCTATATGCCTTAGAAATACTATATGTGCAGTGAAGTGAAAAGGTAAGGAAGCACCACTTTAGATAATCTTCAACCTCCAAAAATGAATTTTATCCATTCACTCATTTAAATAGTTGAGCACAATGAAGTATCAGGCACTGTCTCAGGCTACAGATACAGCAAAGAACCAAAGAGATGTTTCTTGTCCTTGTGGAGCTTACTTACTGGTGGGAACAAGGAGAGTAGAAATCAAGTATGACAGACAATAAGGCAGAATAGGGAGGGCAGAAGGATAGCGGACAGTCAGGAAAGACTTAATTAGAAGGGTGACATTTAAGCAGATTTCAACATAGTGAAGGAGCAAGCCAAAGCTGACACACCAGAGGAGAGTTCCAAGCCCAGAGAACAGAAAATGCAGAGGCCCCATGACAGAAGCATGACTGTTATGTGCACAAAAATAACAAGATGACCACAGTGCAGCCTAATGGGTACTTTAGTACTCAATGGCACAAGATATTTCTCAGTGGTTATTTAGCATCTGAAGTGTTTTTAACAAATTATTAAAAAAACTTTCATTGGCTGGGCACAGTGGCTCACACCGGTAATCCGAGCACTTTGGGATGGGTGGATCACTTGAGGTCAGCAGTTCGAGACCAGCCTGGCCAACAAGGTGAAAAACTCTTTCTACTAAAAATACAAAAATTAGCCAGGCATGGCGGCAGGCGCCTGTAATCCCAGCTACATGAGAATTGCTTGAACCGGGAGGTGGAGGTTGCAGTAAGCCCAGATAGTGCCAATGCACTCCTGCGTGGACAACAGAGTGAGACTCTGTATCAAAAAAACAGTAACAACAACAACAACAACAAAAAAGATAACACATGTAAACTGTGTAACCGTGCCTGAAAAAGAAAACTAACAGTTAATTATTATTACTTCAAAAAAAAATAGTAATGGTAAAAATAGAGCTCCTCTACCTGAAGTGTGGGTGTTTAGTCTGAAATCCTAAATGCTTGCTCTGTCCTTTCTGAAACCCCAGCACTCCTGGGGCACTTTACATTGGACCAAACTGAAGAGGACCCAGAGCATCAGTTAGAAAGGTTACAGAGGCTACATAAACCTATCTTGTTGAATGGTTGCCAATTAATAGCTGTATTCTAAATTACAATGATCTGTACTACTAATGAAATCTGTTAAAGCTCAATAAAAATTAGAACAAGTCAAGTTTGAATAATAAGCATCCTTTTATTTGCTGACGCCATTACAAAAACCGATTACATTAGCAACAAAAAAGTGTTTTCTTGAGTTGAAGTCAGAGGCAGTTACTTCCCAAAATGTTAAGTAAAACAGTGTACAACATCAGTATTAAAATGTTAAATTTTACATTGTCTTTACCACTTTGATCTTCTGAACAATTTTATTGAGCAAAATAAGATAAAAGATTACATGTTTATCTTCAGGAATGTAAAGGTCTAATTATTCAAACAGTTTTTATTATAAAACTAAACTCTGAAGGTGTCTACAGAGTTGGCTTTTTTTTTTCCTTCTTTAAATCAGTAGTCTAACAAGGATTAGAAAAGACAAAACTCTGTTCAGTGTTTCTGACAAAGTAGAAAGGGTGAAAACATAAATAAGGCTTTAATTTGGCAAAATATAATACAATGCCTTTTTTATCCTCAAATGAACAGTTTCCCAATTACTTCACTCTGTAAAAGATCAGAAAGAATGAATTTCACTTTAAAACAAAGCAACAGAAGGCAATCAGAAGACATTTGTCAAACACCAAAAGTACATATTCCATTTGATCTAGCATGGCCCTTTCAAATAGACTCAAAGCAATTCACACTAATGGTAATCAAACTGAGAAAAATCTCAGGATTCAAAGGAAACAAGCTTTTAGGTAGATACTTTTAAATGTGAGCCAAATTCTGTTAGAAAACATTTAAAACAACAACACTGGTAATCCATTTTTATTAGTCCTACTCAAGAGAATGTAAAGCTAAAGTGAGTGAGTAGCACTGAAAAGGGGTTGAATACAACCTTACCCCAGTGAATAAATAATTTAAAAGAGCAGAAATAGATTTTTTTTTTTTTTTTTAGGTCATATGAAGTTTTCTAAGTCAGATAAGATGACTAAAGAAATTAAACTTCAAAAGCCATTAGAGAGACTAAGAGGACTTAACAAAACACAACATGTTAAATTTTGCCTTGGATTCTGGTTTGGGGAAAATAGTTAAAAAGCTATTTTGGGTACAATTGACAAAATGTGAATAAACGTTTAATATTGGATAGTACATAACTACTATTTTGTCTTTTTGGTTGTAATAATGGTACCACTGATTGGTAAAACAATGTCTTGTTTTCGGAGATGTGTGCTAAAGTACTTAGAGATAAAATGTCATAATGACTAAAAGTTACTTTCAATTAGTTTAACAACAAAATATGTAGACATATAGAAAGAGATGAAGCAGGTGGAGGGTTTACGGGTGTTGTACTATTCTTTCAACTTTATGTGTTGAAATAAAAAGTTTAGAGGAAAGAAGCAATTGGAAAATTAAAAAGCAAAGTTATCACTGGCTATTAACAGTTGATCGGAAAGTCTAAAAAGATCACTAGTACATTAAACTCTAAAGTGCTATGTAAACACAGAAAATGAAAACCTGATCCATATGATAGCTAAGGTTCAGTGTAGAAATAAGATAAGTTTTTCTCCAGAGCATTAACTCTTGTACTTCAGGAGCCCTACAAAAGGACTTTTTCTTTCAGAAACACTTAAGAATCTATTTGTTAAAGGGAGTACAGAGAGTACACACAGAGCTTCACCTCCATTTCTTCTGGATACTACTGTAAGCCTCTCCAATACGCTACTGACAAACCAAATATCAACTTTAGGAAAAAGTCAGAATTGATTGACAAAACTTCTAAGAGGCTGGCCAAAAAAAAATAAAAAGACAAAATGAGGAGAAAAGAAAACAGTGACAAAAGGGATCAGTGAACACAGTGCCTGAATTAGGGAGAAGAAAAGCACTGATTAAGAACACAAGCCCTGTACCCAAATTACCTTGATTTAAACCCCAGCTCGCCCATTTATTAGCCGTATGACCTTGGACAAGTTATAGAATCTCTTTGGGTCTGTTGTAACATGGTAATAATAATACCTACCTACCTAACACACAGGGTGGTTGTGAAGATTAAAGGAGTTGCCACATGTTGGAAGCATGCTTATGCTAACAGGCATACTCATGAAGTATCAGCTATTTAAATTATCATCCTCCCTCAACAGGATTCTATAAACTGGTTCCAAGATAAGGTAACCTGGGATAATAAAGTTTTCTGATTTGGTTAGAAATACACCTAGAAAACTTAGAAACCAGGCAAATGTGAAACATAAAGAGTAGATATCTGGGAACAAAAAAGTATATTATAAAATGCCAATACTGTCAATTCATATAAAAGGCATCTTAATCAATCTCCCACTCCCCACAAATGGAAAGCGGAGGATGGTACCCTTTTCTTTTTTTGATGGGGGGAGGAAAAATAGGTAATGGGGAAAAAAATTTCCAAAAGAAAAGTTTTCACAAATTAAAGATATCAGTTAAATACACCTACCCCTACAGCTCTAAGAAACGCTAAGTACTATGTATCAGGATTTAGAAAAACTACATCAATGCATATTATTTCTTGCATATTTGTTTTTAAAAACAACTCTCCCTTTATTGAATATGTGCAGCATTATCATAAACAATTCATAAGTACTTGTGTATATTTTTAAAGGTTTCTTGACATTAGATATATTAAGCTATTACCTACATTCTAATGATTGAGAAATGTGTATTTTCAATGTAATCATCTCGTGTCAGTTTAAATAGAGTATACAGGAGGGAGAATATATGTAGCAAAAATGATAGCTAAGGATAAAAACCTGAGGGTAACACAAACATTTAACGGGTATAAAGAAGAGCTACGGGAACCAAAACATAAGTACACAAGGAAGAATTATCAATGTCAATGCCAGGTAGAGCCTAAGGAATGAAGAAGTTCGAGAGTGCCTGGTGGGCCTCTATTTTCATAACAATCCAGCCTATCATTCATGATATAATACTGTCAACCACCCACTTGCCAAACTTGGACTTATGTTTATCAGCTGACAAAAGAATGTTGTGCTATCAGTTAGGAGGGGAGCTGCCTGCCAACTGCGTTGTGAGGGTATACAGACATATTTTAATAAATTACTATAATTCTGCAAATCAAAAAGAAAAAGTGTTATTATCAATGATTCATATGTCTCAAGTGTAATACAATTAAAACAAATGTGGCAATGGACAAGCCAAAAATAGTTCACAAGACTTAAAATGAGCAGACTATGTATTTAGGAAGAAAAGGAAAATATTAAAGAACATCTATGAGATGCTAAAGAGAGAATATCGCTTAGGTCGAAAGGCAAGGGGTAATAGGCAATCTTTTAATTGTTTAAGCTCTCTAGAAATGAAACCCTTCCCTTATAAGACAAAGGTCTAATGTCAGCATTTTTGACATATTTCATTAAGTACTTTCAGTATCTGATCACATGCAAAAGAAGGGCCTATATTGGATCTAGCAATTAGGGATCATTAATGATTTTTGCAAAAATGATTTCATTGAAATAGCAGGAAGAAAAGCCATTCTAGAGTGTATAAAGTAATCAATAACAATAAATAAGTAGATAGAGAGTATTTTCTTAAGAATACTAAATAGTAAAAAAGTAAAAAAATAAGGGTGGTAACCTGAAGGAAGTACAAGGTTAAAATAAGCCATCTGAGCATGTTTTCAAGACTGAACAGAGGGAGCCAGTGGAAAGAATAAGGCTGAAGTCCTGGGAAGAAGCGATGGAAGTTTCCCTAGGAAGCAAGGTTATTTCCTAATTTGGAAAAGCGAGGAAATGTGGCAGAATTTTTACATTGGGAAACTGGAGAAGTCAGCTTACCAAGGATAAAAGATTTGAGCTGAGGCTTAATTACTTTTGTTGATATGTTGAAGAATGAGCTGGGCTTATTATATGGAAAGTCATGTTAGAGATAACTGACCTGAATTAGCATTTTGAAGGAGAGCATGTGTCAAGGTAGGCCAGAGGATGATCACTCTAAAGTGAGACAAAACGCTCCTGTAAGATCAAAATGGAAGTCCATCCCAACTTTTCCAGGATACCTAAGCTCTCCCTGAGGCCTTGTATAGCCCAACACAGTATTATCAGGGGTTCTGAAAGGGATAATTCAGTGATGAGTTGCCCCTCAGGGTCTCCAGGATATCATGATTGTTTTAGAGAAAATATCTTCAAAAGAAGAATATCTGAAGTATTCAGTGCATATCTGAATACTCTAATTACACTCTAGGCAGTGTGACTTAAGTTATTCATAAAACAGGTAAAATCCAGGTAGCAACAGAAAAAAAAAAAAAAACCCTACAACCAGAAAAACAAAAACTGCATTCACCGGCTGGAATACAAGTCATTTTAAAATGCTACCAAATCTGAGCCTTCCAAGGTAATATAGACAATAAAAGCTCATAACATGACTTGGTTAATTATGGGTTTAGCTATCCTCAAGTAAAAATCTCACTTCAGGAGCTAATGAACGAATTTCTTAGATTACCTAACAAAAGCAAACTTGAATAAAAACCAGCTTTCAATTTTAAGACACTGTGATGACCTTACTTCCAGTTTAGCAACCTTACCTCAGTTAAAATGTTATGGTCATTTTATTTTGGGAGGGAGGAAAGGAGGAAGGAAGGGAGGGGGGAGAAAAGGTCACAGATACTTACTCTAAACTAAGAACAGAATAAATTAACGAAGCCGTTGCAGGTATTAAGGCAACACACAAAAACCCAGGCAGCCAAGTTACAAGAGAGTCTGTTTGATACAAAGGTCAAAGGAGGCACAGATAACCCCTCCAAGCTACAAGACCTTCAAGATATGCACAAAATAGAACTAAAGCTCCAAGAAAGCTTAAGGCTGTCATCTGGAAGTTCTGAGAGATAAAGAAGGAATATTTCCTCTAGTGAAGTGAGTTTATTTATGTAAATACACATTACACAGACACATAACATCAATTACCCATAGACAGCAATATTTCAGTTGTCCTTACCTAACACCTGGTAGTGCTCTTTCTCCTTTGTGAGCTGTTGGTTTACCGCCTGAAGCAACTGCTGTAACTGTGTTACAGTCTGATTTAGACTTACAGACATTGTCTCCTTCTCAGAAGACTCCTAAAAAGAAGATGGAAGTGATGATAAACTCCATACACAAGGAAAAGAAATGTAAAACCAAACAACAGAAAATGTTATATTGCTGATTTAAACACAAACATTAAAAAATCTGAACAATGACATGAAAATCAACAATAACAAAAACCACATAGAGAAATACTGTTTGCTAACTAGTGGTGCAAACTAGTTGGCACCAAAGAAAACTATGTTATAAATGTTGTCACTTGGACACAAAAGGAAAAAAAATCTAGAATCTATGAATATCAGAAATATATCCATTTTTTCTTTCAGAAAAAGAAAATTTGCCCCGCAAAAGAAAGTACATTCCAAACAGTAAAAAAAGTTAACATATACTGAGCTCTTAGTAAGTAAGTGCCAGGCACTGTTGTAAGTACCACCTACTATTTTAAGTGTTTTATGTATTAACTCATTTACTTCTTTCAAAAACCCTACAGGATAGGTACTATTATCATTGCCTTTTACAGATGGGGCAACTAAAGCACAAAGTGGCTAAAGATCTGCCCAAATTCACATGGCTACTAAGTGGCAGAGCCAGGATTCAAACATAGGCAGTCTAGCTCCAGAGTCTATACTCTAGGCCAGCAATACCCAACCGTTTTGGCACCAGGGACCAGTTTTGTGGAAGACAATTTTTCCACAGATGGGTGAGTGCGGGGATGGTTTCAGGATGAAACTGTTCCACCTCAGATCATCAGGCATTAGATTCTCATAAGGAGCATGCAGTTCACAATAGGGTTTGCACTCCTATGAGAATCTAATGCTGCCACTGATCTGACAGGAGGCAGAGCTCAGGCGGCAATGGTCATTCACCCACCACTCATCTCCTGCTGTGTGGCCTGGTTCCTAAAAAGCCATTGACTGGTACCTGTCCACAGTCCAGGAATTGGGGACCCCCGCTCCATACCTCTCAACACAACCCTTAAAATTAACATACCTCAATAAGCAAAAATGAGATCAAACATCAATGAAAACACTACATTTTAGGGACAGGATATTTTCAAGAAAGATGACTTTCGGAGATGGACCTTATACATTTTTGTTCTTTACACAGGTCACAAGGTAACTAGCTCAGAGATCTGGGGATGAAGAAAATACATACCGTTTCTGGGGAAACATCACTATTTTCAATAACAGTAGTGTCTCCAGCAGCTTTTACTATTTTTGACTGGATAAGCTCCAGTGACTGTTGAGCCTATAAGGAAAACAATATGGTAGCTACTAAGTAATACAGTTGATAAATACATAAAAAATGAATAATTTTATTCATTTTGTAGAAGATAAAAGCTCCTCTCAAAAGACGACACAGGTTTTTCCCTCCAAAATGAAAATAGCTTCACCCCCCACCAGATTATAAGAACATATGTTCACTGTTTTTAAAAGCTTAAGTAATGCAGAAACTATACAAAGAAATTTAAAAACAGAAATAACCATAGTTGATATTTAGGTTAGTATTAGTCTAGATTACAGGTTAGTCAAATCTGGCCCAAAGCCTGTTTTTGTACAGAATACAAGCTAAGAATATTTTTTACTTTTTAAAGGGCCATGTTGCTGGGCGCGGTGGCTCACGCCTGTAATCCTAGCACTTTGGGAGGCCAAGGCGGGCGGATCACCTGAGGTCGGGAGTTCGAGACCAGCCTGACCAACATGGAGAAACCCCATCTCTACTAAAAATACAAAATTAGCCAGGTGTGGTGGCACATGCCTGTAATCCCAGCTACTAGGGAGGCTGAGGAAGGAGAATCAACTGAACCTGGGAGGCGGAGGTTGCAGTGAGCCAAGATGGTGCCATTGCACTCCAGCCTGGGCAATAAGAGCAAAACTCCATCTCAAAAAATATATAATAAAATAAAGGGTTATGTTAAAAAGGAGACAAAAATATTCTAAAGAGATCATATGTGACCCACAAACCCTAAAAAAGCTTTGGGATTTGTCCACCCCTAGTTTAGATCCCTCTCTACATATTATGTGCTTATAGAAAATATTACATAAGTGAGCTTTAACATACATACTGCTTTATACTTACCTATTTTACAAAGTATGTTATTAACTTTTTTTTTTTTTTTTTTTTTTAGACAGTCTTTCTCTGTCACCCAGGCTAGAGTGCAGTAGCGTAATCTCGGCTCACTGCAACCTCTGCCTCCCGGATTCAAGCAATTCTTCTGCCTCAGCCTCCTGAGTAGCTGAGACTGCAGGTGCGCACCACCACACCCGGCTAATTTTTGTATTTTTAGTAGAGACGGGGGTTTCACCATGTTGGCCAGGCTGGTCTTGAACTCCTGACCTCAGGTGATCCGCCCACCTTGGCCTCCCAAAGTACTGGGATTACAGGCGTGAGCCACCATGCCCAGCCGTTATAAACTTTTTTTAGTCAAATATTTATGTGCTTTTCCAATCAAATGTTGCACAATATTTCTACTGTATAGGTATGGGGCAGTTAACTGTCACCTATCATTGCCATCTTAGCTACTGTAAATAAGATGGTATATCTATTATATAACTTTGAGCACCAGTTTGGTATTTTTAAAGTACTTTCTAAGAAACTACATTGCTAGGCTAAATTCCATGTTTATATTTTGATCCAGAGGTCAAAAATTAAAATCACGTATCAAAGTAAACTGACTGCTCAACCACAACAGTGTATTAAGCATCAAAGTTTGTCCTCTAAAACAGACCCAAATTCACATTCTGTCTACACTAAAATAACCTGACAACACTTGTGGATTCCTAGACTTTTACATAACAATTATAAACTATAAGCATATAGAATCAAAAAAAAATTTCTTTCAACTCTTTAAAAGGAGTATTATTTTTTAAAATGAGATAACTTTTAAAATCTATTAGAATATCAAATATTTAAATGTTAGACAGTATCTAATATTGGTGAGGGTATAGGGAAATACATGTTCTCATACCATGTTGAGAGGAGTATAAATTACTACTGTTGGGTTTCTGGGATTCCATTTTATACTATCAAAATTTAAGTGCGTACCTCTTGTTCTTGCAATTCCAAAAAGTGACACTTGTTTTGCTAATGATGATATATCCATAAACACTATCATAGCTCTAAAACAGCTTTGATATAAGAATATGTGAATTCTACTATTAAAAATAGATCTCAAAACAGAATTACAAATAACCTGTCAAACCAATGCAAAGAAATGCAGTCCTAAAAATCATTCATTTGCATTGAGATTAGGAAAAATATATTTGTATGAAGAAATAAATGAAGGAAAAACATCTAAAAAAAATAGAAATTTATATCTTTGTTTTATCCAAAAGACCAAGAGAAACATACTTTGTAAATGAATACACAGCCAAATCCCAATTTTAAAAAATATATGGATGCAGCCAAATTTTAATAACTCCAACTAAATTTTACTCTGTACTTTATAAAGCAATTAATTATAGAAATGTGAGGAAATAATGAGGTGAATTAAGAATCCTGGAAAAACAAGCCAAAACGTTTCATTCCAAAATACTAACTAATAACAAGCAGCTTAAATTTATAAAAGGTTAATATTATGATGCAAAACAACAAATCCAGAATTAGCAGCATAAGTTTGCTTAAGATTGAACACACAACACAGGCTCATGATACTACATCTCTAGGACGAACAGTGCCTACCTTATGCAAATCACCAGCTACCTTCTGTCTTTCATTTTGTTCAGTTCTAAGTTTTGTGAGTGTTTCATTTAACTGTGCCTTCAACTGTAAAAATAAAGGAACACCACAATTAACTTAATTTGCATCATTCTTTGATTATGCTGATACCTCTAGGACTGAAGAATGAATGGGACTGCTAACAGTTATTATGTACAGTGGATTAGCCAATATGCTGCACCAGATGTATAGAAAGGCTAAGCAGTAGAGGTTCCCATCTGTAAAGCTAAACATAAGAAAAGCCACAGAAATGAACTACAGTTTAGAGTAGAAAACTGCAAATGCAAAAACAAAACCATCAAATTCCAGTAAAGTACCTTTTAAAGATATCACTATTTATAACAGTCACTGAAATTATTTCAAATTAAAAGCCAAATAGATACTTTACCCGTTAGTTTTTAAAGGCTTTCTTAATCTATACAGTTCAATTAAAGAGTCAATTATACAATATTTTTAAAAACACTGAATAGAAGACTACAAATCCAGTCAAATTAAAACTCCCAAAATACTGACCATCGTTTAAGGCTTCACTAAGGGGTAGTACAAGACCACACTGGCCTGTATTATACCATCAAGAAATGCTTTACGATATACCTATGAATAACCCAATCTGTCAAAACAGAAAGTTCTGTAACTCCAATGCGAATATATAATGCCGCTTCTCTGATTTTCCAATTAAATATGAGCAAGGAAAATGAACTATACTGCTCCCAAAAAACTTTCTTCTTATTCTCATAAGGTAATTGTTTTTGCTTCCCACCCATGGGCACTTTTGAAACAGTTCTAGAGGCCCAAAGGGGGAAAGACAAGGCAGTGACATTTAAAATTGGAGGGAGAATTAAAAAGGGGTGGCAGTGGGGCGGAGGGAAATTCCACTTGGAAATTTTATCTGAGGAATTCTATGTAAGTACCCAAATAAATTCTGGTCCTTTACACAACTTTGAGTTTTAATATTCTCCATCAGAGAAATTAATCTTTTGGCCCAAGAATACACAAAGCACGTACAGGCAAACAAAGCTATTTTATCATAAAAAGTAGCAGCAGTTATTCTGAGCAAACAAACATTAAAATAAAGATCCCAAACTCAAGACTAGGGAAAAAAAGTAAGTATCAACCACTAAAAATGATCTCCTGACAGAAGTAGAGGGATAAAAAATCAAAATAAAGCATTAAGCCAAGTGGAGATGTAACCATGTAACTGTTGAGTCAGCCACTAAGCACCAAAGTTAATAAGTAAAACTCTAACAACTAGTTAGAAATGATTTTTTAAAAACATAGAGTGAGGACTTATAGCCATGACATATCACAGTCCTAATCTGTGCAATGCATAGCATAGAACCAGTCTCACAATGCAGGGTGAATGAGTTCAGTTAAAGTAAAACATTGGTACATAAAACAAAGATTTAAAAATTAGAGGTGTAGGGCTCTGTGTGTGTAGGGCTCTGTGTGTATGAACATCCCTAATCTGAAAATCTGAACTTTGAAATGCTCCAAAATCCTAAACTTTTTAAGCACTGACATGACACTCAAAGGAAATGTTCACTGGAGCATTTCAGATTTCGGATTTTCAGATAAGGGACACATACAGAGCAAGCATATAATACAAATAATCCAAAATCCCCCCCCAAAATTGCTGGTTCCAAGCATTCCAGATAAAGAATACGCAACCTGTATTTCATACCGCTCTACTCTAAAAATTGATTCCCATAAATGTTTGCCATAACATAGGATACCAACCACAAATGAATGAGTTAAAGTTTTCTTGGTACATGGAGTAATGCTAACAAGAAAATTCCAAACTGGGCAGGGTGAACTTTGGGTAAGGAAAAAACTTACTACTGTAATCTTCTGAGAGTTTATTAAGGTACTTAAAAAAAAAAAATCTAATCCCTGTGCTGTAACAATTTTTAACTCACAAGGAAGACATAACAATTGCTGTTTGAAACAGAGAGCAAGACAGCCATATTTGTCTAATAGCTAAGTCTGTCACAATCAGTACAGTTTTTAGAAAACTTGAGAATAGGAATACAGGGTATTATATGTTTTAAGACATTTAGCTAACTTTATCTCAAAGCCTATGCTTTTAGGATTACTATACTCTAAATAATATGTTGATAATAAAGACTCTTATACGCTTTTTAATATTTGTAATATATAGAGAGACTAGGTTAAAATTAGAAACTGGATTAGATTACTGCCCTTGAATGAAGAATATGTGTCTTTGACTTTCAATATAATCTTCTCCCAGGTTAGAAAATAAAAGGCCCCATTAACTATGATAGTCTGAGAAGAAAATCTTCGTAACTCAGCCAATCTTTATTTCATTTCTTTATTCACAGAAAAGACTGCTGTTTGAGAAAATAGGATTTATAAAACATGGAAAATTTTGAAAAAGAGTTGGAAGCCAAACATGCCATTGTTAGGAGCTAAGAAAAGAAGGATCATTTTAGGAGTCAAGAAAAGAAAGATAATCTTAGGAATCATCGGAATATGAAGATTATCTTAGACTTACAAAAAGGCCAAGCTAAAGATGTTAGCAAAGAAAAAAAAGCCTGGATGGTTTCTCCACATGTCAATAAAGTGTTTTCAGTGCCTACTTGATACCCAGTGGAGGACAAGCTTCTTACCAAATTTAGCTCTTCATTCTGTCTTACTGCTTCAGAATATGAATCATCAAGTTTTTTCTGCAATTCAGTCAACAGATCTTTCAGCTGCAATGAAGTTTAGAGTTTAAGATTGATCTCCTTATGATAGCCCATGTTTTGTATGCTACTCGGAAGCTCTGCCACAAACAACTTATACTGAAATATCACTGTTATAAACTTAATCTGAATTGAGAAGCAAGTTTGAAAAGATTCTGTTGTAAGTACCTCTCTGACTTCTGTAACATAGGTAGATCGTTCCATCTCTGCCTTTTCTAGTTCCATTTCCAAATGTTCTCGTTCTCTTCTCAGCTAGCAATGCAACAAAGGAAAAGTTAACACACTTAAAATTTCCTTTCATAATATTTCCCCACAAGACAAAATTATGACACTTATGAATATAAAACTATATCAACTCAAACACTACCCAAGATATTAAGAGCATAACTATAAAGTAATCTTAAACTATAGATCTTCAGACAACCGTTAATGCTAAAAACAAATCCATAGGTTACAAGTAAAACAATCAAATAACATACATTTTCAATATCCTTATTTTCGCTTCTTAATCGCTCTAGCTCTTGTTCTGAAGATGTAAATGATGACTGCATCTGAAATGTGAAACAATTACATGGCCAAGTAAAACCACCAAGGATATAGCAGTTTCTATCCTGTAGAATTCTGATCAATTAAAAGACACTTCCAAGGTTTTGAAATGCATCTCATTTAAAAGAGATGAATTTTAAAAGACCTTAAAAATGAGTCACATTGAACTTGATTTAAATTGTGGTCCAAACCTACTCCATTTGTATATTAGGCTCGGCTAAAAGTGATTAATTTTTTATTAGTATTAACTGATATTCAGCTGTATTTATTCTGCAAGTGCATTAGAGTACCATCAGCAACTGTAAATTCTGCACA